>NC_000007.14:157770648-158083713 GCF_000001405.40 Homo sapiens
AAAGCATCAAATCTTCCTTCGTATCCTCTAATACATCCCTCCAGCTCGGGTAGACGGACATCCTCGGGAAGAGCGTTCAGCCAGCTCCAGACACAGCAAGGTCATGAGGCGCCTGCATTCAGATTCATTGCTGGGTGTGCTGAAGAGGGCCACACATTCTCTGACGCACTTGCCCCCGAGGTGAGACCTCTGTCCTCCCCACCTGAGTGTGGGGGCTGTGGGCCCGCTTGGCCAGTTGAGGCAGCAGAATGCACCTGCCCCCGAGGTGAGACCTCTGTCCTCCCCACCTGAGTGCGGGGGCTGTGGGCCCGCTTGGCCGGTTGAGGCAGCAGAAGTAACGCCCTGCCAGTTTCTGGCTTCTGGGCTCAGACTCGAGAGACTGGCAGCTCCCATTTCCTCTCTTGGGACACTTGTTCTTGGGAAACTCGCTGCCATTCTGTGAGGAAGCCCAAGCAGCCTTGTGGAGGCTCCACATGCAGAGGCCCAGAGCTCCCAGCCACAGCCCTGGCTGAGCTCCACAACTGCCACCACAATGTGCCAGCTATGTAGACAAGCCCTCTTTGGGGCGAGCCCTCCAGCCCCCTTGGACCACTCCAGCTGATGCCAGTGGAGCAGAAACAAGACTTCCCTGTCATGCCTGACCAGATTATAGAGCTGAGAGCAAAACAGGGCTCTCCAATTTGGGATAATTTGCTATGCAGATATAGATTCCTGGGGTACCTGCCCCCCCATTCCCTGTCTCCATCTCTGATATAAAACTAATCCCACCTGCTGCCAGTTCATGCCCTTCTGTGGCTTGCAGCAGCTGACACTGACACCTCTTTGCCAACTCAATTTAACAGCCACCCACCATGTCACGGGTGCAGAGTGCTGGATCTGGGACTCCACAGAGCAGTGAGACACAGCCCCTGCCCTCAGGGAGCTTACAACTGAGTGGAGGAGAAAGACACACACGGCACAGGGAAAATGTGCTGGCAAAGCAGTGCAAAGGGCAGTGCACACACACAGTCAGAGACACACAAACACACAGACACACATGCAGACACACAAACACACAGACACACACGAACACACACAGACGCACAAACAGACGCAGATACAGACACAAACAGACACACATGCAGACACAGACACACACTCACAGACACAGACACAAACACACAGACACAGACACAGAAACACACAGACACAAGACACAAACAGACACACACGGAGACACAGGCACACATGAACACACACAGACACAGACACAAACACACACAGACAAACACACAGAGACACACACAGACACATACAAAGACACACATACAGACAGACACACACACATACACACGGACACACATGAACACACACAGATACATACACAGACACACGCACACACAGATGCACAGACACCCACACATAGAAATACACACAGATACACACACAGAACACAGACACAAACACACACATGGATACACACACACAGACATACACATACACAGACAGACACACACACAGACACAAACACACACACAGGCACAGACATACACAGACACAGACACACATACATACACAGAGACACACATAGACACAGACACACACACATACACACAGACACAGACGCACACAGACACCCATACAGACATACACAGACACACAAACACACAGACATACAGACACACATAGACACAGACACACACATACACACAGACATACACACACACACATACACACAGACACAGACACACACAGATACACAGACACAAACAGAGACACACATAGACACAAACACAGTTTGTGAGAGCCCTGGCCCGCAGACCATGGTGGCTGCAGTGTGAGCCCAGCAGAGTCCTGCTCAGTGCTGCCCAGAGACCTGGGGCAGGAAGTGGAAAGAGGCCCCTGATCCAGGTGCAGCTCCTGCTCCCGGAACCGCCTGTGAACGACTGTGACCTGGGCGAATCCTGCTGCGGGCGGCCTCAGCTCCACACTCTCTCTAGGATGAATCAGGTGGAGCTGGCACCCAGGGCGACCCCAGAGGACACACGAGGCTCTCGGCATTGGGTCTCAGCGTTGGGTCTCTTGGCCGGGTCTGGGGGGACCCCTGTGGGGGGTGGGAGAACATCTTTTTGAACAAACACGTAAACACATTGAGTCTTTGGTCGCTTTTGCATCTTCTTTCTTCTCTGGCCTCTGCGCCCCAGCTCCTTTGTGCGAGGTCCCATGTGCTGCTAGGCCACGGGTGGCTGTCCAGGGTGTGGCTTGGAGCCGTGGAGCTGGAGGCCTGGGTGATATGGTCCAGGCTGCATGCCGACTCCGGGTGTACACTGGGTACTGGCGGGGTCTTCCTGGGCCGCCTGCTCCCCTGTAAATGGGCAGTGATACAACCAGCTTCCCAGAACTCCCAGAACTGGATCCAGGCCTGGGTGAGAAGGTGCCTTGCACAGATGTCCACACATCATCCTCAGTGCTGGGACCATCAAGATGCTACAGTTTCCAACCAGCAGCTCATCGCGAGGACCTCGTTCTAGGCACTCGCAGCAGACGGAGGCAGGGGTCCTCCACCTCCGCTTTTCTGACCCCTCTCTCTTCAGGACAAGCCTCCTTGGTCATGCTCCGGCTGGCCTTTAGCTGAGGTTTAGCTCTACGCGGACATTAGAAGCACAAACCAAGCACAGCCCCTTCTGTGAGTGGGAGTCATGCCTAGAAAACAAACAGGAGAGAGGCGGCTCCCAACCTCCAGGAGATGAAAACCTGTTCTTACAATGCGTGGGACTCTTACCCTGACGAGCTCTGCAGTCCCCACAGACGCCTTTGCTCAAGCCCACCTGCCTCTTCCCAGCACCACCCGTGTCTTCATCTGGGGAGAAGAGCCCGTGCTCAGTTTTCTCCATCAGCCCGCTGCGAGGGCCAGGGGCCCCTATGCACTCAACATCAGCTTCACAAAGATGTAGTGGGCTGTGGGGCCAGGCGGCTTGCTGTACCTCCCACCCAAGCCCAGGGCCCTCTCACCCAGACTTTGGCCCAGTGCCTCCCTCTGTCTGTGTTGCCTCTGTTCCTTGGAGCTGTATCTTCCTCAGCCTCAATTTCTCTGCCCATTGGTGTCTTTGTTCCCGAACCTCAGCCCCCAGGTCCTGGTTGGTGGGGCTTGTGTCCGCCTCATCCAGTTCTGGACTCTTTGTGATGATGGTAACAATAACTGGACTGATCCAAGTTGAAGTCAGTTGGTGAATGAATCAATAAACTCCAACTGAGAGCTCTACACAGCACATCCTAAGTGTCATACAGAGCACTAAGTAATTTGCTTTTTCATTTATACCTCACTTCATTCCAGAAAGATGCATACAAGTTAGCAAAGTAAACACATATTTAAAAAGAGGTGACAAAAAGAAAACATAGGGAAAACAAGAATGGGAAATAAGTTGGAGCCTAGAATGAGGTTAGTATGCAAAACCCATGACACGGACCTACTTACTAGGAGCTGGCTACGGATGGGGCTGTGAGCTCCCTAGCTGCCACGGGGAAGAGAGGAACAGGATCCACAATGTCTATATGACAAAAACAGACAATCTATTTTTTGAAAATCATAGCTATTCTTAAATTAAAAAAGAAATGTTCCAGGAGTCCTCACAGAGATGCGCTGAATAGAATATGCACCATCCTCCATGATGTCTTTATACAACAGGGCAAGGGAATGCCTAGGGTTGCTGGCCTCAGGCCAAGTAAAAATGGCTATGCAGGAGCCCAGCATGGCCTGGGCATCATGCCTGTCAAGCCTGGTGAATCCTAGGGTGGGCCTGCGAGGGTTTAGAAGGGATAAACCACGTCAATATTATTCTTCCCAACCAAGATTTCACTGGAAGTTGAGCTGCAGTGAGTTTAAGAAAATGGTAAGCCCCCCATCTCTGCACGCAGTTCATAATCTAGGTTGTGAGACCACACACCGGCTCATGTGCACAAGACAGTGTGCGTGGAGGGTGACAGTGTCGGCAAAAGTGGGCTCAGGGCTCAGAGCTGTAACTGCGGTTAAGGGGTTAGGAAGCTGGCCTTGGGCTGGATCCAGGACCCCAGAGTGACTCAGCCTCATGGTACAGCAGAGGGCACGCCCGACAGGGGAGGTCTTCGAGTCAACAATGGGAAGTAGAAATCTGCCCAAGATGAGGGGACCAGTCCGAGTGGGGAGGCTTCCAAAGATGAGAGGACCAGTCCGACGGGGGAGGCTTCCTCTAGAGGAACCATGAGGACAAGTCAGAGTGGAGGTAAAAGGCCTGAAATAATAACTGGTCAAGGAACATGGTCTCTTCTTCTGCTACTTACATGCCAGAGTCTCTGAAAGTTCTTGATGAGAACAGTGACACAATGAAAGCAAAGTCAGGGAAGATGAGAAGGTGGCCTTGCATCCTAACTGCTGTCAGCAGAGTCTGAGGGCCTGAAAACGTCCACATGCCAGGGAGTCCCTCAGTCCTCAGGAAGGAGAAACGTTTCATGAAAACGCGAACAGTCTCGGAACGCCTCACTCCGTCACGGCAGTGTAGGCTCAGATGTGACTTGGGAAGATGGCGCCACTCTGCAGGACGCCGTGTGTGGCAACCACTCGCTCTCACCCTTCGGGTCTGCGGCAGCTACTGTCATATGAGCTGCTCTTTAGAGGGACAGAAATCCACAGGACCCCAGTTTCCACCCAAATTCATGAGCCGCAGTGGCCAGGCTACCTCACCTCACCCTGCTGGGTCTGGGCAGTCCCTATTCTCCCATAGGCATAACGGGGACAGTGAAGGTGCAACCAGCATGGACAGGGCCGAGGGATGGAAGGAAAACAAACCCTTGCAGTTCAACCCACAGGGCGGAGGCGGCAGCGTGAGAAGCTTCCTGAATACAGGACTCGATGCCTCGAGGAGAGGAGCGTGGAGCACGCCCGGGGCACATGGGGACACAGCAGCGCTGGGAAGGCTTCGTCCTCGGGAGCCGGCGCTCACATGCAGGGAGTCGCCCAGGACAGCAAGCCTGGGTGTGGGGCTGAGGCGGGCGCAGCCTCGGGGCAGTCCCCACACAAGGGCAGGACGGAGCCTGGACGGAAGCTCCACGCCCTGGGGTACCTGCTGGGGCATCCAGGGTTTCCTGCCCCAGGCCCGGGTCATGGTGTCCCCCGCAGGCCTGCAGGCTGGGTTCCTCACAGGGCATCTGCTCACCAAGTAAGCCTGGCGTGGCCAGAACTGTGTTTCTTGAGTTGTTTGAGCCGTTTCTGTTCATGACCTACAGTAACGCCGCTGTCTCTGTGATGCTATAGGGATGGTCAGTGAGGAGACCGCCGCAAAATGCAGACTCAGAGGTGTGCATAGGTGGGCTGGGCCCGGGGGGATAGCCGCAGCCAGCTGTGTACTCGGAGGTGGGCAAGGAGTGAGGCGGAGGGGGCGTCACCTCCTCCCTCTCCTCCTCCTCTTCCTCCCTCTTCTCTTCCTCCCTCCTCTCCACCTCCTCTCTCCTCTCCTTTTTCACCTCCTCCCTCTCCTCCTCCCTCCTCTCCTTTTTCACCTCCTCCCTGTCCTCCTTCTCCCTCTCCTTCACTTCCTCCCTCTCCTCCTCCATCTCCTCCTCCTCCTTCTCATCTTCCTCCCTCCTCTCCCTCTCCTCCTCCCTCCTCTTCCTCTTCACCTCCTCCCTGTCCTCCTTCTCCCTCTCCTCTTCCTCCCTCTCCTCCTCCTCCATCTCCTCCTCCTCCTTCTCCTCTTCCTCCCTCCTCTCTCTTCTTCCTCACTCTCCTCCTCCTCCATCTCCTCCTCCTCCTCCTCTTCCTCCCTCCTCTGTCTCTCCTCTTCCTCACTCTCCTCCTCCTCCCTCTCCTTCTCCCTCTCCTCCTCCCTCTCCTTCTCCCTCTCCTCCTCCCTCTCCTTCTCCCTCTCCTCTCTCTCCTTCTCCCTCTCCTCCTCTCTCTCCTTCTCCCTCTCCTCCTCCCTCTTCTTCTCCCTCTCCTCCTCTCTCCTCCTCCCTACCTCTCCACTCCCCTCCTCTGGTGCTGTGGCTTTCCCTCTTTTCCTCCTCTCTTCCTCCCTCCTCTGCTCCTCCCTCCTCCTGCCTCCCTCTCCTCCGCCTCCCTCTCCTCCTCCCTCTCCTCATGCTCTCTCCTCCCTCTCCTCCTACCTTTCCTCCTCCTCTTCCTCCCTCTCCTCCTCCCTTTCCTCCTCCACTTCCTCCTCCCTCTCCTCCCTCTCTTCCTCCTCCCTCTCCTCCTCCTCCCTCTCCTCCTCCTCCCTCTCCTCCTCCATCTCCTCCTCCTTCTCCCCCTCCTCCTCGCTCTTCTCCTCGTCCTTCCTCTCCTCTTCCTCTTCCCTCTCCTCCTCCTCCATCTTCTCCTTCTCCTCCTCCCTCTCCTCCTCTTCCCTCTCCTCCTCTTCCCTCTCCTCCTCCTCCCTACCTCTCCACTCCCCTCCTCTGGTGCTGTGGCTTTCCCTCTTTTCCTCCTCTCTTCCTTTCCCTCATTTTCTTTCTCCGCTTTTCCTGTTCTCTTTTCAACACTTTTATCCTCAGTATCATTTTCTCCACACACAATTCAATTTTAGAGAATGCTTGCATTTTTTTCACATTCAAACAGATCCACAAATTCTTGTTAGATACACAAGAAACACATACAAGTGGAATTGGAAACACGCCCATGTCGGTCGCTGAGTTACAGAAGGGGCCATGCACTGTGACTTCCTGATGCCAGAGGACACGCAGTGCCCCACACTGCTAAGCTCAGGGACGCAGCCTTCCTGATGCCGGAGGACACGCAGTGCCCCACACTGCTAAGCTCAGGGATGCAGCCTTCTTGATGCCGGAGGACACGCAGTGCCCCACACTGCTAAGCTCAGGGACGCAGCCTTCCTGATGCCGGAGGACACGCAGTGCCCCACACTGCTAAGCTCAGGGATGCAGCAAGGCTCTGGCAGATCCTGCCTGTCATGTCCTGTCCCCCGGACACTATGAAAGGGCAGTCCCGCTGCATCAGGGACATGCATGCTCCTCTCACACATGTGGATTCAGAGCTAGGGCCAGAAGGTGTGCTTAGGCACAGCAGTCATTCCTGGGCTGCTGACATAATTCAGCGAACTTCACATCCCAGTGGGAAGGGCAGGCTCGCTCATTTATAATCAGTCTGCATGCAATGCCTACAGTAAAACTTTGAAATAGAAATGAAAATTTCTTTATTGTTATTTACTTTAAAAGCACTGAAAGATCCACCAGAATAAGATGTCTGCTGAAAAGCTAGTTTCTTTCAACCACTGCTGAGGAAAATGGTTTAATCCATAATATTGATGCATAATTGACTTGTATAACATTAAAGGACCTTTAGAAAAATCTTTACACCACAGCAAAAAAAAAAAAAAAAATACCCCAATTCAAACCAAACGAGAGCAAAAACCAATTCAGACAGGAACCACTGAAGGAATTAAAAGTTACAGAACCAGAGTCTAAAGTGAGCACAGCAAACTCCGCGGTGACACCAGAGCTCCAAGAACACACAGACTCCCTGTTTTCCTCCCTGGGGACAGGCTAGGAAGTGAGGAAGGCAACTGACCTTCTCAAAAGCCAACGCTCCGCCTGCATGGCTCAGGCTGACGACTAAACATGTCCACGTGAATGCAGGCGTCGAATGCCCAAGTACATGTGAATACAGGTGTCGAATGCCCACGTAAACATGTACATGTGAATACAGGCATCAAATGCCCACGTACATGTGATTACAGTTGTTGAATGCCCACGTAAACATGTCCACGTGAATACAGGTGTTGAATGCCCACGTACATGTGAATACAGGCATCAAATGCCCACGTAAACATGTACACAGGTGAATGAATACAGGTGTTGGGTGCCCATGTAAACATGTACACGTGAATACAGGTATCGAATGCCTATGTAAACATGTACATGTGAATACAGGTGTTGGATGCCCACATACATGTGCATTCAGGTGTTGAATGTCCACATAAACATGTACATGTGAATACAGGTATCGAATGCCTATGTAGACATGTACACATGAATACAGGCACTGGATGCCCACGTAAACATGTCCATGTGAATACATGCACTGAACGCCCATGTAAACATGTCCACCTGAATACAGGTGCCGAATGCCCACGTAAACATGTCCACGTGAATACGGGTGCCGAATGCCCACATAAACATGTCCACGTGAATACAGGTGCCGCCGAATGCCCACATAAACATGTCCACGTGAATACAGGCGCTGAATGCCCACATATGCAACAAGTCAATGTCTTCCTATGCCACTGCTCTCTGGACAGACCACATTCTGAAAACAATGATGAAGCCACACAGTGCTCAGCTCAAGTCCCAGGAACTTCCTGCTTTATGCTGGAAACGGGCCACAGCGCTCAAGCAGAGCTCCGCTCACAGCCAGGTGGCCGTGTTCTCTGAGGGGTTGTGCCGGGGTCTTCAGACAGTGCCCTCCCTGGGGTCTTGGGACCCTCAAGCAAATGCCACCTAGAAGCAAAACCTGACTTAGGTCACCAGGTGCAGGCCTTACATATAGAGGTAGTAGCGCTACATTGAGGATGCTGGACACGGCTTATCTCCTGGAGGAGGGCTGCCTCCTTGCCATGGGAGCCCCGCCCTGGCTGCCAGGCTTCCCTGGGCAAGGTCAGCAAGGCATGTGCTCGGTGGAGGAGGCCTAACTGTTGCTACTCTTGGTGACCTGAGGTGAAAGGTCACGTGCTGGTCGCTTGTGCTGAGCAAGGCCTTGCTTCTCATCTGACCAAAGAAGACCGTGTTTCCTGGGACCCTGCAGGCTGCCAGAATGACCGCCCACCCGCTGCCCCTCACCACACACTGCTGCACTGTGCTCCACATCCTGACAGGCAGCAGGAACCCCCAAATTCCCTCCTCAGGCCAGTGCCCTCCACGTTGTCCCCAGCAGGGCGACGGAGGGTGGGGGCGGCAGGCTGTCTCCGGTGCTTGCCTTCTCTGTCTAAATAACTTGCTTCTCACCCTGCTGCAGGAGTCTCCGAAGCACAAAGGCTGACCCTAGACTCTGGCCAGGACGAGCTGGGGTGAGGGGCCCCGGCCAGAAGGATGTCCTGATGAGGGGTCCTGAGGGTCTGGGGAAGGCGCTGTGGCCTGAATGCTCACCCTATGGCTGGGTCACCCAGGGCACCCCGAGGTCATCAGCCTGAGGAAGAGTGCTGGGTGATTTCATTCTCCCTGGTTGCTGAAAATGAGCAGTGTGTGTCCTCCCAAGCAGGGCTGGGACGCCACTGATACCATCGACGTACAACACGCCGCAAGCAGCCCTCGAGGAATGGAAAACTCTCAGACTGCTGTGTCCACACGGGTTAATAAAAATGCTGACCCCAGTTCCCAAGGTCCACAATGTCCATGGAGAGTAGGATTTTACACACTTATTGATGAACTGCTATGAGTTTTTGATGATGGCTTGGCTAGTTGAATTCTGATTCGATACTTTATAATTAGGGCTCACTAGTGACGAGCAAAAGCCCGTGAAACTGTCTTTGTTTATGATCCCACCACGTATCTCTACTATTAAAGAATTAGCCTCTGGGCCGTGTGTCCTCCTGGTCTACCTCCAGCACAAGGACGTTCCTCAGAGCAAGGCATTTGCTCGCTCCCCTTGCTCCTTACACACGGCCTTCCCACTCCCAGCTAACACCTGAAATAGGATGGGATAGTGCACACTCTGAAGGTGAAGCTTTAGGTGACGTCGAAGCATCCAGCCATATCTGTCAGTTTATATAAGGGGTGGCGGCTGCTCAGCGAGGCCTCAGGAGTGTGAAGGAGGCTTGGCTGGCGGAGGGGCCGTGCTGCTGGATCAGATGGCGGAACACGGCCCAGAGCAACTGAAGTTCGCTTGTCCCCACAGGCAGCTCGACATGGTGCAGACCGTGGCAGCCAAGTCAGGCATACAGCAGCCCTCTTGCTGGCTTCCAGTACTGGCTCTGCACGCCTTCACCGTGAGAGGCCCCTGGACAAGGGACTGCCTTCCTCTGTGCCTCAGTTTCCCTGTTTGCACAATGGGGCTTCACCCATTTCGCAGGGTGGTCACGGGTATTCCCTATGTTGGAATGCATGATGGGGCCACACCCAGCACGGAGAGAGCACTTGACACTGTTGCTTGCATGTGCCCCCGGGCCAAGGTGGACGAGCTCTCCAAACTCGCTTTCTCTGCCTCATCCGTGATGAGCTGCCCCGCGGGTCCCCACAGATCAATCAGGACAGAATACTCACTAACCAAAGGTCGGTTTCACTTCTCTCCTCAGTGCACACCTGAACTCTCACCACCCCCACCGAGGCAGTGGGCAGCCCCTGAGCCAGGCAGCTCCAGGCCAAACCTTCTCTGGCCTCCTGCCGCTCACGGCCACAATCACCCCACATCCTGGTCCACTCACACCCACGTCACCCACATGCGGCTCCTTCTAGCCATGCTCACTCCCCTCTGCGGAACAAGACAAGGGCTCCCTTCGCCTGGCTGTGGTAGTGCTTGCGGTCCTATGGCCAGAGCACTGCCCTGCCACAGCCCTGACCCCACAGCACCAGGCCTTTTGATGAAAAGTCTGTCCTTCCCAGGTCCACGGCTGCTTTTGATTTGATATATTACACATGGGCTAGTGTTATTATCATCTCCTCAAAGTGGAGGGTCTGCTACATTACCGCCTGGACATGTCCGGACCAAAACATATTTTCAGAATAACACACAGTTAACCCTCCCTGTGCCAAGTTGTTGATGTCAAGTCTCTTTGAGGACAGTGCTTACAACATGCGTGCCCTTCTTCTGGTCCCAGCAAATGCAGCAAACACCATCGAATCAGGCCAGACTCGACCACTGCAATCAATTCTTCTGGGTCTGCTCTCAGACTTCAAGGTGAGATGAATCTGTACTAAGAAAACTTCCACTTTTTCAATACTATCCCAGAGAGCCTGGTTTTATTGTCATGGGTTCCCATCTCATACAAGTTCGAGTATGAAGCGTGCAGCTGGGAGAGCTCCTGGATGGTGCATGGCGGAAGCTTCCTGACTGAGGACAAGCTGACCCAGCTTCCTCCCAGGTTGCTTTCTTGCCCTCAGTCAAATCGTTATTTCTGCATCTTTATCAAGTCATCTGACTTCACAGTACCCAAAACGTATATTACTTCAGCCTCAATACCCTGCCCCAGCCTCCCAGCCAGCTCCAAATCACATCCCACTGCTGTCGCTGACTTCTGTGGCAAACCACACCCCACTGACTTTGGCAGCAGCTGTCAGCCCTTTCTGGGCTTTCAGGGGTGGATGTGAAATGCCCACACAGCAGCTTCAGGCAGATGCCCATATGCCTGAGAAGCTTCCTGCATTTTCAGCCACCACTGTCCTCCAAGCTTGCCACAGACGGGAGTAGGTTCCCAGGTGCGGGCACACAGGTATGGCCTCGCCTATGCTATCTCTTTCACTGTCCCTAGGGAATAGACCTGGGCTGGCTTTGCCAAAGGTGTGGGTGGATTTGCCCTGATGGCTTACCCAGGCCTCGCCTGCTCTGCACAGGACCGTAGACCCCATGCTGAGGGGCGGCCACAGAGGTGTGCAGTGCAAAGCCACAGACCAAACTGCAAGTAATTTGTTCATGTAAGAATTCAGCTCATGAGCTCAGCCCTGGCACAGGCTCCAGTCAACCACGCTAAGTGGGTCTGGACTCAGGCATCCGAGAATTAATGGGGCCCCGGGTTGGGATGCATGCAGTGCCAGGCGGAATCGGTTCCAGCAGGCGTCTGGGAGGGCCGGTTTGGCCCCAGTATCTGAAAACGGTGAATCAGCTCTAAGGGTAGGAGCTGCAGCCCGCCCTCCACAGAGGGGGTCCAGGGCTTCTTACTGATCATCCAGGCATGGGAAGCTGATCAGGGTCAACCTATGAAATCACACATCCCAGTTATGTTGTCTATAATCTTAACAGAAACAGCAGAAATAACCTGAGAGAGAGGAGCCATCTAAAAACTCATACATGTATAATATACCAACTGCCCCCAGGGGTCCCTGAAAGAACGACGAGTGTCGGTACTCCAAGAAATTATTTGGAAAATGACTACCCAAGAGATGATCACACAGCATCGCATCAACATTCAGGATTTCTTTCCAGCACAAAAATGCCCAGTTTGGAAAGAGGAATCAGAGGAAAATGGACAATGAAAATAAAGGCTTTGCTCTCTTTCCTTAAATAGTAGAGGCGCTGGGATGACAGAATGTGCTGGCTGCTTGACTCGGGGAGCCTTGAGTGCACTCGGTGCTGGCTGGCTAACATGGTCTGACTGTGTCCCCACCCAAATCTCATCTTGAATTGTCCCATAATCCCCACATGTTGGGGGAGTGACCTGGTGGGAGGTAATTGCATCACAGGGGTGGATACCCCATGCTGTTCTCATGATAGTGACCGAGTTCTCACAAGATCTGACGGTTTTATCATGGGCTTTTCCCCCTTTGCTCGGCACTTCTCCTTGCTGCCGCCACGTGAAGAAGAACATGTTTGCTTCCCCTTCTGCTGTGATTGTAAGTTTCCTGAGGCCTCCTCAGCCCTGCAGAACTGTGAGTCCATTAAACCTCTTTCCTTCATAAATTACCCAGTCTTGGGTGTGTCTTTATTAGCAGCGTGAGAACAGACGAATACACCTGCCTTGGCGGTGCTGTGACACGTGGCCTGTTACTCACGTTCCCATCTGAATATGTAATGCACAATGGACACTCCCATGCACAGCACACCGGGAGGGTCCTCACCACACAGCCTGGGACATACGTCCATCCATACCTAGGAAGGTTCATCGAACGCATGTCTGAGCCTGATGTTCCTCGGCACTGCTGGCCCAAGAGGAGCTGACAGCCCACAATCCTGAACATTACCTTGTGCTTATTTAATCTAGTATGAAGTCATCTTACTAAGAACTCCACTAATTCTGAGCATGCAGGGGCCAGCGGAGTCCATACTAAAGTTGACCGATCCTGGCTATAAAAAGTTCTGCAAAGAAAAGTATGGCAGTAAACAAGATTCCAGGAGCCCTCTTGAAACAGCAGAGAAGACGCCCTGGCAGGAAGGCCTGTCCCACCTGTGGGTCCTGGATTCAGCCTCCCGCCCCACTCCCACTTACTCGGAACAGGGACTTTCCCATGTGGATTCGTATGACCCTACTTTTGAGTGATTTCCTCCGGAGGCTGTTCACATTTCATCTTTGCTCCAGGCCCTCTGAGGCTTGAACACTGCCCTGTTTTCATTCAAGAAGAAAAGTGAAACCAGGAAGGCAGGTGTCTTTCCAGAGGGCTGGGAGGCTGGTTGAATGGAGGATATTCCATCTCTTACTCTTTCAAGCAGAGCGCAGCTGCTGTCCCACAGGAGTAAATTCAGGATGAGTGGCTGAAACATTTCCCACATGGTTGGAGTTTAAGTCTCTCAAGGTAGAGACACTCATGGTGTAAGTGCAGAGGAGGAGAAGGAAGCTGGGATGGGTGTGTTTAGTTCTGCTTCCAGGGACTATTCCTAAATTCTGCTTGTGGGCAGGGCACAGGCAGCTCAACGTTAGGCCAGGGACCAATCTTACCACGTGGCTTCTGGCCCAGAGCAGCTCGTGAGTCAGCCTGGCCTAGTTGGAAAGGCACCAACTAGGTCTCAGGAGGCCAAGTGGGGGGCCTGCCCCCACCTCTGGGGTCTCAGCATCTGCACAGTGACGGATTAGGGGGGCGGTTCAGCAGCCCCTCGAACCTTCACCCGGGGCTCGTTTGCTGCTTCACACTGGAGGAGGTGCTCCTAGCAAGATGCCGACCTGCAGCAGCGCCCACAAGGCTCAGGGCTGGGTCCAGCCTCACCTGCAAAAGCTGTGGCTGCGGGAACCTTCCTGCCCTGCAGGAACCACCTCAGCCTCAGCCTCAGCGCTGGAGAGAAAGCCCTATCCCGCTCGGCCTGACCCTCCTCTCCACAAAGGGCTTGAAGAGCAACTGACCCATGAAACGGGCAGGGGCTGGGCTGATCCCATATGAAACGGGCAGGGGCTGGGCTGATCCCGTATGAAACGGGCAGGGGCTGGGCTGATCCCGTATGAAACGGGCAGGGGCTGAGCTGATCCCGTGGCAGTGCAAACCGAGGGCCCCCTGGGTCTCGACATTTCACCGCAAACCCTGACCCCACACCCGGCCTCTCTGCAGCTAATGGAAGGAAATGAACCCATCGTGTGGGGCGACATAGGGGCCCAGGGGGCCTGGACAAGTAATAAGGTCAAGATATTTTTGGACTTGTTCAAATGGGTGGGCAGCTGTTTCTCTGAGGAAACGCGCCCCTCCCCAGTGGCCAGGTGAGCAGTGGGGCTGGAGAGGAGAGCAGAGGGAGCCGAGGCCCTCTGTCCAGGCGGCTGAGGTCACGCGGTCTCTTCAGTTTCCATTTTTCCACTTGTAACGGCTGTTACAGCCGCTGTTTCATCGCGTCGTCATAGGAGTTGAACAAAGCTGTGTGTGTGTTTCCAGAATGTTGGCACAGCGGCGAGAAGGCTGACCGAACACCGAGAAGCAGCCAGCACAGGCTCTCCACAGGGGCTCTGGCATGGAGCAGGATAACCCGGGCCCACGTGGGGACACGCCCCGCCCCACAGGCTTGCACCGGGGTGCGGCCTGCCCTGTCTGGGGCGCCAAGGCCAGTGGTGTAAATCCACACTCTATGGTGACGGTGGATCCACAGCTGCCGCGGGTCCCCCCAACCCCAAAGCCACTGAGTGAAAACAGACCACGGTGCTCCAAAACGAAATCGCCCCCGAGGATGAAAGGGGGTGGTGGAAAAGGCCTTGGAGCCTGGGGCAGGGCTCAGAGGGGCCCCAGGCCGGCCCCACTCCCAGACTAGAGCCAGCACTCGCGGGCAGGCCTCCCCAGGACCAGAGCGCCTGCGACCTGCCTGGGTGCCATCCGCAAACCTGGTCTCTGCTGAAATCTGAACAGTCTACACTGGACAGACATGGAGGGAAGCTTCTCCCAGGACCAGGGTCCCTGCTTTCTGCAGACGGTGGGCAGAGGGCAGAGACGGAGACCGTGGGCACAGCACACCAAGGGGGAGCCTGCTCAGAGATGGGCATGGGGCCGGCCTGGGAAGCATGGCGGGAGGGGAGAAGAATCGCGATCCTTTCCAGGTACACAGTCTAGCAGCTGCCACGCCCGGCTGGGAGCTGAGACGCGCAGGGGGCCCAGCTGAAGCCTGCGTTTTCCCTTCTGCACAACAGCGGAGGTTTTCCTGGAGTTCATAATCACTGGTTTTTTTTGTGTGCGTGTTCACCAGCCTGCTCACCTGGGTAGCAGGGTGGGAGGGCCGGGTGGGGATGGCTGCAGGGACCCCCTGGGCCGGCTCTGGGTGCTGCTGCTCCCAGGAGAGATGGTCCCGTGCAAGTGCCAGGCCCCTGCTGTTTGGCCTCCTCTGCCCCCTGTGGGGCACGAGCGTTAGCCGCACTCCGAGTGCGCGCCAAGGGCTTCAGCTGGCTGAGCGCTTTTGCTGTGGGGTGGATCCCAGGCCCTCGGGCCAGCCCTGCGTGGGGTTCTCCCTGCTCACACAAACCACACGGGGAACGGCACAGGTAATATTAACCAGGACTAGCACCTAGGGCCCCACAGGTACCGTTCACGTATCCTGGCTTTAGTCTTGCTGGTTTTCTCACCAGCATTTAGTGCTAGTTCAGTATTTATTTAAATCAACATGTTTTGAAAAACTGCCTAAGTATCTGAATTGTTATAAAGTTTAAGGACCATGAAGTCTAAGAAGGAAGATTATTTATTGTACTTCTGGGAAAAGCCCCCAGAGGTGGGCTCATTTGCTGTGATCTTCGTCCCATTCACAAAGCACTCCTGGGCACTGTCCCAGCTGTGGATGGCACTGGAAACTGGGCTTGTCCACAGCGTGAGTCCCTTGAGGCTGGAAGCACAGAGTGGCTGTCCCCAGGTAGTTGGTGACGGGGTGAGGACCGGGCTCGCTCCCACTCTCAGGAGCCTCACTATGGTCCCCAGAGATAGAGGACGGTGAGGCGCTGCCGGTGAGGGCCACACCAGGCCACATCCGTGCAGAAAGCACCCTCTCATTGCAATGTGTTTGGAAACATGAATTCATGTGGCAGCGGTAACATTTAGAAGAGAAACAGCCACATTTAAAAACGCGTAAGACTCACAGAACCTCAGCCTGCTGTGGTTTCATCATCAGGTGGGTGGCACATTCCAGCGGCTTTGGCCTTGCCTGCCCAGTGCCCAGAGCTCAGTGCCCACTGTGGGAAGTGCAGGGAGCAGCTCTGGCACATCCCACAGTGCTGTCTGCACCACCGCACACAGAGTGCCAGTGTCAGCTGTAGGTCCCATGGCCTGAGGAAGCCACTGAGCCTGGGACAGCTTGAGGGGCAGGAGGCGGACACAGGTGCGGCGGGGGACGCGGGGGTGGCTGCCCGGGAGGCGGACGCGGGTGCGGCGGGGGACGCGGGGGTGGCTGCCCGGGAGGCGGACGCGGGTGCGGCGGGGGACGCGGGGGTGGCTGCCCGGGAGGCGGACGCGGGTGCGGCGGGGGACGCGGGGGTGGCTGCCCGGGACTGGCTCTTCTGGAAGCAATTCGTGGGAAACCCACTTGGATGCCACTTATGACCCCCGCGTGCCAGTGGATGCCCACAACCCCTCTGGGGTGTCGGGGATCAGGTGAGCAAGGGGGCTCATCCGTGGCCTCCAGGCCCCACCTTGATGGAAACTGCGACAGGAGGGGGTCTGGCCTCTGCTGGGAGTGACATCTGAAGATGCCATAGAAAGTCTGGCGCAGCAGCCGGTGGGCCTGGGGGGCGCGTGGACTCCCAGCTGTTGCTGTGCCTGGGTCACCCCAGTGGGCAGGGCGGGCAGGGGGCTTCCCCACAGTCTAGGGGGCCAGGAGAGCCCCTGGGCCTCACGTCCTGCTTCTCTCCTTGTCCTTCATGTCTTGTAGGCGACCCCACAGAGAGAGAGGCAGAGGAGAGTGGCCGTGACCTGGAGGACAAGGACATGCATTTCACACTGACCGGGGCCTCCCTGGGACACCCTGAACACCTGCTCTGTGGGAGACGGGGTGGTGTTTGAGCTGGTGCCATCTGGGTCCCCTGGGGTGGTGGCTGGGTGAGCCCAGCCCCATCTTTCCCTCGGACTTCATTTGTGCTCATGGCTGGGGGAGGCACCTGGGGGCCCCGTCCAAGCTGCCAAGGGCTGGGGTGGGCTGTTCCCCTCTTGGCATCTCCCTCACACCTCTGCACCCCCAGTGGATAAAAGCTGCTGGCAACATCGACGTCCCCAAGACACTGACAGGCCTGGAGGTCTGGACAATGGGGAGCCAGCACCGGGTCCCCTGGGAACCACGCAGCCGGGGCCTGGAGGCCGACACAAGCCAGACCCAGCCTCTCTGCCATTCGCAAATCCCAGTGTTCAAACAGAGTTCTGCCAAAGAAGAGAAGAACCAGTAAAAAGCAGGGAAGAGGCTGGGCGCGGTGGCTCATGCCTGTAATCCCAGCACTTTGGGAGGCTGAGGCGGGCGGATCACGAGGTCAGGAGATCGAGATCATCCCGGCTAACATGGTGAAACTCCGTCTCTACTAAAAGTACAAAAAAGTAGCCAGGTGTGGTAGCATGAGCCTGTAGTCCCAGCTACTGGGGAGGCTGAGGCAGGAGATTCACTTGAACCTGGGAGGCGGAGGTTGCAGTGAGCTGAGATTGCACCACTGCACTCCAGCCTGGGAAACAGAATGAGACTCCATCTCAAAAAAAAAAAAAAAAAAGAAAGTACAGGAAGCTTTCAGCCTCCTTGGCAAGACACTGCTGTCTGGAGACCCTGGGAGAAGTGTGCCATCAACCAACGTGACCAGAACCCATCCTGGTTTAGGGAGGAGCTCTCCACAGGCCTCCACGGGGCTGGAGCAGTCCCCAAGCTCCAAAGAGTCCCCCACGACCTCTTAGTCGTCACCCCTAGGAAGGGCCTAGAAGGCAGATTTCCCACCATGAGAAGCCACATGGAGCCCAGCTCCCAGGCATGCAGCCCTGCTGGGCTATGCGGGGAAGATGTGTGCTCTGAAGGCCTCTGGGGCCACCCAACTGCCATGCAGGAGGCCTCCGGGGCCACCCCACTGCCACGCGGGAGGCCTCGGGGGCCACATCTCCGCCATAGGGGAGGCTTCTGGGGCCAGCCCTCTGCCACACGTGAGGCTGCCGGCCCACTTCTCTGCCATGTGGGAGGCAGCCGGGGCCACATCTCTGCTATGCTGGAGGCCGCTGGAACCACCTCTCCAATGCTGGGGATAGCTCCCTGGAGCCATCTCCTTTCTCACAGAGGCGAAACCCACACCTTCCCCAAGGAACGGAGCTCACGCCCCTTCCTGCCTCCATTTCCCAAGCTGTCACCGTAACAGTCACTACAGGACAGTCAGAATGGTAGGATTTGAGCTAAATTGCTAGAATTAGAGAGCGTCACAAAAATTCTAGGAGGTCAGCAACTTTAGGTAATGCCCACACCTGATGGGGGAAATCACTGTCTTCCGGCGGGCTGGTCCTCTTTGGTGACAGATGAAGTCAGATGCTTCCGGGATGAATTTGGTTCACCTTTGAAGGACACTTTGAAAGCAACACAACAAAACTGGCTGGGCCTTGTACTCTCCGCTCCCTCGAGAAGCTCCCCGCCCGGTGCCGCTGGCTTCTACTGTTTCTAAGCTGCCTGTTGGGCACGTTCCCTCCTGGTGGTCCCGGGGCAGCCAGACCCACCCTGGGACATCCAGGCCCCCTGGGCACAGACATCTTGTACAAGGTCAGAGAGACTGGGTTTCGGGCTTCATGAGCCTCAGAAATTCAGCTCTCAGGAGGCTCGTGGGAGGCCTCCAGGGTCAGGTCTCTGCCGGAGAGAAAAGGGGCGGCCTGGGCTTCTCTTCAAAAGTGTTACCTGACAACAAGGGAATTCAGCCACACACCAGGTGGCTCCGTGGTCCCCTGAGGTCCCCAGCCTTTGACAGTGTGTGTGTATGTGGTGTGTGGTGTGAAATGTGGGTGTGATATGTGTGTGTGGTATGTGTGCATGTATGTGTGTGGGGGTATGTGTGTGTGGTGTGTGTGGTATGGTGTGTGTGTCTGTGGGGTACATGTGTGGTGTGTGTGGGGTATATGTGTGGTGTGTGTGTATATGGTATGTGTGTGGTGTGTGTGTGATGTGTGTAGTATGTGGTATGTTTGTGTGTGTAGTATATGTGGTGTGATGTGTATGTGGTGTGTGTAGTATGTGTGCAGGTATGTGTGTGGTATGTGTGGTGCTGTGTGTGTGGTATGTTGTGTGTGTATGGTATGTGGTGTGTGTGTGGTGGTGACATGTGCGTATGGTGGTGTGTGTGTGGTGGGGGTGTGTGTGGTGTTTGTGTGGTGTGAATGTGTGTGTGGTGGGGGTGTGTGTGGTGTTTGTGTGGTGTGAATGTGTGGTGTGTGTGTGTGGTGTGTGTGGTGGTGACATGTGTGTATGGTGGTGTGTGTGTGGTGTGTGTGTGGTGGGGGTGTGTGTGGTGTGAATGTGGTGTGTGTGGTGTGTGTATGGTGGTGTGTGTGTGTGGTGCGTGGGGTGGTGACGTGTGTGTATGGTGGTGTGTGTGTGTGTCTGTGGTGGGGGTGTGTGTGTGGTGTTTGTGTGGTGTGAATGTGTGTGGTGTGTGTATGGTGGTGTGTGTGTGTGGTGCGGGGGTGGCAGGATGTCATTAACTTGGTTCTAAAGGTGGTTTGGGTTCAGGTCCTGGAGTACATGCTCAGGAACTGTCAAGCAATCTGGGGGCACAGGAAGGAGACCGGGCGCTCCTGCAGGTATTAAATCGTGTTTTGCGTGAAGATCAGCGTTCAGACCAGTAGTACAAAACAGATGGTCTAGGAATGAACGTGACAACACAAGGGCCTGGAGTGTATGACGAAGGGGGCATTTCAAACCCGTGGGTACAGAAAAAATCCACCCGATAAACACAAGTGGGAAATTGTGTAAGAAAATGAAGTGAGATTCCAATATTAAAAAGTCAGATAGGTCAAAATCTAAATAATAAACAATTTACCATAAGATAATTAGAAGAAAATATAAAATACTTTTTAATCTTGGGTTCAAGTTGTCACAAAACCTAAGCTATTTTTTTTAATCCAGAAGTATTAAAAGTTTGCTATTTCCTATAGACAAATAGCTCCTACAACTTGGTGAGGAAACAGGGTCCAGGAGCATTTTCTCTGCTCGGGTGAAGCTCAGGGGAAGACATAAGTACATGAAAGACATTCCGTTCTGTAATGATTAAAAAATCAAAAGTTAACACCATCACATTGGTAAACGTTAAAAGGTTTAATAACTTTTTTTAATATACTGCTGTTGCACATGCAAACTGATAAAGCCTTTTTGGAAAGTAATTTGGCAATAAAAATGCACATACTTTATGAGCAAAAAAAATCCCGTTTCTTATAATCTAATTGATAAGAATTATAGCATAAGTGCATGTATGTGTATGAGAACAGTCACTCTGGCATCGCCTGCAACAGCAAATAAATGAGTGGCAAACAAGCTCTCGCGGAGGGTATTTAAATATTTTATGTGACTAAGAAGAATGAGATACGTCCATTTGCTGTGATAAGAAAAGATATTCCACAGTTTCGTATTTGTTAAGTATTTTCAGCAAATCATGGAACACGATGCAACACCCGATTCCATGTTTGAAAACAGAACAGAACAAAATTCAACAAGAAATAAGCGCCCGCGTCCACATATTCTCGTGCCTGGCGTGTTTTACGTGCTTGGGAAGCGGAGCGGCCGCTGGGCTTGGCTCTGAGGTCGGGACTGGTGCAGGCGGATGCATGTATGTGCCCGGGTCCCGCCTCCACACGCCTGCCTGGCGCCAGCCTGCCTGTCCTCCCTGCACCCGCCCCCGCTCCCTGCACCCACCTGCCCCCCCTCCCTGCACCCGCCCCCCCTCCCTGCACCCACCTGCCCTACTCAGGGTGGTGAGAGCGGAGGGGCTCTGGGGCTTCATCCACACGTCTCCTAGTCACCCTCTCGACCAAGAGCATCCTCTGGATTTTACATTCACTTGGCAACAAAAAAAGTTTGAGAGAGGACTTTGAACATCAAAAATGCTTACATTTGTTATGTCACAAACACAAAGCGTTCTCCTAGGAGGTTTCTGGTACAGACCATGTTTCCTGAGGACCTGGAGGGTATCGCACCTACAGCCAGCAACGCCGTGCAGCACGCTCGGAGCGCACCCAAGAGGGCAGATCAGAGGGGCGCACGCGGATCCCCAAAATCCTGAAGATATGTACGGAAAATATGTGCGGCTTTTCCTGCCGACCAGGCCTCCACGAAGTGCTTCGATAAAATAAAACCAGCCTGTCATGGAGGAGTCCCCTTTGCCCGGAGAGCCTGTCCTTCCCCTCTGGGGGTCACACTGCCAGTTTGTCAAAGTTGGGCGAAGTGGCCCCTGCCTGGAACTCTCTGGCCTTATGAAGCCCCCTCCCCGTTCATGCCGCTCAATCGAGTGACTCTTACAGATCATCTTGAGCTGCCTCATGGGGTGGGGCTCGCGTTCCCATCTGCCTTCTGCAAGGTGTGGCCTCTGACCTGCAGCCCGCACTGAGCCAGCAAGCCGCGGGAGAGGCCAGGCGCCCGCAGCGGGGCATCTGCGCCTGGTGTGCAGCGTACTTGCTATACTCAGGCCAGCCCAGCCCTGGGCCATCTCCCTGAGTTTCAGCTCCCCGGGGCCACCTCTCCTGGGTCCCCTCTTTGCTGTGGCTCTGGCGGACATTAGCCAGCAGTGGAGAGAAGCCCATCTCCACCCCCAGGGAGCTCAGCCGAGGTCTCCGCGTCCCAGCACCAGCTGCCTTCAGCTCGAGGGTGTGTTTTCGGGGGTGGGGATCCCACATGGCACGGCTCCTGCACGTCCAGGGCATCTGCTAGTCGTCTTTGCCTGCTCCCCAGTGTCCCAAGCAACTCAGTAGGACCTTGGGGAAGCTGGGTGCTCACAGAACACCTTGTAAGCGAATGAGGAAAGCAGGCTTGTCCGCTGGCCACACTGCACGACAGACGTCTGCCCAGGCTGGGGCCGGGGGTCTCTGCTCCTACAGCCCGCAGATGGGCCACCCGGAGGCTGCCCCGTGATGGCTGGACCTGAGGCTTTCCAGTGACTAGGAGGGCTTGGGTACTTCTTATTCATGAGCTGTACGTTCTACAGCGTGGCTGGTCATTTAATGTGTGCAATCGATGGGCACTGCGCTTCAACTTCAAAGCATGACCGGGCGGATCAATCTCCCAGGGCCGCGGGTGCCGAGTTTAAAACTCATCTCTTTTTCTAAAGTGGAGGCAAGGGACCCCAGTTTGGGATTAATCAGCAGTGATGAGCTTAAATAAATGAGATAAATTTTCTATCTATCTTGTAAGGCTTTTTTTCAGAATTAATGGGACCCCTCTACAATGCGCTGTGCCCGGGGAGAGGAAGGGGGCGCAGCTGCATCTGCAGCTGCGGTTGTGGTCGGGAGAATGAGGGCCTGGAGCTGCCCAGGACGGGCTCAGGCACAGGCACCCAGCCGAGAGTCCCCTGCTGTTCCCTCTGCAGAGCAAACACAGTTTCTGCTGAAAAGAATGTGGCAGATGAACAAAAATTGTAAGGTTTTCTAAAGGTGTTTCATTACGTGAGATGGCAGAGGTTGGTCTCCATGTCACAGATGACCCTCGCGGCGGTGATAACCTTTACATTTTGGGGTGCTCTGTGGACCCCCTGTGTACCCTGTGAGTATGCACGTTTCTAGAGGTGGAGTTTGACCCTTGAATTGTTCAAATTATAAGTAGAATCACAGAAATTGGGGGAGGAAAGGATCTGAGGGGCCTCCAGGGCCCGTGGCTTCACCCTGGGGTGGGGGCAAGGGCGGGGCGTGGTGCCTCTTCCGGGGTGGGATGGGTGGATGCTCGTGGTTCATTCCCACGTGGGATTCTCACATGCTCGCCCTCCGGCTGTCAGGAGCAATGGTGAGTTCTGCCACACGTGGAAAACACGTTGGCTTCTCTGGGTTTTAAGTGTCCTGTCAGCAGCTCGGAGCCTCTAGGAGACACCGTCCCCCAGGGCCACGTATAGATCCACTGGAGGCCTGAATGGCATAATTCGTGGCACCCCTGGCACCACACAGGGGTGTTTCTGTCCCCTTCTCCTCCCATGGCTTAGAAGCAGTAATCTCCTGACCTCCAGGCAGAAGTCAATTTCCTCCTTTGCCTCCTCCGCCTTGCAGGGACCCCAGGGCTGACCTGCCTCCCTCGGCCCCCTCTCTGCCAGAGCCAGGTCTGAGGTCAAGGCTTTCGGTGTTTCTGAGGCCACGCTGAGGGCCCCACAGCCCCTTCCCGGGTCCCCACCCTCCAGGCCACCTTCGGGCCTCGGCAGCACACCTCGAGGGGCCCAGGACAAGCTCGGGGCCCAGGTGGCCGGGAGGGGGCCGCCTGTGTCTCGCCCCTCATTCTCTGCTCTGACCCGGGCTCGCACCTCCCCTCGTTCTCTGCTCTGACCCGGGCTCGCACCTCTCCTCGTTCTCTGCCCTGACCCGGGATCACACCTCCGACCCGGGCTCACACCTCCCCTCGTTCTCTGCTCCGACCCGGGCTCACACCTCCCCTCGTTCTCTGCTCCGACCCGGGCTCACACCTCCCCTCGTTCTCTGCTCTGACCCGGGCTCACACCTCCCTGCTCCACCCAGGCTGCCTGCACTTCCGGTTCTGCGTCTGGCCGGCCTACGGGCACTCGGGCAGTGCGGTGACCAATTATAGCGTCGACGATGGCAGCTTCCCTCTGAAAGCCCATTGTGTCTGCCCCTATTCTTTGAAGCTTCACTGCTTTCGGATAAGTATGAAAATAGGCTCTCCCTCTCTGAGTCAAAGGAGGCAATTATACAATAGGACTATCACCCTCACTGTCACTCTCCGCTTTGTTTAAATGTGGGGATTTCATTTCTTCATCGCCTCTGTGAACACCCACTAAAACCGTAAGTGGGAAAAGTGGGTGCCTTCTGTATTTTACATTTTTTATTGTGTCACTTACTGCAAAGCAGCTCAAGGAGCCTGAAGACACCCAGCCTGAAACCACGATAAATGTGTGGAGTTGTGGAGACAGCTCACCAGCAGAACAGTGAGCTACCTTCTCTCCCAGTAACCTTTTCCAGAGGAAACCTCTTTGAAATATCACAAGCAAAATTTAAATCACAAAATACTTCATATCTGCCTGCACTCATTGTCATGCTAAAGCACATCACCTCGGTCCTCAGAGAGGAGGGATTTCCATGTGAAAGAGGCCAGAGTGCTTCCCTCACTTAGCGGGGATGCAATTATAAAGTATTGAAACTTCCTCTAAGACATGGATCCCTGTGCGTCGCAGCCCCTCACCTGTGCACCTGGGAGGCACCTGGGGATGGGGTGGGGGTGTCAAGCTTGAAGCCCCTCACCTGTGCACCTGGGAGGCTCCTGGGGCTCAAGCTCAAAGCCCCCTCACCTGTGCATCTAGGAGGCACTTCGGCGGGGTCGGGGGCGGGGGGGGCTCAAGCTAAAAGCCCCTCACCTGTGCACCTGGGTGGCACCTGGGAGGGGGACTCAAGCTCAAAGCCCCCTCACCTGTGCATCTAGGGGGCACTTTGGCAGGAGGGAGGGTGCTCAAACTAAAAGCCCCTCACCTATGCACCTGGGAGGCCCCCAGGAGCTGCAGCAAAGCTGGGCCCCAGCCACAGCCTGCAAAATCTCCGACTCCACATGGGGCCTCAGCACCGTCTGTTTGCTCACCCTCCCCAGGGGGCTGAGGCTGGGAACCACTGCTCTTTAACTCTCAACCTCTTCCCAAGGTGCTGTCTATCTGTGGCCCTTGGAGTTCTGTACTCGGCAGTCATTTATTTACAAGTCGCATGAGAAAGTCCTTCCAGCCACTTTCTGTGCTTGCTCTGACATTTGCCCAAACTAACGTTGCTGAGGTTGACCTCATGTTTATTCAGGGAACTTGATTCATTTTCAAGCTATTGATAACAACAAAGTCCTCCCCAACCAAGGAACTTCCGCCATGGAGGCGTTTTCAAAAGAAAGTGCTTGTGCTCATCCCCAGAGGGTTCCTGAGCCTGTGGACGAGGCGGGAGGCGGGAGGTGGAGGAGGTGGCACCTGGCAGCTCACCTGGTGTACCTTCTGTGAGACCCAGCCAGCCCATCGGTCACCAAGGGGTGCATGTCACACCCTGACCTGCCTGACGGAGGGAGCCCATGAAGCAGAACAAACACATGTGATGCTGACGCCCTCAGAAACCTGGGGCTAAGGCCACACCTGATCACCGTGATGGAGGGGGGCAGGCGCCGAGGCGAACTTGGGAGAGGCCCTATGGTGCACACCCCTACCCTTCCTGGCTGGAGAAAAATGGCCCGCCCCGTGAAACAGCAAATAAACACACGCGTTCCAGGACGTGAGATACGGCCTCCACATCAATCAGAGGGACCTGCCCAGTCCTGTCAATTTTCCATCTAAATTACATAACTGTCCTCCTTAGAGACGCGGGGATGCCCAGGCACAGGCATGAAAGATCGGCCTTGAGGTTATTTTGTCTCTGCAAGTATTGATGCGAGGACTTGTGGCGCTTTTCTTTCCCGGTGAACTTTCCCAACTGCTGATGTTACGTGCACTAAGCACATGATTTTCCTATTCATTCCCGAATCTCACATTTTACCGGGATGGTGACATCCCTGTGGGGCCTTGTGGGCTCTGAGCTCATCTACACCCAATCCTAGTCAGCTCTGCTGCCCCTGCGGGGTAAACTGGCAGCTCTGAGTTCACTGGGTGCTGTTTACTGAACGCCTGCCCATGGAAGCCACTGTCCTCATCACTGGGAAAGGCGCAGAGAAGAGAAGGAAACGTTAAAAATCTGGTTGGAGAGAGGAAACAAACTTGGACCATCTTTGACAGTGGTATTAGTCCATTCTCCATGGCTACAAAGAAACACCTGAGACTGGATGATTCTAGGAAAGAGGCTTAATCGGCTCAGAGCTCTGCAGGTTGCACAGGGAGCACGGCAGCTTCTGCTTCTGGGGAGGCCTCAGGGAGCTTCCAGTCACGGTGGAAGGCGAAAGGGAAGCAATCTCGTCCCACGGTGGGCGTAGGCGCAAGGTGGGAGGGGCTACCCAGGTTTAAACACACGGGTCTCAGAAAACTCACTATCATGAGAACAGCAAGGAGAGGGTGGTGCAAAACCATTCAAAAATCACCCCCAAGTCCAGTCACCACCCCCCAGGCCCCACACCCAACACTGGGGATTACGGTTCGACAGGAGATTTTGGGGCACACTGATCCAACCATCTCAACAGCAAAGAGTGATCTGCCTCGAGTTCCGACTCGCCGCTCAGACGAACTCACGGCTCAGCTGGGAGAATCACACGGGAGGGGCCCATGAACGGGCACTGGGGCCACAGCCGGGGATTCAACTGCACCGAAATCCCAGCCCTCAACACGGCCCACGGCTGTGTCATCCCGGATTTATCACTATAAAGCAAAACCAAAAACGGACCTCAGGTTTCTCTGCAATATGTAGGATCCGTGAAACCTCCAACGTGAAATGAGAAGTAGGTAGCCTCGAATCTGCACCCAGGCAGCCCCAAAGGCTATCTGATGACAACACACATTTTCTCATGAAGCGGAGGAGAGTCCGGCCTTGTTGCTGGGCCTGCAGGACATCCCATCGCTCATCTTAATTCTCCTGAGGGTGATATTTACACCTGATATTTACAAGGTGTGGCAAGTGAGAATTTCATCCCAGCCTCCTGCCTGGCAGGTTACACAAGCTGGCCACAGGGATGCTTATGGGCTGAGGTCGTGGGAGGCATCCCGTGAGGGTCACAGGCTGAGGTCGTGGGAGGCATCCCGTGAGGGTCACACAGGCAAAGACTGTCAGCCAAAAGGAATTCCAAGGCCCGGACGGGAGGCGGCCACAGGCTCCTGGGTGTGCTGTGGGACGTACCACTCGGTGGCAGGGCCTGGCCAGAGAGCTGCCCTGCAGGCCTGTGGGATCCTTCAACGCGAAGCTTGCATTCCAGGAGCTCCCTGAGCCCTGAGACCATGGTGAGGGGCTGCGTTGGGCCAGGCTGGGTGTGCACCTGTCAGTTACATTTTCCTATGTGTCCTCCTTCCTTTCTTTGGAGCCTGAATCTTTGTCTTTAGCATCCTTTGTAGTCTTGAATTCTGAGCCCATTCCTGAGACCCCTCTGAACCTCCAGAGGCCCCGCAGCTCTCAAGCTGGAGGACTGGGGACTATGCTCATCTTTCCTTTGACCCCAGGTCTGTCTTCCTACATTTCTTTAACGATTATTTCTCTGGGCCAGGCGTCGTGGCTCATGCCTGTA
The DNA here is from genome assembly GCF_000001405.40 of Homo sapiens. Lineage (NCBI taxonomy): Eukaryota > Metazoa > Chordata > Mammalia > Primates > Hominidae > Homo > Homo sapiens. Next base: position 157,798,004 of record NC_000007.14, read on the forward strand.
ATCCCGGCACTTTGGGAGGCTGAGGCGGGTGGATCACCTGAGGTCAGGAGTTCGAGACCAGTCTGTCCAATATGGTGAAATCCCGTCTCTACTAAAAATACAAAAATTAGCTGGGTGTGGTGGCGCACGCCTGTAATCCAAGCTGCTCGGGAGACTGAGGCAGGAGAATCGTTTGAACCTGGGAGGCGGAGGTTGCAGTGAGCTGAGATCGTGCCACTGCACTCCAGCCTCGGTGACAGAGCGAGACTCAGTCCTAAAAAAATAAATAAAAATAAAAATAGAAAAGAATTATTTCTCTACCTTTTGGAATGTGAAATTGCCTCTGAGACGAACCTGTGATTTGTCACCTCTGGGAGATGACAAGGATGCCTCTGTGACCTTTGTCCCCATGCTAAATATTTTGTCACCATGCTGGCTTTCTTGTTTGCATCAGTAACAGACCGGCCATTTCTCCCATTTGGCTGTACAGTCGTTAGCAGTGGCCCCTCCACACACACAGACACACACGGACACACACAGACACACACATGGACACACACGGACACACACACACACGTCGCTTCTGGTCTGAGAATGTCTGCCTCCTTTCCATTCCCCTGGGCAGGTTATTTTCTTCTCCTAATCACAAAACCCATCCTTCATCTTAATAATTCTCCTGAGAGCGATATTTACACCCTATAATTAGAACTTTATGTTCGTTTTATTAATTACCTCTTTTTTGCCTATTGATGTGAAAGAATCTGGGGCTAAAAGTATTACAGATGGCTCTACACATTGAACCGTTGATATTTAAACTCAATCAGCAGATGCTGGTGCTGTGGGGTGGGGTGGGGCAGGGTGGGCGTCCCACCGGCTCCTCAGGCCTTCCTCCACATCCCATCGGCTCCACTCAGGGACTCCACTTCTTCTCAGCACCTGTGCCCTCCAGTCCCTCTCCCAGGAAGGCAGCAGGAGAGGAGACCCCCGTGCCATCTTCAATACCACCCCTGTGACTAGGGTGCTGCCCCCTCCTCCTTTCTTCTCCAACTTCTAGATTTGGCCCCTAAATGTGACTGAATAACGTGGCAAGCCCTTCAGACATGACAACCCCATCGGGTCAGAGAGGTAGTGGTTGCAGCTGGGCCTGGCCCACCATCGGGGTGGGGCCAGCAGGAGCAGGAGCACGCTGTGTGCTCGTGGGGAGGAAGGGCTGGGTGAGGCTGGAGCGTGGGTGGGAGGTGCTGGACAGGGATGCTGAGGGCAACGGGCCCTCCCTGCACCGAGGCTTCAGCAGCCCTGCTCTCTGCTGTCAGCCTCGGATCCGGGCTGGCCTGGCCTTCATCTCTCCCCAGGCTCCAAAGACCCCACATCGCCATCTCTTGCCGTGAGACCTCCCCACGCTGAACGTGTGTTCCTCTAGCCACTTACTCAACGTCTCCACTGCAGGCCCCAGTGTAACTTGGCCAAGCAGACATTTCATTTTCCCCACCAGAGCAGACCCAGCCCAGGGCTCCCTCCTCACCTTGGGACCTACAGCAGGTCCTGCCCCAGCTCCATGTGCGGGTCCCTCATCTGACTCGCACACTGCCCCTCCGACTGGCCCAGGGCCTCCACTCCAGCGTGTGCTCCTCAGGCCCAGTGTTCTGAGCGTGGAGTGAACTTTCTAAGTCACAATTTAAGTCACATCCCTCTCCCTCTGGAAATGTCTGCTGGCTTTGCACCCACCAAGGACAAGATCCACAGCCTTCAACACACGGCATCACGAACCACCTCCCGAGCCGGCCCCCTCCATCCCTCAGAGTCACCACAATCGGCCTACCCCGTCCCTCAGAGGCACCACAGCCGGCCCCCTCCATCCCTCAGAGGCACCACAGCCGGCCCCCTCCATCCCTCAGAGGCACCACAGCCGGCCCCCTCCATCCCTCAGAGGCACCACAGCCGGCCCCCTCCATCCCTCAGAGGCACCACAGCCGGCCTCCTTTGTCCCTCAGAGGTACCACAGCCGGCCTCCCCCATACCTCAGAGGCACCACAGGCAGCCTCCTCTGTCCCTCAGAGGCACCACAGCCGGCCTCCCCCATCCCTTAGAGGTACCACAGGCAGCCTCCTCCATCCCTGAGGCACCACAGGCGGCCTCCTCCATCCCTCAGAGGCACCACAGGCGGCCTCCCCATCCCTCAGAGGTACCACAGATGCCCTCCTCCATCCCTCAGAGGCACCACAGCCAGCCTGCGTGGCCTCTGTGTTTCTCCCCGGGGTCTTTCCAGGCTGGGCTTCTTCTCGTCCTAACGCTCAGAGGCCTCTGCTTAGCCCCACCTTCCATCACTGTGCCCTCTTCTCCTTTCTTCACATCACACCTTACTAGAAATTACCCGGTCACTATAGTGCCTGTCCCTTCTCCGCGACAAGGGGACCCCTAGCGTGCTTCCCCGCTGCGCTCCCAGCTCCTACAACAGTGTCTGGCCCCTCAAAGCGACTCAACGACCCTCTGCTGATCCAAAGACTCGGCATCCATGTGCCTCCCAGGCCGCCGCACTCCTCCTCCTGGGAACACCCTCGTACGGACGTTCTGTGGAAATAGATGTTGTGTTTTCACCTCTTGTACCTTGTTCACTTAAAATTTAATCAACATCTTATTAGAGAAAGAAAGAGGTTCTTTGCTTTTTTTAACTTTTAAAATATGAATACCTGCCGGGTGCGGTGGCTCAGGCCTGTAATCCCAGCACTTTGGGAGGCCGAGGCGGGCGGATCACGAGGTCAGGAGATCGAGACCATCCTGGCCAACACGGTGAAACCCCGTCTCTACTAAAAATACAAAAAACCAGCCGGGTGTGGTGGCGGGCACCTGTAGTCCCAGCTACTCAGGAGGCTGAGGCAGGAGAATGGCGTGAACCCGGGAGGCGGAGCTTGCAGTGAGCCGAGATCGCACCACTGCACTCCAGCCTGGGCAACAGAGAGAGACTCCGTTTCAAAAAAAATATATATATACATATATATATATACACACACATATATATACACACATATACATATACACACACATATATATACACATATATATACACATATATACACATATATATACACATATATATACACACACACACACATATATATATGCACATATATATGAATACCCAATACCCAATCCACAGCTTTCTCTTTGTGGTGCTTATGTGGTGTCACAATGCGTCTTGTGCCTCTCATCTGATTCCGCTACACGGTGCAAGTTACGCCAGACCAGAAACTGAACCGACGCTGAAAGTATCAGGCCTTCCGCTTAGCGCTGCCTTCGAGATCAGTCTCTCGACCCCTGTTAGGAGCAACGGCGGTGAGGCAGGATGAACGGCCTCATCCACGGAGCACTGCTTTGCCGTCTCCAGAAAGAGCTGTCGAGGTTTATTTATTCACGGAGAGGCTCTGCATCACGAGAGTGCTGCGTTAACCCAGGTGCGGGGGATATTATCCTCCCCGTGAGAGCAGCTGCATGGATTTTTTTAATGTCAAATTCCATATGAAACAGCACAAATCCCCATTTCTGCCCCACTGGGTTGAGAAATCTGTGGGTGATAGAGTATAGGTAAAAACATCTTAGCCTGCATGAAAACAAACATCATCTTAGAAGAAGGAAAGAGCAAATGTTTTAAAGGCCTAAAAATAATAATTTTCTCTAGGGAAAAATTTGATGGGCACGCTATGATTTATTGCCAAATGATATTTAAGAAAAATTCACAGGAGAGGCGGCTGCTGAATGCCTCCACCGAGGGTTCTGGGAAGGAAAACGCCCGCTTAGTGGAAGAACAGAACGGCCGCACAGAAAGTGCTTGGTCCTTGGCTTCCTGTGTCTCCCCCAAAACACACGTGGCTTATCAGAAACCTGCAGGAAAACAACACAGATTTATTCTCTCACAGGAGGCCACGGTCCAGATGGGTTTCACTGAGCTGAAGTCAGGGCTTGGGTGGGCCGCACGCTCTGGGGCGGCTCCTGACCTTTTCTGGCTTGTGGCACCTGGCTGGACTTCTCGGCGTGCAGCTCCTTCGTCCACCGTGAAACCCGCCCCGGCGTCCCTCTCCGACTCCGCTTCCTTCATGGGACTTCACTTCCGTGTGCTAAGAACGTGTAGCGAGGCCCACCGTGTTGACACTTCCCTGAGTGTGCAGCGTGGTACTGTTGGCTCTCAACCGTACGGCAGATGTCGAGACCGCGTTGAGGCCGCGTCGCTGAAACCTTGTGCCCTTGGAACGGCCCCTTCCCGTGCTTCCCCCAGCGCCAGACCCGGCAGCCTCCATCCTCCTCTCTTCTTCGGTGCGTTCAATTGTCATAGATTCCACGCTTCAGCGACGTCGTGCAGCCTCTGTCCTGGGCCTGGCTTTTGTTTCACTTCACGTCATGTCATGCAGGTTTATCCCTGTTGTTGCAGATGGCAGGTTGTCCGTCTTGTCTTAAGGCTGAAGAGCACCCACTGGGTCTATGCACCACGCTTTCCTGCCCGCTCGTCCCTGGGGGACATGTGCTTCCATGTCTTGGCTCCTGTGAACAATGCCGTGATGAACTCCGGAGCGCACCCGTCACTTCGAGGTCCTGATTTAACTTCCTTTGGATAAATATCTGGAAGTGGGATTGCTGAATCATATGGTGGCTCTATTTTTAATTTTTTGAGAAAACTTCATACTGTTTTCCATAATGGTTGCACCATTTATATTCCCACCAACAGCATGTAAGTGTTCAGAGTCTACACATCCTCACCAACACACGTCTTTTTGGTCACAGCCTCCTGATGGGTACAGAGACGTATCTCATCGTGGCTCTGATTTGCATGTTCCTGATCATTAGTGATGTTGAGCATCTTTCCATGTACAGTGTGTTGGCCATTTGTATGCCTTCTTTGGAGAAATGTCTACTAAAGTCCTTTGCCCATTTTTAAATCAGGTTATCATTATTATTTGCTATTGAATTGTAGGAAGTCCCTATACATTTTATTTTATTATTATTACTTTTTGGAGATGGAGTCTTGCTCTGTCATCCAGGCTGGAATGCAGTGGCACCATCTCGGCTCACTGCAACCTCCACCTCCCAGATTCAAGTGATTCTCCTGCCTCAGCCTCCCAAGTAGCTGGGATTACGGGTGCCCGCCATCACACCCAGCTAATTTTTGTATTTTTAGTAGAGACAGGGTTTTGCCATGTTAGCCAGGCTGGTCTCGAACTCCTGACCTTAAGTGATCCACCCACCTTTGCCTCCCAAAGTGCTGGGATTATAGGTGTGAGCCACCACACCCAGCCACCTATACATTTTAAATATTAACTCCTTATCCGTTATGTGGTATGCAAATATTTCCTCCCCGGTGACCAGTAGGGGATGCAGAGACCACACACCCACCACTCACCCTACCTTTCGTGGGCTGCCCTCTGGATTTGCTGATTGTTTCCCTGCTGATGCAGGAGCTCACTGGTTTGATGTTGTCCTGCATGTTCACATTTGCTTCTGTTGCTTGTGCCTTTGGTGTCAGATCCAAGAAACCTTTGCCTAGATGAATGTCATCATGCTTCCCCCGTGTTTTCTTCTAGTACGTTTATGGTTTCCAGTCTTATGTCTCAGTCTTTAGCCCATGTTGAGTGGGTTTTTGTGGATGTGAGGTGAGGGTCCGATGCCGTTCTTTTGCATGTGGACATCCAGTTTCCCCAGCACCTGTGAAGAGGCGACCCTTCCCTATGGTGTATTCTCCTCATGCTTATGAAGGAGCACTTGGCAGTGTATGAGTTGTTTCTGGACTCTCTGTTCCATTGATCTATAAGTCTGTTTTTATGCCAGTAGTGTATTGTTTTAATAACCATAGCTTTGTAATATATTTTGGAATTGGGAACTGTTGCATGATTTTTTGTGGAGCTCTGGGCAGGTTTTTCATGATGGCAAAATATGTCAACTTTTCTTTTTGGTGTAATTTCTTCATTGCTAACATTTTCCCTAGACAGTGAAATAATAAACATTTTCTAAAAGTTCCTCAAGAAAAACTATTGAAATTATTTAGTAGAAACATATGCAAGAGTAGATAATATTGATGTATCCTTATTATATTTAGAAGTTAAAATTAAAGAGGATCTTATGGGAAATTTAAAAATTGCACAGTAAGGGATTCCTTAAGAAACAGGCGCAAGCCCTTATTTCGTAGCATCTAATTCCTCACCGGGTGTGGAGGGGCCTGTTTACCCAATGCCCCCGCGAAGTCATAGTTTGGTGGCATACAGCTCTTAAGAATGCTTATTAGCTCTTAATATCAGAGAGGATTAACCTCCTACTTCATGAAACAATTTGCTAAGGCTGGGAATTTTTCTTCCATGTCTGTGAGGACTGCCTTCCCTTCTTTCCACACACTTCTTCATTCGTTGTGTACCTGCTGAGCACTCATGATATGTCAGACCAAGTTCTAGGGACTGCAGTGGTGAACAACTCCAGTGTCTGTGCACGGAGCTTCCATTCTGTAACCATGCAGCTGCTCCAGAGAATGCCAAGGTCCCAGCCAAAAAGCTCTAGATGATTCTAGACTGTGCACGGAGCTTCCATTCTGTAACTGCAGCTGCTCCAGAGAATGCCAAGGTCCCAGCCAAATAGCTCTAGATGAGGGGTGACACATAAGGTGAGGACCCACGCGTGCACACACATACACACACTTGCACACACATGCACACAGTCTCCCCTCTGACCCTTCTCGCCCTACTGGGTGACCAGTAGGTGATGCAGAGACCACCCACCCACCATTCAGCAAGATCTGACACCTTCTGACTCTTGACAGATGATTTCTGCAGACAGATCCGATGTCATCTTCCTCCCAGCCCCCCTTCTCCCAGTCCTGCCTCTTCCCACCCTGCAGGTCTAGGCCTCACTCACGAGAGAAGGCTGGTTTTATCCACTGTGTGTGGAGCCTGGCAACAAGCATCCCACATTGGTGTGATCCAGGTTACCCTCTCGCCATGCAGTGCCCTCACTGCCCTTGCTGCCCCTGAGCTCTCAGAGGGATGCGCTGCCTCAGCGTGGGGTGGGAGTGCCGCTCTGCACACTAGACTCAGTCCTCTCTCTGCCTGGAAATACCCACAAAGGCCACAGGATACAGATAATAGCTGTACTGGTGCTCTCAGACACATTTTCCATGAAAAGAAGAAAATAGCAAATTCCAGTAAGCATTAAGGAAACTCCTTCTCTGGGAGTCTCTGTTCCTCTCCCCCACAGTGCTTCTTATACTGTGCATTTGAAAGGTGTTTTAAAAGGACTTGTTGTTTCTTTAAGAAGCATAGAAAAAATATATATACTCCTGTGTGTGTGTGTGTGTGTGTGTGTGTGCGTGTGCAAATACATCATCAACTGAAGGTCTGAAGAAAAGGGAAAAGATCGCAGCTCATCAGGAATGAAAGGTGGCTTGTTCTCCAGCATCCTAGTTAAAAGTTCAAAGCACATTTTTCTTATAAATTAGGCTGGAGTAAAATTCAGGGAGATGGGAAAAGGAAGACATAAATTTTTAAAACATGCGAAGAATTTAAATGAGCACCAGGGGTGAAAATTAGACACATAGAACATGTATTCGACGTAAACTCCCGGTTGTTTAAAGTCATTAACGTTGTGTCGTTATGTCTAGTGTCAGGTTATGGCTCCACAGCCTGTTTGCCAGTTAAGCGGTGGGGGCAGGGCAGGCCTTGGTCAATATTTGAGTAAAAGAAGAATCTTAATAAACCCAAGAAAGTAACTTCAATAATAAGACCAGGCAGTGTTTTGCAAAGCAGAACAGAAGCAATTCAAAAGGGAGAGAGACACAGCCAGAGGCCCCAGGAGCCCCCACCTTGGGGACATGGAGTGTCTGTGTGAGCCTGGCTTTGTTCTGAGGCAGGAGGGACCCGAGTGCTTGGGGCCAGCCCTGTCCTGTTCTGCGTTAGCGATGGGGTCTGGTGCTTCTCCACACACACCGTGGCTGTGTGTGCACCGGCTGGGTGACGGCCCAGGTGGTTTTGTGCCAGCTGCTGATGCTGAGTGCACCTGAAAGGCCCACTTAGCCTCTTTGTGAAGAGGTGTGGGAAGATGTGCACACAGTAGAGAGCAGACTATCACAAGCCACAAAAATGTGTGTGTGTGTAATATATATAAAGGTCGACCATTCCTTATCTGAAGTGATTGGAACCAGAAGTGTCTCAAATTTTGCATTTTAGAATATTTACATCACACTTACTGGTTGAGCATCCCAAATACAAAAATCTGAAATCCAAGATGCTCCAAATCAGCATTTTCCTTTAGGGTCAGGCCTATGCTCAAAAAGTTTTCGATTTGGGGGCATTTTGGGTTTTAGATCTGGGATGCTCAACCTGTAGGTGCATGTATATATGTGTATATATGTATATCTACATATGTATTCATGCATGTGTACAAAAATATGCACATATGTACATACAGATGTATCTGTATATATGTATATGTGTGCATGTATGTGTGCATATGTGTCTATAGATGTCTGGTATATATGTATATGTGCAGGTGTAAATGTGTGCAATAGATGCATATACGTGTATATGTGTGTATGTATGTATACATAGATGCATATGTGTGTATACATGTATATGCGTGTACATCTGTGTGCCCATAAAGATATATGCATGTGTATGTGCATACGCATGTATGTGTGTGTGTGTGTACATCTTCTGTCTCTGCATTCTTACTGGCAGGATTATTGGGAACTATTGGATCTTTCTGAGGAGGCCAGGATGATTTCCGTGGCCTGCCAGTTTCTCAGAGCTATCTGGGTTGAGGCACTGAGAACCCCCTCAGTCCAGGCAGACCACGGCCCGGTGGTCTGCATGAACAAAGTGAGTACTTGGAGGGCCACTGGCATGGGCCCAGCTTCCCGCTCTCCTCTGCATGCACAGCCTCTATCCCATCAGACCTGCACCTCAGCAGCACCAAGCTCAGGGGCTGCCCTGGGCTCCCCTCTGAGCATCAGCTCCTCTGTTCCAGGGAGAGCCTCTGCTCCCCTCAGGGCCCACCTCCTTCTAGCAGAAAGCTGATTCTTCCCCAGACTGGGCCCTCAGTTCTCTGCTAGGTTTGGCCAGGCTGGTGTCTTTGACATGATCTTCTGGGAGGAGAGGCAGAAATGGGGCCCTTCCGATGTAGCTGGCAAAGCTGTAGGTGAACGGTTTGTACCACCAGGGAACTGTGCCCGAGAACACATATGTTCCCACAACAATGGGGTTTGTCAGCTTGCAGGTGCCCAGCCCTTTCCGTGCCCTCTTGAGATGGGTTGGGGCAGACAGAGTAGGAATGCTTCCTGGCTGATTACAAGGAAATCCCGGCCCATTGGATGGGGAAGCCACAAGACGGCTGCTTGGAGAGATGGTGCTGCACACACATGGCAGCCAGAACGAGTGTGGGTTCAGAGAGCAGGAATAGCACTCCCTGCCCTTGTCATGCTGTGGCCAAGGTTTAGGACTCCACAGGGCCCAGATGTCTCCTCTGGTCCCAGGAGGATGGAGCCTCAGACCTGGGGCCATGGGGAGGGAAGAGGTGTTCCTTGGGACAAGCAGGAGCCCAGTGGGCAGATGCCTTTCTGCACAGCCAGGGGACTGCTCCTATTTCTACTGTTTGCCTGGCCCAATTCATCACAGGAGGGTGAGGGCAGGGCTGCATGCCTGAGAGCTGACAAATCCTTCACATCCTGGAGCTTTGTACTGAACACTGCAGGGTTCCATACAGCTGTCAGCTGCAGAGACTAGGCACCGCCCCTGCAAATGCCTGGCCTCCTGCTGTCCAGCTGCCTTCACTCTGGCCCGGAAGTGGTTCTGGGGACAGTGGCTTCCTTCCAGGGCAGAAGCTGAGATCCAGTGTCTGTGGAGCCTCTCATGGCACGTCAGGCTCTGGGATGGATGTTTACGTGGGTTACCCTACCAAATCCCTGAGAACTGCTGCTATGATTCCCACTTTACAGATGAGAAAACTGAGGCTTAGAACATTAAGCACTGTGAGCTGAGATCATTGGCTAGTGAGCAGCAGAGCTGAGGTCCAACTCCAAGTGTGTTTGCCCCCAAACTCACACTCTGTAAAAGTCCATGGGCATCCCAGATCTCCCACCCATGTCTTCCCACTGGACCAGGCATCCCCAGCCTCTGGGCCACGGACTGACACCAGTCTGTGGCCTGTTAGGAACTGGGGTGCACAGCAGGAGGTGAGTGGTGGGTGAGTGAGCTGTTGAGTGGCCGGTGAGTGGTGGGTGAGTGAGCAGGTGAGTGGCAGGTAGGTGAGTGGGTGAGTGGCGGGAGAGTGAGCTGTTGAGTGGCCGGTGAGTGGTGGGTGAGTGAGTACGTGAGTGGCAGGTAAGCGGGTGAGTGGCGGGTGAGTGAGCGAGTGAAACTTTGTCGGTATTTATAGCCAGTCCCCATGGCTCACAGTACTGCCTGGGCTCCACCTCCTGTCAGCTCAGCAGTGGCATCAGATTCTCATAGGAGCTTGAGCCCTGTTGTGAACTGTGCATGTGAGGGATCCAGGTTGCACGCTCCTTATGAAAATCTAATGCCTGATGATCTGTCACTGTCTCCCATCACCCCCAGATGGGACCAGCCAGTTGCAGGAAAACAAGCTCAGGGCACCCACTGATTCTACATGATGGTGGGTTTTATAATTATTTAATTATATATTACAATGTAATAATAACACAAATTAAGTGCACAGTAAATGTAATGCGTTTGAATCATCCTGAAACCTTCCCCCAACCTTGGTCCATGGAAAAACCGTCTTCCATGGAACAGGTCCCTGGTGCCAAAAAGAGTATGGACCGCTGTCCTGGACAAACCCTGGGCCTGGAATTGACCTTGTTGAAAACACTCTTTTGGATTAAGCATCTATAAGATTCAGTTGTTGCCTTGGACGATTCACATTTCACATGGTCAGTCCCTGCAGCACCTCCCGAAGTGTGGTGTGTCACTTGCTTTTATGTGGAATGTGGGCAGTTCTTAAAACTTTATTTTAATGCACACGTTCAGTCCCTGCAGCACCTCCCGAAGTGTGCTGTGTCACTTGCTTTTATGTGGAATGTGGGCAATTTTTAAAACTTTATTTTAATGTGCACGAGAAAAAGCAAAATAGTACATCAAAAACATGAATTTTGTGGGTACTGTTGCTTAGGATAAGTAAGAAGGTTTCGAAAGCTGAGTCAGTCCAAAGAGGAACGTGTTGCGACAAGCCAGATGCCTTATGGAGCCAGGAGGCTGTGACTCTGGCCCTGGAGGGGGCTCAGCCCTGAGCGAGGTGTGGAAGGAGCCCGGCACCACCCCTGCCGTGTGAGCTCCCACGTAGGCCCAGGGTTGGATGAGATGACACCGAGGCTGTGGAGCCAGGAGGCTGTGACTCTGGCCCTGGAGGGGGCTCAGCCCTGAGCGAGGTGTGGAAGGAGCCCCGCGCCACCCCCGCCGTGTGAGCTCCCGCGTAGGCCCAGGGTTGGATGAGATGACACCAAGGCACTGTGGCGAGCAGAACCGTTTCCCCAAAAAGACACGTTCAACTCCTAACACCAGCACAGTGAATGCCGCCTTCTGGACATAGGGTCTCTGTGGATGGAGTTAGTAAAGATGAGGCCCTTATCCAGTACGGCCGGCATCCTTCTAAGAAGAGACAGCACAGACACGCCCCGAGGACGGAGACGGAACGGAGTGAGGCGTCTACCTGCCAAGGAGCCCCCGGCATTGCCAGGAGCCACAGAGAGTCGCCCGAGAGCTTCCTGAGCACGTGGCCCTGACAACACCTGGATCTCCAGCTTCCGGCCCGCGGTCCCGTCAGACAATTCATTTCTGTGGTTTGAAGCCACCCAGTTTGTGGCACTTTGACCCCAGGATCCTCACAGGAAACCGTCTCACTGGCCCAGTCCTGCTGGGCCCTGCCCATGGGATGGACTTGCTGTCCTTGAACAGGAGGCAGGTTCGGGGAACAGGACTGTAATGGGTCATGGAAAATACCAGGCTGATGGCAGAGGGTGCGTGGGGAGGAGATCAGGGAACCGCCAGGCCGGAGCTGGAAGCCGGGGCCACCGTCCAACTCACGAGGGCTCGGCAGAGAGGACAGGGGAGCTTCCCCTGCTGGCTGAAGTGGGTGGAGGCGAACCTGGCCCACAACACCCTGAGCTTCTGCGGAGCCATGTGAGGGCCACGTGGAGAACACTGCAGTTCCACCTTCATCAGATAAAGCCAACCGTTGTTGTTTAAGCAAAGGCTGCGGACAGTGAGCACAGAACTTCACAACACATCATGGTCGCAGCGCACCATCCCCCGTGATCCCAAAGCAGCGATCTAGACGTGTGGGGTCCACAGGCGGGCGCCCTGGCACTGGGGGCTCTGCAACTTGACGAGGCTATGCCAGGCTGGGCTAGAGGTGCCGTGCTGGGCACAGGCTCTCCACGGGATGGCGGGACTGCTGGGCACAGGCTCTCCACGGGGACGGCGGGGCTGCTGGGCACAGGCTCTCCACGGGGACAGCGGGGCTGCTGGGCACAGGGTCTCCATGGGGACGGCGGGACTGCTGGGAGCTGGGTTCTCCACGGGGACGGGGACGGCGGGACTGCTGGGGGCTGGGCTCTCCATGGGGACAGGGACGGGGACGGCGGGACTGCTGGGGGCTGGGCTCTCCATGGGGACGGGGACGGGAACGGCGGGACTGCTGGGGGCTGGGCTCTTCACGGGGACGGCGGGACTTCTGGGGGCTGGCTCTCCACGGGGACGGCGGGACTGCTGGAGGCTGGCTCTCCACGGGGACGGCGGGACTGCTGGGCACAGGCTCTCCACAAGGACGGCAGGACTGCTGGGCACAGGCTTTCCACGGGGACGGCGGGACTGCTGGGGTCTGTGCTCCTCACCCCAGGGCTCACGCTTTTCCATGAGACCCTCCCCAGCCACATCGGGGGCTCTGAAGACTGAGCACTGAGGGTCAGCAGCAGGTAGGAGATGTCTTTGAAGTTTCATCTGTTATCTTAAAAACTCGTGGATTTTTGGGGCGGGGCGCTGTGGCTCATGCCTGTAATCCTAGCACTTTGGGAGGCCAAGGCAGGCGGATCACGAAGTCAGGAGATCGAGACCATCCTGGCTAACACAGTGAAACCCCATCTCTACTAAAAACACAAAAAATTAGCCGGGCGTGGTGGCGGGCACCTGTAGTCCCAGCTACTCGGGAGGCTGAGGCAGGAGAATGGCATGAACCCGGGAGGTGGAGCTTGCAGTGAGCGGAGATCGCACCACTATACCCCAGCCTGGATGACAGAGCGAGACTCCATCTCAAAAAAAAAAACCCAAAAAAATAAAACAAAAAAAACTCATGGATTTTTGTAATCTACTCTATTATATATATATATATATATATATATATGCACACACATGTATGTTTTAGTATCAAAATGACTTCACCCCAAATCTCCACGTGAAGTAGATGCGTCTCCTCTCCATCGTGGCTGTTGGCACAGTGCTGTGTACCTGAGTGTGTTCAACGTCTTGAGATTTCTAAGCTTAAGGGCAGGAGATAGCCCAGGGCTGGCACCCAAATCCTAAGAACCCTGGCCAAATATACAGGATTTAATGTCCTCAGCACCAGGCATCACACAGGAACGTGCGTGAGCCCATGAAATACTTGCTCAATAATAAATGCTGCCAAGCTGCTAAGCTTGGGGAACCTGATGAGCACTCGGCTTATGGGAGACTGATGCTCCCCACAGGCCGGCCCCTGTGCCGAGACTCCACGCAGTGGCTTCCTCGCTGTGACAGCCTCCCCTCATCTGACGAGGTCCAAACAGCGGGTCCAATTCTACCCACACCTCTTTGCATAGGGTGCTTCTCTGGATTTTAGGGTCTAGACCAAAGCTGAGGCTGTTTTATACATTTTGGGGTCCCTGGAACTCAGGACAAGGCCATCTGTATCCCCAATGCTGAATGAGTCTCCGACAGGTGATAGGGCGATGGGGTCGCTGTCTAAGTAGGGAAGGACCACCCTCGACTTAAGACATGGCTCAGTGAAAAAAGCCTCGCTCTGAGGACAGGCAGTGAGAAATGAGGAGGTTCAGGGCAGGCGGACTCCATGTGACTGAGGGTTTGGCCGGGCTCCCCTTATCAACCCGGCATCCCTCGACCATGTTCTCTGGTGCACACAGGTGAGCAGAGGGCAGTGTCTGCTCTGGCCAAGGCAGGGGCACCCCAACATCGCAGCCCCTTTTGGATGTGAGGTCCGCTCATTAGATCCGAGGGGCCGTCCTCCTCCCGTGCTGGGACCCTTGGGGCTTGCCGGGAGAGACGCCCAGAGGGAAGGGGCTTTGTGGGAGGAGGGGTTCCGCTGCCCTTCCTGGGGCACCTGTTTCGCTTTTTGTCTTTCTTTCCTCCCTTTCCACTCCACTCCCTTTGGGGCATGAGGGAGGTGAGGGAGGAGGGTGGGAAGAACAAAGGAGAGAATTCTGAGGAGGGCGTCCTGAGTTCCAGGGACTTCTTTCATCAAGAGGAAAAAGAAAAACTCTTTCAACACTCCCTGTGCATAGGGTGCTAATGAGCTGCAAATTGAAATTATTTGGAGTTTTTCTTAATGGTGAAAAGAAAGAAGTTGTCAGAGGAGACCAGAAACTCTATGTCAGCTGAGAAAGCTGTAAGCGAGAGAGATGAATGGACGGCTCATCTGTGCTTTGGTGCATCTTTCATCAGCCGGTGTCACCCTTGGTAGCCGGGTGCTGGCCAATTTCCATTTAACTTCCATTTAACGTATAGCCAAGGAGGCCCGTGATTTCACCTGTCTGACCCACCACAGATGGGTAGCTGGGCTTCACAGAAATGGAGGTTGAGTTCCCGGAGCGGTAGCCCAGGGCTGGTATGTTGAGAATTCCGTTTGGAAACCAGCGTTGTGCAAACCGGGGTTAGGATGTGGAAAACTCGCCCTCCTTCCAAACCCAGAAGCCTTCGTCTTGGTTTAGAAGTCCCTAAGCCAAGTCCCTACCCACATTCCACGCTGCTCCCTAATTTCACCCGGACCACAGCCTCTGGATGAGCTTCTGTTAAAAAGAGATGACTCGGTGACAAACAGGAGGACGGTGCTCAAATGACTGTGACACGTGCCGTGTATCTGCAAAGACCTGTGCCGTGCTAAAACCACACGCATGGCAGCCTCCCCCAAGCCAACCACCCGGGCCCACAGACAAGCATCTCCAGAGCGCGTGGGACCGTAGAGAAGGCAGTGACAGGGCCAGGGCAAGCCGGTTGGAGAAGTGGAACTTCAGTGGTAAGCCCAGACCTTTGGGACCCCTCACCCTGCCCGGTCCTCCTGCTGTGGGGTGTGAGTCCAGCCAGTGCTGGGAAGCCGGTGTGGCTAGGACAACAAAGACCAAGGACAGCGGGGAACGGTGGGGAGGGAAGAGGGTGGGAGACCAGAGTCAGAGGCGGACAGGGGTTCGATACGCCATTCAGGTCCCCAAAACAGCATGTGCAGCTCTCGTTAAATGGAAAAGGCCCTAATGTCATGGGAAAGTCTAACAATTTGTTAAACTTTGTTAGTGTACAAAATGTGGTGATCCTACTCGTATAAAAAAGAAAGTTCAAATGCGCAGAAGAAAGATCAGAGGACAAGATGCCCACGAATGATAAGCGCCTTTGCTGCCTCTGGGCGGGTCCGGGGGAGTCGCATTTCTTCCTCACTGCATCGCTGTATTTTCCAGATGTCCACTGAGGAATGAGCATTGCTTTTTAATTAGCAGCTGCCCCGAGTGCTCCAGCTGCCCTGCGTGTGGCTGTCTACACAGCACGCATTCCTTACCCCGGTGGTTTTCATCTGGACCCTGAGTCAGAATGGCCTGGAGCGCGGGTAAAACAGCTCGGGGCCAGCCAGAGCTTCTGAGCCAGGGCTGGGCCCAAGAACGTGCATTTGCGTTGTTCCCCAGGTGATGCTGCTGGTGACCCCGGGGACCCCGCCGTGAGAGCCCCGACACAAGTCGCGGTTTGTGGTGCTTTGGAGGAGTTTGCTCCTTAGAGTGAGGGGGATTGTTCTGCCCCAATGGCCTCTTCAGAGCTGCGAGACTGTGCCCACGCGAGGCAGTGGTCGCCACACCCACACTGCCGTGCTGCGCAGGTGAGGCCTGGTGCACGGAGCCCCTGGGGGACACGGCGAAGGGCCTTCTCCTGCCATCTGCTCAGGAACCCCTCCCTGGGCTTGGCCTCCATCTTGACAGGCAGGCGAGGAAGCCCCTGCTGACGCCATTTACAACTGCAAACCTCCCATTTCCTCCCAGGTCCTTAAAGCTCCACATCATAAAACGGATGTGCGCGTGAAGGAAACGTGGGTGTCCACAGAGAGCTCCCCCGGAGAAGGCCACGTCCACGGTGCCGCCTGACAGCAATGGCTTCCTCAGCGTTTGACGGGCAGGGAGAAGGGTGGGGAGGCCACAAGGACAGGAGAACTGGCGCTCGACATGGGGCAGGACGGGAGCAGGATGGGAACAGGAGGGGACAGGAGGGGGCAGGACAGGGACAGAGGAGAGACACGGGGCAGGACGGGGCAGGACGGGGACAGGCGGGGGCAGGACAGAGGGAGGACAGGGACGGAGGAGAGACGGGGGGCAGGAGGGGGCAGGAGGGGGCAGGGAGCCACGTCTTCTCCAATCCCATATGGGGCCATCTGCCACCCTCTGCCCAAAATGTACGATTCACCATGGCAAGGAGGCGAGAAGCGGGGAGATCCCTCTAAACCCAAATGAACACAGAGTGATGGGGCCCCAGCACCCCATCCACAGGCTCATTCCATTATTTGAAAATGTTTCTAAAAACTGAGCTTCTTTTCATCTTTGAATTGGCTTCTTGTCACAGAGCAGCTTTGCAGGCAGCCTGTTTCAGGTGTCCACACTTTGCAGAGGGCGCCTCTGCACAGAAGCGCACGAGTCCCAGATGGAGGGAAGCAAATCTCACCCAACTTTAAATATTTGTTTCTCCAAAGCTACGTGGTCACCCGTGCATGGTGACGGTGATGTTTGATTTCAGGTGACTTTGAGGCTGACCTTCCACACGGGGCCCTGCGTTTCTCTCCTCTGCACCTGAACCCTCCTAGTCTTTATTCTGGGAGCAGCGCGGGAGGCAGTGGAGACGTGGAAGCAGGCTCCGGCTGCTGGGCCTGCATGACCGGTTTCCCTGCAGAAGATTCTGCGCCCTTCAGCCTCACCGTCCTCACCTGGCCTGGGTGCTGCTGTGGGCAGGCGCTGGGCACGCTGGGAAGAGCAGGGCCAGCCGTTTGCAGGACGGGAGGCTGAGGCTGTGTGCACCTCCTGAGGGCTGGGCCACAGGTGGGCTCAGGCCTGCGCCCTCCCATGGCCGTGGCCTCTTCCTCGGTCCTTTGCCCTCCAGGGTGCCAGGCCTAGGCCTCCGCGCATCAGTGTGGTCAAAAGGCAGGACTGGTGTGTGGTGTTTCCTGACATTTTGTTACCTGTAGAGCCACTTAGAGAAGCACCGCTGCCGAGGTGGGAAAGCCGGAGTCCCAGCCAGTGGGCTGAGCTCAGGGTGCTGGGGTCCTGGGCCCAGACTCTGTGCTGGGACCTTGTTTGGAAATAGGGTCTTTCTAGAGGATCACATTTAGATGACGTCATGGGAGTTGGCCCTAGTCCAGTGTTGCTGGCATCCTTTTAAAGGGACATTCGGATGCAGACAGGCACTCATGGGGGTCGACGTGAAGGAGAGAGCCACCCACATCCAAGGACTGTTGGAGGCCACCAGAAGCTGTAGAGATCCTGGGACAGACCACCCTTACAGCCTGCCATGAGCTGGGGCGCGCGCACATGTGTGTAAAGCAGCACACATGCATGCCACAAAGCAGAGGCTAAGCAGTGCACACTGTGCACACTCTGCACACGCTCAGGCGGTGACACGTTGCAGACATCGCTGTGCTTCAGAAAGAGCTGGGCGGCAAGATTCACACAAGTAAGCATGTTGCAGACTCCCCAGCACACGCCCTCTCTGGCTTGTGCTCATATGAACATACTGTCACCCTCGTGCAGATGTGAAGATGTGCTCTCACTCATGCACGTACAGATCACGCCCTCTCGCTGGTGTACATGTGAACACATGCTCCCCTCATATATACAAATACACTCACTCCTTCTCCACCCTTGTTCACAGCAGCAGCCTGAGAAGACACAGAATTCCATGAATTGCAGCCCAGAGACCCCCCAGCCCTGCCGGCTCGCCTCCTGCCTCCCGCCTCCTAGCGTGCTCTGAGGTGGAGACCAGCTGCTGCCCCGTGCCTGCCCCGCCTCCCTGGGCCATGCTGCCTTGCAGACTCTGCTGCTCGGTGTGGTCGGGGGCCTGGGTCGGCCCCAGGGTGAATGAGTGATGGGTTCCACCCTAAACTGGCTGTGGAGACCTTCCACACACTTTCCTCCCCTCCACGAGCTCTAGGGCAGGGCAAGCTTGGAAGCCAAGGGCTGGCAGAGGCCGAGCCAGCCTGGATCTCAGAGTGGCCACACGGAGCAGAGCCACACTCCACCTCAGGACGCTGCACTGGATATGAGTGAGAAACAAACTTTCTTGGGTTAAGTTGTTAAGATTTCGGGGATGTGTTTAAAGTCCCTAGTGTTCTTTTTACTGTCCACTGCCTGTCTCCAGGAGGGGCCCGGGGGCAGGCACTGAAGCCCCCGCAGTCTACAGGCCTCTGGCACTCAGACAGGAGCTCTGCTCTCAGAAAAGCAGGCAGGCTGGCATTCGGCACATCCTTGGAAGCGGGTGGTGCGAGACTCTGCCCTCTACCCTCTGCCCTCTGCCCTCTGCCCTGGCGTTGAGTGCTTTGCTGGGACTGCGGCTCCCTGGCCCCCTCTCTTGCCCCACATGTGGATTCGCACAGACCCTGCAGCATCCCCCTCCCTTTCTCCTCCTCTTTTCTCTTTACTCAGGAATATCCCATCTTAGTTACGGGGCTGGGCACCCCAAGACCTCTCTCTAACAGGGGTCCCCACATCCAGGGCACTGCAGATGGGCTGCCGACCACATGCCTCTGGCCTCCGGCCAGTCTCGGGCCATTTGCTGACACCCCGGAGGCCGATGGGCCCTCTCGCTGCTCAAGGTGGAGGGAGGCTGTGCACCGGGGGTGTCGGCATGGGAGCGCTGTGTTCCGGGGGCGCCGCGGGTCCCTCCTCCCCAGGCTGCTTACGCGTCACACCAGCAGCTCTGATTTAAACCCAAATCCTTTCACATAAAACCCTTCACTTGTGCTCTTAGGAGAGGGTTTTGCACACGTCTGGCTCTGCTTCCCTTCTGCTGCATTTTGCTGGTGCGCTGGGGGTCTGTGTGTCTTATTCGGAGAAGACGTTGCTGCTCCCCCAAACGAAGAATCATGTCACAGGAAACCATGACAAACCCCCCTTTTGACTGTGCCTCCCAGCAGGAGAACAGGGAGCTGAGAAGACAATGAGGAGCAGGCTGTGGGGAAAGGAGAGGTCACTGAGGTCACATGAGTATCAGGCAGATGGTGCCACTGCCGGAGCCACCCCAGAGCCACCATCACGGCACCGTTTCATCCCATCCAGTCCTCCCCACGTCCTCAGGTGGCCAAAGACCACATTACACCACATCTGTCCTCAGGGAAAAGAGGAGAGAATGCATCTGAGAGGACCTGTCGACCAGGGACACACCCGACCTGCACAAAGCAGCATCTGGAGCTACGGCCGGGGCCATCAATGGGGTGAGGGGGCCAAGGAGAGCCCTGGCTGCCCTGCAGAGGGTGTGTCCGTGTGGCCTGTGTGCATGCACGTGTGTGTCTATGTGTAATGTGTGAGAGACGTGTGTGATGTGTGCATGTGTACATGTCTGTGTATGTGTGCATGTTTGGTGTGTGTGTGTAGCGTATGTGTGTGGTGCGTGTGTGTGGTGAGTGCACATGATGTTTGTGTGGTGTGTGTAGTGAGATGTGTGTATGTATCATGTGTGATGTGTATGTATGGTGTATATGTGTGTTATGTGCATGGTGTGTGCCTGTTTGTACATGTGTGATATATGTGTTGTGCGTGGGGCATGTGTGCGGTGTGTGTATATATGTATATGTTTGTGTCTGTGGATGTGTGGCATGTGTGGTGTGTGTGGTGTGTGCATATGTGGTATGTGTGTTGTGTGTACAGTGTGGGTGTGTGTAGTGTGTGTATATGTGTATGTGCATGTGTGGTGTGTGTGGTAGGTGTGTGGTGTGTGTGCATTCATGTGAAAGTGTGTGCACATGTGTGTTTGCATGCATGTGTATGTGTGTGCCCGTGCATGTGTGGTGTATGGTATGTGTGTGGTAGATGCCGGCAGTGTGTTGGTCATAGGGAGGGAAGGTGGAGGCTGCGGTCTAGCAGCAGAGAAACAGATGGGTGGTTTTTTCTAAAGCGTGGGAAATGACACGGGGGCTGTGTGGCCTCAGAGATGGGTGGGGTCATTGGGGAGCTGGATCAATAATCTGGACATTTGGGAAGATGTCTTGGGGGCCAGGTGCCCAAGCTACATCTTCAACGATGAGGAAGACAGGAAACGGGGAGGGACGTCTCAAGAGAGGGCGTGGCCTGAGCCAAGGAGTTCAGGTGGCAGCTTCCAGAAGGGCAGAGGCCACGACACCGAGGCCCCCAGCTGGTGCCTCCTGTGGCTGAGTGATGAGGGGCACTGGAGTCCAAGGCCCTGGGTGTGAGTCCCTGGGATGCTAAAATTTAATTTCCTCATGTGCCAAATGAAGACAATATAGTATTTACCCCTCAGGCAATTATTAGGAAGATTAAATGTTAATTTTAGAGAAAATGTAAAACATAAATGCTTTTGTGATTAATTAATTCATTAATTACGTGTGGAGAACCTCCTGGGTGCCAGGCACATGGCACTCCAGCCACAAACAGGAGAAGCTGGCCCGCCCTCCTCCAGCAGCCCTCGCCCAACACACCCCTCCTCTGAAACCAGCAAGGCC
This sequence comes from Homo sapiens, assembly GCF_000001405.40. NCBI lineage: Eukaryota > Metazoa > Chordata > Mammalia > Primates > Hominidae > Homo > Homo sapiens. The sequence continues at coordinate 157,818,923 of NC_000007.14, forward strand.
AGGCCCAGGCACCCGTGACAACTGCACCCCGAGCCACCTCTCAGGACAGGCCAGGCCCAGGCACCCATGAAATCTGCACCCTGAGCCTCCTCTCAGGACAGAGGCCATCAGCCCACGTGCCTGTGGGATTCTTCATTTCTGCCACTAAGCTGCCCTGTGGACACCACTGGCCCCAGCCCCCCAAACACCTGCTGGGCCTGGGTCCACAGTGGCCCACCTGCACCCGCTCAGGGTGGCCTGGGCAGCCCCCTTCGGAAGCCCAGGGCTCTGCTGCCTGGGAGCTCCAGCACCCAGGGACGCGCTCATTTGGCGCTGGGTCTTCCAAAGTGAGCCCTCACCCCCATGCCTCATCAGCATGGCCCTGACAGGGACAGGAGTGTGGTAGAGGACTTGGGTTAATAAGTGAGATTTTTAACAGGCTCCGCTCAGCTGGCTCTGTCGGCTCGAGTCTGAGCCCATCCGTCAGCGTCAATTAGGAAGCCTCAGCTCAGAACGCAACACCAGGGGCTGCGCAGAGGAAGAAGCGCGAGGGCGCCCTGCAGGCTCACAGCGCCTGAGCACACACCGAGCGGCCGCAGCACAGCCCTCCCTCCCGCCCCAAGCACACACCGAGCGGCCACGGCACAGCCCTCCCCGCCCCAAGCACACACCGAGTGGCCGCAGCACAGCCCTCCCGCCACAAGGGTACACCAAGCGGCCACGGCACAGCCCTCCCCACCCCTACCTCCTTTTGGCAGCGCAGGTGCATTCAGGGGAGCGTGCTGGATGGGAGGGGGCTCCCTGTCACGTCTCCTGGAAGGATGGGATCCCTCTGCACGCCCCATCACCCGCCCACCCACTGCCAGCCATGGGCACACACACAATATTTGTGTATTCATGAACACGCAAAACACACTCACACATGCGATCACACTGCATGACCCCCCCCACACCCACACATGCAGTCACACACACGCACACAACAGACACATGCTTATGTGCACACACACAACACACCTGCACTAGCCCAGGCACTCACACATACATGAACACAGCAGACCCAAACACGTTCACACGCACAACACACCCACACACACAGAGGCACTCCACACACACATGCACACACACACCCACAGTCACACATGCACCACCACACACATACAGCAGATCCACAATGTATATGCACACACACAACACATCCACACTCACACATGCACTCCACATACATGCACACAGCAGACCCCCACACACGCACACACATATAGAACACCCACACTTATGCACTCACATATATATGAACACAGCAGACCCACACAGTCACACACCAACACATTCACACATGCAATCCACACATGCAGCAGACACACACACGTGCACACACCACACCCATGTCACACACAGCAGACCCACACACGTTCACACACACAACACAGTCACATATGCACTCAAACATACATGCACACAGCAGACCCATATATATGCATATTCAAACACACAACACATCCACACTCACACATGCACTCCACACACCTGCACACAGCAGATCCCCACACACATGCACACAAACACCCACACTCATACACGCACTCACAGCAGATCCAACACACGCATTCTTACACATGCACACAGCAGACCCACACACGTGCACACACACGCACACACACTCATACATGCACTCACAGCAGACTCCCCCACACACGCATTCTTACACATGCACACAGCAGACCCCTACACACGTGCACACACACATGCACACACACATACACACACCTTCACCTGAGGCCAAGCCAAGGGGGAGTGATCTGGGAAGTGGCATCTGGAGGCTGAGGAACCTCAGAGCATTTCTTCTTTTGCATCTGAGGTTTCAAAACCCATGAGAATGATCTTGGAGTTATTCCTTATTCTCTACATGCCAGGAAAGGTGAAATCAGAAAGGAGAGGATTTGACAGCCTCACCCAGAGGGAAAGTGTCAGGCTGGGGCTCACTTTTTGCCCTTTGGAGCCGAGGATGAAGGAAACAGTAACTGCCACAGGGCAGCAGGAGTGCACCCCGCAGCCTGGTGGAGTCTCCCACGCTGGAGGGGAGGCAAGAGTGCACCCTGCAGCCTGGTGGAGTCTCCCATGCTGGAGGAGAGGAGGATGAGGCCAGGCATACTGGACAGCTTGTGTGACCCCAAGGCAGGCATGGCAGGATCTAGGTGCAGATGACACACCCAGCATCCTTGTGCCAATGCCACTCGGGTGTACTTTGCTGCCTCTGCTGAATGTAGGTGGAAGAAGGCAACTCACCTGTGAACAGTGCTGTCCTCTCTCCTGAGAACCAGCACAATCATAAGTTTGGAGACAACAACAAGAATTCAGTTTTAGTTATGAGAGGCCTATAAGACCTCTGAGTAAAGACATAACTCTAGGATCTGGTCAGAGCTATAAATTCAGGGTCAATTCACTCCATGGCTGCCATTTGGAGTTATACAGATGAATGAGGTCATGGAGGGAGGTGGTGTCTGGAGAGAAGTGTCCTGAGGAACCCAGCATTTGGAGAGCATGTGGGGAGGCCACCATTGATGAGCCTGAGAAAGAGCAGCCAGAGACATCGGAGATGAAGGTGAGCCCAGCATGGTTGACACCAAGACAAGAGGAAGTTTTGAGAAGGGGCTTATTAGCTCTCAAAAGCTGATGGAGAGCCCACAGTTGATGAGGATTGAAGAGTGGCCATTGGCTTCAGCACCATGAAATCACAGCTGGCCTTGGTTGGCATGGTGGGATAGAAGCCACTCTGAATGAGCTGGAGTCTGCACCTGTGGCCGGGGCAGAGGCAGTGGCTGAGGTAGATGGAGGATTGGGGAGAATGCAAACAGGAAGACAAATAAACCAGAGGCCAGGGAAACCAATGGTTGTTGATGTCACAGAGAATGATGACATAGGTTGTGGTGAAGATAATTGTGAGAGACGTGACTAAGGGGGAGGAGGGACATGGGTTAGGAAGCCATTCATCCATCCAGGCACTCATTCATCCATCTATATATACACTATCCATCATCCATACACCCACTCATCCACCCATCCATCCATCTGTACACTATCCATCATCCATCCATCTACTCATCTATCCATCCCTCCCTCTATCTATACACCATCCAATAACCATCCATTCACTCATCCATCCATCTATATACTATCCATCAATCACCCATACACTCATCCATCCACTCATCCACTATCCATTGTGCATTCATCTACCCACTCATCCATTCATCCATCTATACACTATCCATCATCCATCCAAATACTCATCCATCCATCTATATACGATCCATTATCCATCTATACACTCATCCATCCATCCACTCACCCACTATCCATCATCCATCCATAATACACTCATGCATCCATCCACCCATCTGCTATCCATGAGCCATCCTCCCACTCATCCATCCATCCATCCGTCCATCCATCTATACACTATCCATCCACCTACTCATCTATCCATCTATATACTATCCATTAACTATCCATCCACTCATCTATCCATCTATATACTATCCATCATCCATCTATCCACTCATCCACCCATCTATATGCTATCCATCATCCATCCACCTATATATTAGCCATTATCTATCCATAATACACTTATCCATCCATCCAATCATCCGCTATCCATTATCTTTCCATAATACACTTATCCATTCATCCAATCATCCACTATCCATCATCCATCTACCCTTTCATCCATCCATTCATCTACCCATCCACTCACCATGCATCCATCTACACACTATCCATTATCTATCCATCCACTCTTCTATCCACCCATCCACTATCCATCTACCCATCCACATATCCCATCATCCATGCGTACATGCATCCATCCTTCCTCCTATATATCCATCAGCCCATCCATCCATCCATCCTTATATCCATCCACTATCCATCTATCCATCCACCCATCATCCATGCAGGCATCCATCCTTCCTCTCATCCATCAGCCAATCTGTCATCCATCCATCCACTCATCCATCCATTTATCTATATACTATCCATCACTTATCCATGTATTCATCCACTATCAAGCATTCATCCATCCACCCATGATCCATACAGACATACATGCACCCATCCATCTTTCTATCCTTCCATCCTTCTATCCACTCATCCATTCACCCACTATCCATCATCCATCCATGCATGCATCCATCTATCCTTCCTTCCATCCATTCTGTCCATCTACCTATGGAAGCATATATCCATCCATCCATCCATCCAGATTTCTATTGAGGACCCATATTGTTAAAAAATAGAGCTAATAATCACCTAAAATATTTAATAAAACCTTAAAACACATAAATACCTAAAATACTAAAGCCTGGCAAAATAACAAATTATTAGAATAAGTTCAAGAAATTCTAATTAATGTTTGCAAGATTATGTTATCATTAGCTTCAAGACACTCCTAGCCTCAGGCTCAGGGTATAGGCAAAAAATTAACACCTAGTACTTGACAATGAGCGTCCGTACCTGGGCTGTGATTATGAGCAGCTGCTTCTGATTACAATCAGTGAATCACTAATCTGCAGTCTGCTACAAAACAGCTGGACTCCATCTATTATTCATTCTTGATGTGGAGATATCCAGAATGGAGAGACTAGAATTGGACTCCTAGGATCCCTGTTGTCTTCATCCCCCAAGGATGTTCTGGTTTGGAAGTTGTGTTTCTGAGGCCCCTGACATCCAAGACTACAGGTTAGATCATCAAGTTCATATGACAGGCAAGGACTGGTGAAGTTTTCAGATTTTCTCACTCATTGGCTAGCATTCCTTTGAACTCTTCAAAGGCTTGATATATATAGTCTACCTTAAACATCTGGGGATTTGATGTCCTGAGACTTAGGTTTTGATCACATCAAGCTTTTCCCTAAGCATGAAAATTTTGCTCAAATAATTCAGATACCCTAACCAGCCTGTGTCTCTAAGGGGAATCTGGAGGGCAAAGTGGGGAGGAGGTTGAATCAGTCCTTCGTTCCACAGCTGGGTATGAGACAGACAGAGAAATTAGAAGTGTTTTTTCCTTTTTCCTCCTTACTCTAGAGATGAGCAGATGGACTGGCTCAAAAGTGGCCTGGACTTCAAGCCCTCATAGAGAACTGATGCATCTCAAGTCACCTTCGCTCTGCCATCAGTAACAATCCCCCTGAACCCAGCGAGAGCACACGGCCCCAGAGCTCAGACCGTCAGTGGGGTTTGTGCACAGCCTCCTGTGACCCTCCTGAAGGTAGGAGCTGACCACAAGTCCTCCTCCCAAGGCAGGGGCGAGCTCAGCTTGCCGACGGCTGCCAGAGAGTCACCCTCCTGAAGGTAGAAGCTGACCACAGGTCCTCCTCCTAGGGCAGGGGGCGAGCTTGTTGTGCCGACCGCTGCCAGAGAACCACAAGAGGGCCTTCCCCTTTGCACCTGAAGCCTTAATTAGCAGGTTTGTCTTGGGATGTTAAGGATGGGAGGCCTCTGTCTGGTGCCCCACCTGTCCAATGGGCAGCAGCTTCCCGAGGACAAGTGCATGCTGTCCGTGGATTCTCTGTGCCTGCATGGCGTGAGGTGTGTCACTGACACTCAGGGACTCTTTGCTGACTCAAGGCTGCCACACAGGCCCCCGGAAGAACTCGGTAGGAACTCTGGACTGTTGGCAACTGAGCCTCCCGCAAAATAGGGAATGGAGGCTGCCCCATTCCGGAGGGACATGGTGAGACCTGGCTCGACAGGAAGTTCTAGAGGACAGGCATGCTTTTGGGTCACTGGCTGTCTGTTGGTGGGCAGAAGAGTCTTTGGGTGTGAACCTGGATGCTACACTGCAGTGACCCCCAACTAGTGCTGTGCCCCAAATACTTGGGCAGAAGGCAACACTCCTCAGAGAAAGGGTGACCTGTTTCCCGTGAGGCAGAACCCGCCTCGCCTTGGCTGGAGCAGATGATGGAACCACTTCCACATGCTGAATGAAGCCACAAAGCAGGCGGATCACGAGCGGCACCCAGGGCCCACATTAGGGCTGAGTCATGCTGGGAAAACTGAGGGCCTGGGGAGTCAGCCAATGTGGCCCCAAGGACCCTGCAGACCCCACCCCATCTCAAGGCAGCTTGGCTCAGGGCAAACGAGGATTCTTCACCATCCCAGGCCTGCTGGTCTTCCTCTGCTTCCTTGGAGCCTCTGGTCTGTAGCTGGACACGTGGATGAAGTTTCTCTTTCCCAGCCTTTCTTGAAGCTGGACATGCGACTCGGTTCTGGCCAAGGCAACCCAAGTGAGAGTTGTGTGCTGCTTTCAGGGAGTGTCTCATGGTGGGACGCGCGCCCTGCTCCTCTTCTTCCCCCTTCCTGCTGGCTGAAATGAGACCTGGATGGTGGGATCTCCAGCAGCCATCTGGGATCATGAGGAGCAGCTCAGGGCTGAGGGCTGGAGCGGCAGGAGTAGAACACCTTGTTTCTGGGACCTCAGAGGCTGCAAGGTCCTCAGACTGCCTCCCCCCCAGACTTCTTCCACAGGAAATGAAAGTGCATTTCCAGCTCATTTAAGCCACTTTTATTTTTTATTTTCTGTCACACTCAGTCACACTAATCCTGACTAATACACACGTGTTTGCCAGTGAACAGATTATCCTCTCAAAAGTGTCAAAATGCCACGTCAGTGTATGAATCACACCTTTGAACAATGAAGGCTCCCGTGTTAAGAGGACGAGTGAGCTCTGCTGCCTGGACCACTGCCCTCCACATTTGTTCATGTCTGAGTTCACACCTGGGGCTCACACAGGTATCTCTCTCGAGGCAGACCTCAGGCGCCTTCTCTGCAGATCTGAGAAAACCTGGCTGGATCCCGGGGGAGCAGCAGCGCTGGCCCCAGCCCCATTCAGCTTCCACCACTCAGCTTCTCTGCCGAGCTCCCAGGCACTGTTCTGGAGACCTCAAGGCTCCAGGAGACAAAAAGTAGCATCACTGTAGAGAGCTTCTGGATGTCTGTGGCTTAGGGGTGCTTGAAAAGTTACAGATGCTCTTTTGTACACTGAGTCAAGGCTTTGGAGAAGCGCAAGTGCTTTATTCACCACTTTCACTTTGTTCCCCCGTGCATGTAAGGGGTCAGGCAATCCCCTCTGCTCAAGCCACCACCAGTAAATAGAACGGCAGCACAACCGTGATCACCACAGTCATCACAATGAGCGCCATTTCCACGCGTGCTGTGCTGAGATGACAACACAACTGTGATGACCACAATCATCACAACGAGCGCCATTTCCACGCGTGCTGTGCAAAGACAGCAGCACGAACACGATCGTCACAATCGCGAGCGCCATTTCCACGCGTGCTGTGCAAAGACGGCAGCACGAACACGATCGTCACAATCGCGAGCGCCATTTCCACGCGTGCTGTGCAAAGACGGCAGCACGAACACGATCGTCACAATCGCGAGCGCCATTTCCACGCGTGCTGTGCAAAGACGGCAGCACGAACACGATCGTCACAATCGCGAGCGCCATTTCCACGCGTGCTGTGCAAAGACGGCAGCACGAACACGATCGTCACAATCGCGAGCGCCATTTCCACGCGTGCTGTGCAAAGACGGCAGCACGAACACGATCGTCACAATCGCGAGCGCCATTTCCACGCGTGCTGTGCAAAGATGGCAGCACGAACACGATCGTCACAATCGTGAGCGCCATTTCCACGCGTGCTGTGCTAAGCTGTATTTCACCCTCACGCCAGGCAACAAGGTGGGCATTACTCTTCCCAGTTCACAGGTGAGGGCCCTGGTAATCTCAGCGGAGCCTGGCGGGGACTTGGGGGTGTCACAGGAGCAAGTGGGAGTCCTGATTGCAGAGGGTGGGGACCATGGCATCCCAGAGGGTGGGCAGAACATGGCTTTAGGATGTCACCGTCCTCCTGTGAGGTCATGGGGCAATGGGGAGCCAGGAAAGGCGCCCATATATCCTGCGCACGGGGCAGCGAATTCATCTGCCCAGGAGCACGACTTATCCCACAGGCACCAGAGGGGTCTATACTGACCCGGCTCCTGCACAGGACCCTCCAAATGTCTTCAAGTTGTCCTGCATCTCCGACCGTGTCCCCAGCAGACACATTGCACTAGAGATGATGCTTCCTTGGTCAAAACACTAGGTTCTCTGGTCCTAACACAACACTGCCAGACATCTGAAGTTACTATATTTTCTAACCAAGCAGACTGGCTATGAGTTTTTCTAACTGAATGTCATCCAAAACCTAACCCTAACTCCTGTATAAACATTGTTTTCAAACTCATGAAGCATCAAAGGCCCTTGTGGTTTTCTGGAGTTTCCATTCTCTAGAGCTTTTCGACAACACCCTGCATTTGGGTTTTCATCTTGAGCCCTCATATTATCTCATTCGATTCCTGCAGCGGTTTTGAGAGGTGGGCACCCATTTATGGATGAAGGAAGCCAGAGACCACAACACAACACAACACAACACAACACAACACAACACAACACAACACAGTGTGGGCCGTGGCTGTCTGGAGGCCAAGCTCGATCAGAATGTCCCTGGGCACTGTCTGGGGGCCTGAGAAAGCGTTCGGGCTGTGTGGGTGGTGGGGGTTGGACCTAAGACCTCCAGTGAGGCGTGACGTCCTCCATTCAATTCACTTATTTCCCCCATGGGGGCTGAGTTGTCCTTCAAACCCAGTGGCCCAGGGAGTGGGCACTGCGTCCACAAAGGACCCCTCCGGCATTTGGGGGAACCCAGTGTGCTCTGCAGATGTTCCTTGAGCGAGGACTGAGGACCAGGTGCTGGGGTGCCTTGGAGGAGGGCGGTTGGTGGTGTCTCCACTACGACTCACCGTGCCGGGGTGGATGTGGCCCCTGAGCTGCCGGCCCCGCCCTCGCCGGCTGTGATGCTTTGACTCAGGGACGGCCACCGTGTCACGGGCTGTTCCCAGAGTCTCAGTGCCTTCCTCGGGCTGCACGTTCTGATTTTGTTTTTTTTTGAAAAGGTAAACATAAAGAAAATGCTTGAAGCCCCAGGACACAGTTGGGCTGACAGGTCTCCGCAAGGCAGCTGCCCTGGAGGGTCCCTCAGACGGCAGCTTGGGGTGCAGCTCTGGGCGTCCCCACCGTGGGACCTGCCTGCCTTCACGGCCACGGAAGTACATTTCGTAAGTTCTGGTTTTCCTCCTTCCTGACATTAATTTTCCCCACATGCAGATGGAGCTGGGACCAGCCTCTGGGTTAAAATTCAGCATCACGTCTTACTCAGAGGAAGATGGTGGGAGGTCCTCATGCTTCTCTGAGCCCCTTCCACGCGTGTGGTCACCACAGTCTCCCTTTTCCAACCTGTCCGGATGCCCCTGCTGTAGGCTGTAGACAGACTGTCCACCTTGCTACAGACTGTAGATGCTGAGCTGTGTCTTCACGAGCAACCACAGAAGAGGCCACGTTGACTACAGAGCCCATGGACGGAACAGCGATCGGATACAAGACTTGCCCCCACTTCCGCAAGCCCTCGGCACCCACAGCTGTGCCCCTCGGGACCACTTCCCTGCCCCAGAGCCATCCGTGTCATCAGCACCAAGACTATATGGTGAAGGAAGAGTCTGGAAAGTGGCAGCAGCTCACAGCAAGACCCTGAGAGACGTCCTGGTTACTGCAGGTATGATCACAGCAAGACCCTGAGAGATGTCCTGGTTACTGCAGGTATGATCACAGCAAGACCCTGAGAGATGTCCTGGTTACTGCAGGTACAAACAGTCAAATCAAGTATCTGTTTATGAGACATTCAACAAAACCAGGTAAACTGAAATCTATGGCAAAGTACCAACTTCCTGCCAAACAGCTGACAAGTAAGACAGGGTCTGTCTGTGTTGCCGACTCCCGAAAATGCCCACTTTGGCTAAAAAGGTCCAGTAGTGGAGAATTTTAACAACGCCACTCAGTTTTATTTGCGTAACCCCCTATAAAAGTGACCTCCAAGGGCAAGCCGTTTGGAGTCACCAATTCAGGAACGAAGATGGTGTCACTGTTTTCTCCAACTGTATTTCTTTATGCATCATGGTTTTTATAATTTTCTAAGGGAAATTGATGACATCCCCATCTTAAAACCAAACACAATTTGAATTTCAAATGCACTTGGAGTTCTTCCTTCCAGGACACGTCTGCGATGCCAGCGCGGGGCGCAGCCGGGCGCGGGATGCTCGTGAGCCGTGAGCTTTGATTCTGAAATATGTAATACATTTTTAATAAGGACAACTAAATTTGTTTCCCTAGAAATGTATTTTGAAGAGTCCATAATAAACTGTCTTCTACAATGAGGAGCTATTTAAAGTCAAAAACAAAAAGGCAAGGGTCCCGTCTTGCTGCGAGTGTTGGGGCAGGTGCTATCTGAACACGGTGGCGCAAAAGAGATGAGGCCTCGCCACTGATCAAACACTCGGCTGGTAAGTAGAAGTCCTTAAAAAAGACGAACATCAAACAGGTCCTCATCTGGGGCGCTCTTTTTGTGGGGTCACCCTGACCGTGAGGCCACAGATGCGGGCCCGTGTGCACCGCAGGCCATACGTGGGGTTAGGTAAGTTTGAAAGTCTGGACAAGGCTGTCATTAAAGCGTAGGTGATGCTAAACGGCGTGAAAGCCTCTGCTTTCTAGAGGCTCCAGCAAGACTGACACGGAAAAGCTGAGGACGAGGATGTTGGTGAAGACTCCTTACAAAGGCGGAAGGCGCCACACTGTGAGCTGAGCCATCTCTGCAATGGAAGGACAGAGCATGACCGTGCACCCACCTGCTGAGAGCCCAAGTGGCTGCCCCAGCACCACCCCGTCCAGAGGGCCGGGAGAGCAGCCGCATTGAAGGTCGCTCCAGGAAAAGCCCTGGCCCGACTCCTCAGGCATGATGGTACAGATGTTGACTTGGCGGCAACACGTTTGTCCCTGGGCAAACTCTGTTTCACCCTGAATCTCATGATGGTGATGTCTCCTCTGCCCCATGGCAGCTGCCTGCCCTGCACCTCTGCAGTGGCAGCTCCACCTGTCTGTGGGCCGTGCTTCTAGCTGCACTGTCCCTCCATGCTTCCAAAGACATTGTGTCCTGGTCACCAGAACTCCTGGTCTGCAGTATCCTCTCTCCCCCGTGTTACCACCCCCTCCTGCCCCACCCTCCCTCCCACTGTCCTTTCTGGATGGTGTCCTTGACCTCCTGTCTTCCTGCTCTTGGTCCCATGGGAAGTGCCAACCCTGGAAGAAAGGAGGGGCTGGCTTCTCTGTGCCTGCTCACTGGCAGCTGAGCACCCCCAGGGGCATCTGGGGTCCCTGAATTCACAGTCCTCATCCTCAGACTCAGGGGCATCCAGCCCACCCTTCTTCCCTACTCAGCCCTTAAAAAGAGGCACATGGTAAAAGGCTGCTGGTAACAAGATACCCCTAAGTTCTCAAGGTATCATCCTGCAAATCAACGATGAATTACCAAGGGAAGAATTTACCTTTACAATGGAGTGATGTGGCAGGTGCCTCTTTTACCAAAGCGACTGCACTTGGCATTGTCCCAGCAGGGAGGGGCTGGCCGTGCACCCGCTGTGGCTGGAGGCACACACATCACCACGCGGGGAGGGGTTGACCGTGCACCTGCTGTGGCCGGAGGCACACACATCGCCACGCGGGGAGGGGCTGACCGTGCACCCACAGCTGCCGGAGGCACACACATCACCACATGCTGAAGACCTGCATCTGAATCTAGTAGTGTGGGGCAATCCAACAGGCCCAGGCCACAGGATATCCCACAGGACAAGCCTGGTTTCTCTAACAATTGCAATGCTAGAAAAGACCAAAACTAAAACGTAAAGGTAGAAGTATTCTAGAACAAAGAAAATCCGAGATGTCACAACAAAACACAGCATTCACCCTTGATTGGAATCTGGATTAAAAATAAAAAGCAAGCTATTGGGACAACGGGAAAACTGGCCACATACGAACGTGTGCTAAGTAACGTCACTGCTTCCAGGCTGCACGCTGGGGGATGATGCAGACACTCCCTTTTCTGCACCTCACGGGGAAGTTTTGTGATGTCTGCAGCAACCTTTGTGACTTCCATCCAGACACACAGGTAAATGACAGAGTTGCAGGCATGACTGAGAGCTCAAAGTTGGTGACTCTGGAGGAAGAGGGTGCAGGTGCTCATTTTACTCTTCTTTCAACTTGTTTGACAGTGTGGAGTTTGCAAAATAAAATTCTGGGATAAAGGGAGAAGCACAGGAAGAGGGACTCCTTGCTGTGAGCCCAGCTGTGGGGAGGAACTGCTCGGGCCCTGCAGCATCTTACAAGGGGTGCAGGGAAGTCCAGAGACAGAAGCCCCCATGGTGCAGGCCTGTCCCAGCGACCTGTAGCCTCATCCAGCACTGCGGCCACTCCTCCTCCAGGTGTCCCGCCATGTGCAGCCGTGAATATCCTGTAGTCTAAGCCTTCTCTCGTTGGGGTTTTCTGTTATTTCTTCCCGAAGCATCTTAACTGATGCGGGTTCTGTGTCCAGGGAAGAGCAGGGCAGGGCTGGGTGCATTTGGAGTTGCCCTGGGGCTGGGGCTGGGAGACGGAGCTGCCCTCCCCATCCCTGTCCACGGCCCCTCTCACCCTGCAGTACTGAGCAGGGTGAGGCAGGGAAGAGGAGGAGCAGAGGAGTGGCTGGGAGGGTCTCAGTGAGCATTTCAGAGCCATCTCCACCTGTCAGAACGAGCAGGAAGACATCCAACCCTTATTGGGAGTCTACACAGGTGTTCTGCACTGAGCTCCCCTCTACTTCGGGCCTGCGAGAAGCAGGGAAGGTATAGGCTGCCGTCTCCCTCCCCCAGGCAGCTGGGGCTGTCCTCACACCAGCACAGCCCAGTCCTATGACAAGCCTGGCCACGTTAGACCCTCACGAGACGTCCCACGAATGGAACCCTAGGCCATAAAATATATGGATATTCCAGGGTTTAATTCATAGCCATCCTTAAGCTGGGGGAGGGCAGTTATGGAGCTCCAGAGCGGGGTAAGTTGTTGGAAAACGGAAAGAAGTTTGTCTGGCAGTTGCTTCGTCTGCATGAGGAGTGACGGCTGGGCTGCTGATGGCCCTGAGGGGTCCTCCCGGAGCACCTGGCACCTCCGCTAATTCTCCGGGGTGGAGGCACTTGCACAACCATGTGATGAATTCTTCAGCAGCGCCCGGAAGCTCGGAGGACATGAGAGGTGGCACCAAGGCTGTGGCAGCTGCTCAGCCGGTCTCACAGGCTCAGGACTCGAGCTCTGTGTTAAGCCGCACTACCACTGTGATTGGCACCAGGCTCGATGCTGCATCTCAGGCTCTGTTTCATAAACAGGAGGATTATTTCAGACCGATCAGAGGCGGCTGCATTCTGCAAATTACCGTGTGCTGTGGCTGCGCTCACACATTGCCAAGTGGCTCCTCCGACAGGCGGCACTAATCCATGTTGGTCTGTTCAGGAAGGTTGCCTTTGTAAACTGGAGACAGAATACTTTTGTTTTTGTTTTAAACATACATTTGGGAAGGTGGAAGTCAAGAAATGTAGCGGTTCTGTTGAGTTCAAAGAGAAACACAGGATTCCTAAGTTTCACCCACGCTTTGCCTGACTGACCAACACACTGAAGCTCCCTTCAAACCCAGAGACTTACTGCACTTGCTTCTAGATGCCACAAAAATTGCTGTTAAAAAGAAAAAAAGAAATGGAAACACGAAGGAGCTGCACGTGTGGGGGAGGTGAGGGTGAGAAGGAAGGAAAGGCACAATCTGTCACAGTTTCCAAACACATATGCTTCGCGTGGGAATCTGGGGTTGATTCAAAGGCTGAATGGATCTTCAGTTACTGGAAGGCTTGGCCCAAAATATTTCAGTATATGGAGCAGTTCTCTTCCTTCTAGTAGCAAAAGCAACAGCAGAGAGTGACTGGATTTGTGATCAGAATGGGGACAGTGGGAAAAGTTACCAAACCAATTTACTCAATGGAGAAAATAGCCAACTGGTCAAAGAACTGTGATGAGATGGCGGGATTCTCCAGGAGGTGCGTGATGTGGCTGGTGCCCATCCATCCTGTATGATGATAAACTCGTCCAGGAGCGAGATGTGGCCGGTGCCCATCCATCCTGTATGATGGTAAACTCGTCCAGGAAGTGTGTGATGTGGCCGGTGCCCATCCATCCTGTATGACGGTGAACTTGTCCAGGAGCGAGATGTGGCTGGTGCCCATCCATCCCATATGATCGTAAACTCGTTCAGGAAGTATGCGACGTGGCCAGCGCCCATCCATCCTGTATGATGGTGAACTTATCCAGGAGCGAGATGTGGCCGGTGCCCATCTATCCCATATGATTGTAAACTCGTCCAGGAAGTGTGTGATGTGGCCGGTGCCCATCCATCCTGTATGACGGTGAACTCGTCCAGGAGCGAGATGTGGCTGGTGCCCATCCATCCCATATGATGGTAAACTCGTCCAGGAAGTGTGTGACGTGGGGGGCGCCCATCCATCCTGTATGATGGTGAACTTGTCCAGGAGCGAGATGTGGCCGGTGCCCATCCATCCCATATGATGGTAAACTCGTCCAGGAAGTATGCGACGTGGCCGGCGCCCATCCATCCTGTATGACGGTGAATTTGTCCAGGAGCGAGATGTGGCCGGTGCCCATCTATCCCATATGATTGTAAACTCGTTCAGGAAGTGTGTGACGTGGCCGGAGCCCATCCATCCTGTATGATGGTAAACTTGATGGAGCATAGTTCCGGGAGCAGCTCTCCTGGGTTTTAGGAAATTGGGGAGGGTGTGGAGATGCAGCCGTTAGTATGATGATCTTATCCGCTGCTTCAATTTCCTTCCAGATAAATTTCAATATTTTGCATTTCTTCTGGTCACAACTCTCATCCATGGACATTTTAGGAGTAACAAGCCGCTCATTTCCATAAATCAGCATTGTGGCTTTCTGAGTCGAATCGGACAGGACGTGGGCAGCTGGCGCTGTTGGTCTCCACTCCTCACTGGGCTGAGGCGCACTGAACCCAGAAACCAACACTGCAGCCCCAGATTCTCTCTGACCTGGTGCCGAAAGAAGGAGCTGGCGGATTTCTCCTCTGCCAACGTCCTTCGAAACTCTCTGTAGTACTTTCTATCCGCCAATCAATGAGCCAGCAGCATTCCCTGTGATCAATCCATCAATTCCACCCACCAATCAGTGAGCCAGCAGCACTCCCTGTGATCAATCCATCAATTCCACCCACCAATCAGTGAGCCAGCAGCACTCCCTGTGATCAATCCATCAATTCCACCCACCAATCAGTGAGCCAGCAGCACTCCCTGAGATCAATCCATCAATTCCACCCACCAATCAGTGAGCCAGCAGCACTCCCTGTGATCAATCCATCAATTCCACCCACCAGTGAGCCAGCAGCACTCCCTGTGATCAATCCATCAATTCCACCCACCAATCAGTGAGCCAGCAGCACTCCCTGTGATCAATCCATCAATTCCACCCACCAATCAGTGAGCCAGCAGCACTCCCTGTGATCAATCCATCAATTCCACCCACCAATCAGTGAGCCAGCAGCACTCCCTGTGATCAATCCATCAATTCCACCCACCAATCAGTGAGCCAGAAGCACTCCCTGTGATCAATCCATCAATTGATCAGTCGACCCACCCGCTGGCTACCAGGGGCACCCAGCGCAGCTGCGCTCACAGGGAAGTCAGGGCGAGCGGGCGGCTCCAGACAGAAACGTGGGTGTGCTTGTGTGTGCAGAGTGCACGCTCGCAGAGGGGAAGCCACGGGGCTGCGGGCCCAGCCTCCAGTGAGCCTGGAGCCGGCCTGCAGGGAGGACCCCAGGCGGGTGTGGGGACCCACCTTAGGAGGACAGACGCACATGAGGCTACGGGGCTTGTTGTCATGAACCCCAAATGTGTTGTCAATAAGAGCACCGGACCCAGCTTTCAATGCTTCTCTTAGCAAAACCAGGGATTTTCCTGCAGCTGTGAACATTGACCTGTCCGCCTACTCCCCGAGCCACAGATCTGGGGAAAGAATGCATGTAGCCTGCTGTGGGTGGTGAATGGAGCTGGGGCAGTGATGAGCTACTTCTTGCCTTTTGTCAGGAAAAGAAGCTGGATAGATTTCTCTTCTCTTCCTTTGAGAATGAGTGAAGAGGGAAGATAAAAGCCAGCAACCAGGGACAGCTGAAAATATGGTTTCAGTAAGAGACAGGCCACAGCGTCCTGAGCCCCCTAGGACAAGCAGACCTTCCAGGAGGATTTCCTAAGGTGGCTGGAAGAGAACTCTGCTACCCTTTCCAACGAAGATGCAAGACACACAGCCTCTCTAAAAACAGGAGCAGAAACACACAACACAACGGGAAAAACAGGGTGTCATAAAAACAGAACCGTTACCAAGTTATGAAGGCAAAGAGCTGGAACTGGGAGAGATGAGAAATAACTGTGAGGAAATTAAAACTACAATAGCAGAGTTAAAATTCACATTGAGGCGGCAGAGCAGAACTGACTACAGTTCACAACCGAACCCGCAAAGCTCTTCGAGAATCACGAGCAAAGCACAAAAGATGCTAAAAGAGGGGATATTAGAGACGTACGGCACAGGAAAGAGACTCGTCCTAAGGATGGGGGAGAGTTTGCAAGAAGAAGCTAGAATGACTAGTAGGAAGAACAGGAAACAGGGATCTGCAGCAATGCCTCGGCTCTCAGGGCGCTCGGGAGGGTGCAGGGGCGAAATTAACAACATAGCCGAAGGGTGCACTGCAAATGCGTGGGAAACAATGGCTTATTCAAGAAACTAGAGTTTACTTGGGGGAAGGTCCTAGTTTATCCCTCACTTCACACACATTACAACCACCAGAAATGATCCAGATACATTAACACATTAATGGAACCATAAAAATAACAAATAAAAACTTGTGTTTCACTGATGACAGGATGAGCAAGCACTTTCTAAACATGAGAGCGATTGACAAAATCTTAAAGGAAACGACTGTGCATTTGAATCCACCAGAGCTCAGCCTTTCTGAACTTCAGACAGTACAACAAGCAACGTTAGACACAGACAAGCCTGGCAGAACATTGGCCAAAAGTAAGAGGCAAAAACAAATATGAAGAGTACTCGTGAGTCTATTTCAGAAAATTCACACTCCCATAGGAAAATTCATGAAGAGATTATCCCAGGAAGCAGAACCATCAATAATCAAGTATGATAAAATGTTTAAATCTACAATAAATCAAAAACTATAAATTAAACCAATGATAAGATGCTATCGTTTGCCCTAAATAATTGCATGCACTTAAATGAAGTCCTAACCCTTGGTGTTAAGTGAGTGGATGATGGCAGGTTTATTGGACTTGCCAGATGCACCTGCATTTGTTGGAGATATTAGTTCAACTGGATAAGAGGAATTGAGGTATTTAGAAGAGCTTGCACCATTTCACATAGTAGTTAGATTTCTAGGAGTGTATCCTAAAGAAACAGTAAGCCACATAGATTGAATGTATGCCCAAGGATATTAATTGCAGCAAGACTTATGATAATGAAATACTAGAAACAAGCTAAATGTTCAACAATAGCACATGGGTTGAAGAACTTACAGCAGAACCACATAAAGACCAAAGTGTTCCTCAGAAGCATATTTTAAAGACAATTTGATAAGGCACACATACAAACTGAAAAGCAAAATAAAGACACACACACACACACACACATCCTAAAAGAATATCAAATAGTAAGCATTTTCTAAGTTTTCCACGCTAAGTGTTCAATAGACACAAAACAAGTATTTTAACAAAAATATGATTTCCTGACAGATAATATAGAAGAGGTTTGGCCTATGTCATGACCATGTCCTGGCCTGGACCATTTTTAATTGCTCCAGAGACTTCCAAATTGTGTCACCAAATCTACAACTGTGTGTCCATTCATCCATCCATCCATCCATCCATCCCCCGACCAAACCACCCACTTACTCATCCATCTACCCACCCACCCTGCACTCACCACCACCTATCCACTCACCACCACCTGTCCACTCACCACCACCTGTCCACACGTCTGCCCTTCCATGCATCCCTCCATCCACCCACCCATCCACCCACCACCACCTGTCCACCCACCCACCCATCCACACATCTGCCCTTCCATGTGTCCCTCCATCCACCCACCCATCCACCCACCTATCCACTCACCACCACCTGTCCACCTGCCCACCCATCCACACATCCGCCCTTCCGTGTGTCCCTCCATCCACCCACCCATCCACCCACCCATCCACTCACTACCACCTGTCCACCTGCCCACCCATCCACACATCCACCCTTCCATGTGTCCCTCCACCCATCCACCCACCCATCCACTCACCACCACCTGTCCACCCACCTGCCCATCGACACGTCCCTCCATCTACCCACCCACCCAGAGAATTGCTCGCTTGTTGTGTGCTGTGGGCCAGGCTCTGAGGTTTATGGACGGCTAGGACATTATTAATGCCCATGGGGGATGTAGTGTCTGATGGAAGAGGTGGTGGAGGGGGGAGGCTGTTTTGATGCAGAGTCATCCGAGATGGCTCAGAAGGGGCACCATGAGGAGCCAGGGCCATGTACCACATTCTGTGGAGGTCGACTCCCCAGCACACGCACCCAGGAACACCCTGGGCTTGACAGCCTCTGCTGGGTCATGCCCTCTTGCTCTGTGCCTGAGTCCTTCGCACTCCTGCCGTCTGCAAGGACACGGTGCATCCAGCCCCCGCAGGGCAGGGCTCACATCCTCCATGACCCTCACAAGGACACAGTGTATCCAGCCTCCACAGGGCAGGACTCACATCCTCCTTCACTCCATGACCCTTCCTTGTTGCCGCCACACGTCTGTTGCACCTGTTAGACACGGAGCCTTGGACTCAGGGGTGGGTCCCGTGGATCTCACAGCCCTGCTGCCCAGCATAGGACACACAAGTGACTCAGTGGAGTCCGACACTTGCTGAGTGGATGGCAAGGGAGAAAGCTCCTCTCCACCGTGGCTACTCCAGTTCCTCTCACAGTGGATGGCACGGGAGAAAGCTCCTCTCCACTATGCCTACTCCAGTTCCTCTCGTAGTGGATGGCACGGGAGAAAGCTCCTCTCCGCCGTGCCTACTCCAGTTCCTCTCATAGTGGATGGTACGGGAGAAAGCTCCTCTCCACTATGCCTACTCCAGTTCCTCTCATAGTGGATGGCACGGGAGAAAGCTCCTCTCCACTATGCCTACTCCAGTTCCTCTCATAGTGGATGGTACGGGAGAAAGCTCCTCTCCACTATGCCTACTCCAGTTCCTCTCATAGTGGATGGCACGGGAGAAAGCTCCTCTCCGCCGTACCTATTCCAGTTCCTCTCGTAGTGGATGGCATGGGAGAAAGCTCCTCTCCGCCGTGCCTACTCCAGTTCCTCTCGTAGTGGATGGCATGGGAGAAAGCTGCTCTCTGCCGTGGCTACTCCAGTTCCTCTCATAGTGGATGGCACGGGAGAAAGCTCCTCTCCACCGTGGCTACTCCAGTTCCTCTCATAGTGGATGGCACGGGAGAAAGCTCCTCTCCACCGTGGCTACTCCAGTTCCTCTCATAGTGGATGGCACGGGAGAAAGCTCCTCTCCACCGTGGCTACTCCAGTTCCTCTCATAGTGGATGGCATGGGAGAAAGCTCCTCTCCACCGTGGCTACTCCAGTTCCTCTCGTAGTGGATGGCACGGGAGAAAGCTCCTCTCCGCCGTGGCTACTCCAGTTCCTCTCGTAGTGGATGGCACGGGAGAAAGCTCCTCTCCGCCGTGGCTACTCCAGTTCCTCTCGTAGTGGATGGCACGGGAGAAAGCTCCTCTCCGCCGTGGCTACTCCAGTTCCTCTCGTAGTGGATGGCACGGGAGAAAGCTCCTCTCCGCCGTGGCTACTCCAGTTCCTCTCGTAGTGGATGGCACGGGAGAAAGCTCCTCTCCGCCGTGGCTACTCCAGTTCCTCTCGTAGTGGATGGCACGGGAGAAAGCTCCTCTCCACTGTGGCTACTCCAGTTCCTCTCGTAGTGGATGGCATGGGAGAAAGCTCCTCTCCACCGTGGCTACTCCAGTTCCTCTCGTAGTGGATGGCACGGGAGAAAGCTCCTCTCCGCCGTGGCTACTCCAGTTCCTCTCGTCTTCCCTGGGGTGGCTACAGTGTTCTTGTCTTCGTGAAGTTGCCTCTGATTCCATCCTCTAAAAGCCAATGACTTATATTTGGCACAAGACAGATTAACACGTAATTGTTCTTTACTGAATTGGTATCTGACTGTGTGAGTTGACTGAAGCATGTATAGTCGTATGTGTATCTGAGTGTGTTTGAATGTATGTGCATGACTGTGAGTGCATGTTCATCACTGTCAGTGTGTCACTGTGTCCATATGTGTGGCTGCATGTGAGTGTATGACTGTGTGTGTCTGTGTGGCTGTGTGGGAGTGTGTATGTGGTGGAGTGTGTGTGGCGTGTGTTTGTGTTTGTGAGAGAGACTGTGTGTGTGTCTGGCTGTGTGTGTGGTTGTGTGACTGTGTGGGAGTGTATGTGAATGTGCATGTGTGGCTGTGTCTATGTGTCTGTCTGTGTGTGTGACTTTGTATTACTCTGTGTGTCTGTGTGTGTGTGAGAGATTGTGTGTGTGACTGTGTGAGCATGTGGCTATGTGGAGTGCAAGGGCCTGTGTGGGAATGTGTCTGTGTATGACTGTGTGGCTATGTGTAGTGTGTGTGACTGTGTAGCTGTGTGGAATGTGTATGTGCAACTGTGTGGGAGTGCATGTCTGTGTGACTGTGTGACTGTGTGGCTGTGTGAAGTGTGTGTGGCTGTGTGCGTGACTATGTAACCATGTGTGGCTGTGTGGCCATATGTGACTGTGTGACCAGGTGTGACTGTGTGGCCACGTGTGACTGTGTGACTGTGTGTGACTGTGTGACCGTGTGGAGTGTGTGTGACTGTGTAACCATGTGTGACTGTGTGGCCATATGTGACTGTGTGACTGTGTGTGACTGCGTGTGACTGTGTGGCCACGTGTGACTGTGTGACCACATTTGACTGTGTGGCCGTGTGTGACTGTGTGTGACTGTGTGACTGTGTGTGACTGTGTGACCACATGGAGTGTGTGTGACTGTGTAACTATGTGTGATTGTGTGGCCATATGTGACTGTGTGACCGCGTGACTGTGTGACTGTGACTGTGTGGCCGTCACTGTTACCACATGTGACTGTGTGGCCCTGTGTGACTGTGTGACCGTGTGTGACTGTGACCGCGTGTGACTGTGTGGCCACGTGTGACTGTGTGACTGTGTGTGACTGTGTAACCGCGTGTGACTGTGTGGCCGCGTGTGACTGTGTGACCGTGTGACTGTGTGACTGTGTGGCCACGTGTGACTGTGTGACCGCGTGTGACGTGTGGCCGCGTGTGACTGTGTGGCCGCGTGTGACTGTGTGACCGCGTGTGACTGTGTGACCGTGTGTGACTGTGTGACTGTGTGTGACTGTGTGACCGCGTGTGACTGTGTGACCGCGTGTGACTGTGTGGCCACGTGTGACTGTGTGACTGTGTGACTGTGTGGAGTGTGTGTGACTGTGTAACCATGTCCAGGCAGGGTGTGGGAGTGGAGAGGGTACGGGACGGGAGCTGCAGACAACATCCGAGCCGGCTGAAGCCCACAGAGCAGGCCCCGTGTTGGGGGGAAGTTGGAATTTAGGGAGTGGTGCTGGATTCTGGACAGTGGATGACCCGATGCTGACGCTGGCACCTGATCACTCACAGCCGCCACCAGGCAGCATCCAGAGCCTCCAGCGTTTTCACCCAGTGGGTTGCTGCTGCTCAGCAGTCAGGGGGACAGGTTGTTTCTTCCTGGTCTCAGGCCACAGGACCCCTGAAGAGGAGCCCCGTCCTCAGACCCCTCCAGGAGCCAGAAGTGTTTCTTCTTGGAGAGGTGAGGGGCTGGGCGCCCTCTCAGGCAGTGCCCAGGGAGAAGCACCGGCGGGGGCTGGAGCCACCACCTCACCGCCTGCCTGCCCCCTCCTCCTCTCTCAACGTCCAGTCTGCAGGGCAACCTGCAATTCACAACGGCCGCTGCCTGGCCTGGGAGCTCTGCAGTGCCTTCTGCTGGAAGTGCCAGCCGTGTCCGCCCTGCACTCGCTCCCAGCACAGGGCAGAGGCGGTCGCAGAGCTGCATGATCTACTTTTAAGTTCTGTGAAAGTCCTTCTGCAGTAACAGTTCATGCGCTGGCCACGATGGCAGCAAGGGCAGCTTTAAGTTAATTCAGGCTGTTTTTGGAACAGGCTATGGGGTCTTGAAAGCTTCTTCACCGCCTTCACTCCCCACACGCTCCCTGTCACTGGCTGAACATCGGTGAAGAGACAAAACTGTGAACGAGGACATTATCTAAAGTGCAGAGCCCCACATGGTGGGAAGCTCAAATGCTCACTAACAGGTCGGCCTTCCTTTTCCTGATGGTTTTTCAAACTTACCGTATTGTACGTGGCTTTAAGTGAAACTTGAGTGAAGGATCCTCCCCTTCCCACCCCACCCGCAGGTGATGATTTTGAAAAGCTCCCCCAAAGGAACCCTAAATTAGTCTTAAACACACACACAAATCTATCTGAGGCAGGGAAACTGCCCATTAAGGGCCAGTAATTACCCGAGGCTGCTGGGGTGCCTGCCTGGAAGGGCCCCCACCACGGGGCCTTTGTGCTTCCTGGCCTGGCGGACTCTGAGGCTCATGCATTATTCAGGAGCACGTGGGACAATAAGGAAGCCTTCCATAGAAAGAGAAGCAAAGCTGGGGGTAAATAAAGGTTGCTTGAGAAACACTACTATTTTTTCTACATTTATGAAAATATTGCAGCGTTCGGGGTGCTGGGGACGTCCTCTCTGGTTATCAGGAGAACACCCTGGATTCTGCGCTTTCCTTCCTGCGGGCCTGCAGCCTGCAGGGGCCCACAGGACAGCATACAGTACCCGGGGACTGTGTCTTTTTTCCTCCCTCCTCTCCCTTTCTCTCCCCCATAATGCAAAGCTTTGTCAAGCTAATACTTTAAGGATCAACATCAAAATTGGAACTTTCTCTTTCTATAGCCACATCCAATTGAAAGTATCTTAGACCTCCCAGTGGCTTCCCTTTCGGGGAGGCCTGGCTGTCAGAGCACTGGAACCATGCATCCATTTTAAATAACAGGAAGGTCCCCAACCCATACACAACATTAGAAACGGCATTATTTGCTGGCCCCTTTGTGCGTGGGGCTGTGAATCGGTGCTGCTGCATCACATGGTCAAACCAGGCCTCCCCCACACATTCCTGCTTTATGGGGTCATTTCAGCGCGCTCCAATCAGCCGCCTCGTCCACCTGACCATCTCTTGATTACTGATCTATCTGCTCTTATTTTCCCTGGGGGAAGGGAGGAGATTTAAAGTGCAAATGGTACAAAAGGGGCTCAAATGCCGCTTTGTGTGCAGATTCAGGAGACTTTTTTTTTTTTTTTTTTTTTTGAGACGGTGTCTCGCTCTGTCACCCAGGCTGGAGTGCAGTGGCATGATCTTGGCTCACCGCAACCTCCACCTCCCGTATTCAAGTGATTCTCCTGCCTCAACCTCCTGAGTAGCTGGAATTACAGGCAGGCACCACCATGCCCAGCTAATTTTTGTATTTTTAGTAGAGATGGGGTTTCACCATGTCGGTCAGGCTGGTTTCGAACTCCAGACCTTGTGATTCGCCCACCTCAGCCTCCCAAAGTGCTGGGATTACTTTCTCATCTGGCCTCACAAGGGCACGTTAAGAATCCTGTGCCCCTGTCTCCGCCACAGTGCACACCCAGCCCTTTGATTTCAGATCAGAGGGAATGGAATCTCCAAGGAACTTCACATAGGAAACCCAACAGCACCAAATGCTTTCTAACTATTCTTGGGAAAGAGGCAAGGCACAAGTAAATTAAATATATTAACAAGTCGGAGTAAAGGGTAGAGTGATTAGGAATATCTTCCTCAGAGAAGGGATGTGACAGCCCAATCCACACCGCAGACACAGATCCATTGGACCCGGCCTCCTCCCATCTCTAAAGTCATGCTCTGTGAACATCGTTATGACAGTGAAAACCACGACTTTTCCCCTGTAAAATTAAATGTCACTCTTGATAGCATAATATCTGAAACATCATCTTCCCAAGTCCACACCAATACTTTACACAGAAAATTAAACTCTCTCTGTTTATTGAGTGGATAATGTAGCCTTCAAATGTGTGAGAACCCCTGCTAGGTGAGAAATTACAAAAGCTGTACCATAAAGCCTAATGGTATGTATGAAATACACAAAAAGGTAACCTAATTGGTAATCAGAAATCATAAAACTAATCATGCAATTAATGTCTTCAAAAGCAAGCATTTGAGGTGTGTATAATTACAAGAAAACAATGCAATGGTGGTTTCCAGCATTAATGAATTAATTGTGGTGGTAGGGGGGCCGGCGTGGGGGTTTATGGGCTGGTTTCAGTCCATGCCCACTGCCTGGCTGTGCGTTCTCTGCCTTCCTCCACCTGGAGCTCCTCAGCAAAGGACTGTGCCTCTGAGCCTCCCCTGGAGAAGTCAAGAGGTCCCCTCCTTCCAGACCCAACTTCCCTGGCCACTGACTGTCGGGATTCCCTGGGGGAGGGCAGGTGGAGAGACGGCTGGTGCAGAAAAACACAGAAGGCCCAGAGCCGCTCATTGAGTGCAGGTGTCGGAAAAAAATTTGGGAACACACATTAACCTACGCAACTCTCTTGCTTTCTTTCCAGCGTGCCACACAATATCATGATACTTACGGTTCTATGATTCACACTCGCAGTTTCGAAGGAAACCTCTGCTCTGTGCTGATTATTCCAGGACCAAGGCTTAATGCGTGGGATGTTAATTTGCTGATAGAAAGGGGAGGAGGAACAGGTCGGGGCTGCATGGCATTCCTTCCAGACAACTGGAGCAAACAGGGCTCCACATTGGGGTCCTTTCGATGTGGTGCCGTCACCAGTGCCACCCCACTGCAGGCACCGGGAGCTCTTCCACGGAGAGGAAAGGTGCAGAGAAAGACTCTGACCCCCTGCACGGAGGAGGGGGCGGCGCAGGCCCCTCCACGTCATCGGTGTGGAACGCAGGCCCCTCCACGTCGTGGATGTGGAACGCAGGCCCCTCCACATCGTGGGTGTGGAATGCAGGCCCCTCCACGTCATGGGTGTGGAACGCAGGCCTTTTGAACATAGGAGTGTGCAAGCCCCACACACAGGAGGTGGTGTGCAGCACGTGTCTCTGCAGGAAAGGGAACAGGAGGGACTGGCCTTGGCGGGTGGTGAGACGGCCACACACTCTCTGAAGGAGATTCTACATTCCCACTTCTCTGTAGAAGCCGTCCAGGCCCCAGCCCCATCCCCAGCCTGCACCCTCCAGGCAGCTGAAGGCCTGGGCACAGCTAGCGAGGCCACTGGCATGTGGGAGATGGAGGACAGTGGGGAGAAGAAAGAACACTAGAGCTGAAATTCGAGGAAGAAACCGGACATCTGGGGCAGAGGAACGACCCAAAGCCACTGAGGAAACTGCCAGGTGAGGGCCAGGAGGAGAGGGTGAGGCTGACACGGGGACAGGAGCCCAGCGTGACCAGCCTGGGGTCCTGAAGCAATGCTCTAGAAAGAGAAGGCCTTCCACAGCACGACCCCAGGGTGGTGATGAGGGCACACTGCTGGAGATGAAGAAAGCATTATTACTCCTCCACTTCTAGTACGAGAGGCTTGTTCACGTCCTAAGTTGCTCTGTGTTCCCGGCAACGTACCCGGCACTGAGTTCTCAGGACTGGTGCAGGTCAGCGGCTCCGCAGGGGTGAGCTGGGCGCTGCCTGCATCTGACGAGATAGCAGTATGTTAGCATCTGTGGTGTTCTGTCTACCGCAGAGTCCTGTGAGCCTCCGGGTGCTCGTGTCCGTGCACTGTGACGGCCTTTGTCTCTTTTGTTTTGTTATTTCAGGGGCGTTTTTCTTATTCTGGCCTGTGGGAAGATGCCCTGGAGCCCTGGACACTGGTTTTCCAGCAAACCCTACAGATCGGTTGGGATCCACCTGGTGACACCTGCCTTATCTTCCAGGGTTTGCCCTTGGTGTAGAGATAGACAAAGGGAGAGGTGAGCACAAGGTCACAGGGACGCAGCCCTGACCTCACGTTGGTCCACGACGGGCAGAGAGCAACTTGGATGGCTGCCTTTGTTGTTTTTCAAATGGACTATTTTATTCCTAGAAAAAGATACACAGGCTAATGTAATGAATACACTAGCACCCTTAGCCAGCTGTAGGAAAAAAATGCATGGCAGATACTCGATGGCCTTTCTGTCCTCCCTGCACCACCCAGAGGACATACACAGAGTGATCCGCCCTCTTTTCCCTGGTGAATCACGCAGCCTAACTCACCATGTTCCCGGCCACGCCACAGTGAATCACGCAGCCTAACTCACCAGGTTACTGGCCTAACTCACCATGTTCCCGGCCATACCCCAGTGAACCACACAGCCTAACTCACCATGTTCCCGACCACACCCTGGTGAACCACGCAGCCTAACTCAGCATGTTCCCGGCCACATCCCGGTGAACCATGCAGCCTAACTCACCACGTTCCCGGCCACACAGGGCCAAGAACAGCCCAGGCAATGTTAAGGAGCATTGCATGGAGGAGCCACTTGCAGATGCGGTAACCCACTGTGCGGCACAGAACCTCCCCGCGGGGCAGGTGGGTGCACAGGAAAGAAACCAACATGGAGCTGAGGCCCCAGAGAGGTCCCTGTGCTCATGACTCACAGAGACGGGGACGGCAGCAAGGACACAGCAGGGCCATGGGCAGAGGAAGGACAAGCAACGTGGGGCCATGGGGAGGGACGGAAGACAGAAGTGGATCCCGGCTCTCCACAAAACACAAAAATTAACCCCAGGCAGATTAAAGCCTAAATGGGGGGAAAAAACCTGTAAATGTTTTGAAGAAAACATTTGAGCCTCTCTGAACTCAGGGCAGAAAACAGTTTCCTCAAATCCTTTCCTCAAACAACACAAACTACGGAGGAAGGGAGTGGTAAAATTTGATCAAATCAAGTGAAGCAGCTTCTGTGCTTCAAGAAACACTATTAAAAAGTGGGAAAAGGTGGGGGTGAGCCACCCGCCAGGAAGCGAGATTCACGGCACCTCTGTCAGATGAAAGGGCTGGGTCTGCGTCCAGCCAGGCAATGAAGATGAGCCGCCAATATTCTAGGAAGAAAAGCGGGGGTGGGAGTCACCAAAACAAGTCTTCTGAAAACTGGCCAAGGTGTGATGTACGTTTGCATCCTAGGAAATTAAAGAGGTAAAAAAACCCATCTGGAAAACCAAGAGCTGCTTGATTCTATGAACCTAAGAACAGTCCGTTTCTCCTTCAGAGACGTATTGAGAGAACTCGGTATCATTATGAAATCTCTCAGGCCTCCAGGAAATGACGCTCTAAAAATGCAAAGCTCTGAACCAACCACCGAGAAACACCCTTTCCCCTCCCCTGGGTGATACTAAGCTGCTGTGGGGCGTCCCCACAATTTTGGGGCCGGAACGGAGGGGGAACAGGCACCAGTTTGTCACTGCCCTGAGTGCGCTGCCCCAACACCCTGCCTGCTGCTGTCTGAGAGAAAATCGTGTCATGGATCATCATCCCTGTGCTGCAGGTGTGTCTGATGTTTACAGAGACCTCTCTCGCTCCATCATGCGTGCCCGATGTCTACAGAGCCCTCTCTCACTCCATCATGCGTGCCCGATATCTACAGAGCCCTCTCTCACTCCATCATGCGTGCCCGATGTCTACAGAGCCCTCTCTCACTCCATCATGCGTGCCCGATATCTACAGAGCCCTCTCTCACTCCATCATGCGTGCCCGATGTCGACAGAGCCCTCTCTCACTCCATCACGTGTGCCCGATGTTTACAGAGCCCTCTCTGACTCCATCATGTGTGCCTGATGTTTACAGAGCCCTCTCTCACTCCTTCATGTGTGCCCAATGTTTACAGAGCCCTCTCTCACTCCTTCATGTGTGGCCAATGTTTACAGAGCCCTCCCTCACTACATCATGTGTGGCCGATGTTTACAGAGCCCTCTCTCATTACATCTTCTGTGCCCGATGTTTACAGAGCCCTCTCTGACTCCATCATGTGTGCCCGATGTCTACAGAGCCCTCTCTCACTCCATCATGCGTGCCCGATGTCGACAGAGCCCTCTCTCACTCCATCACGTGTGCCCGATGTTTACAGAGCCCTCTCTGACTCCATCATGTGTGCCCGATGTTTACAGAGCCCTCTCTCACTCCTTCATATGTGGCCAATGTTTACAGAGCCCTCCCTCACTACATCATGTGTGGCCGATGTTTACAGAGCCCTCTCTCATTACATCTTCTGTGCCCGATGTTTACAGAGCCCTCTCTGACTCTATCACGTGTGCCCAATGTTTACAGAGCCCTCTCTCACTCCATCAGGTGTGCCTGATGTCTACAAAGCCCTCTCTCACTCCATCATGCGTGCCCGATGTCTACAGAGCCCTCTCTCACTCCATCATGCGTGCCCGATGTCTACAGAGCCCTCTCTCACTCCATCATGCGTGCCCGATGTCTACAGAGCCCTCTCTCACTCCATCATGCGTGCCCGATGTCTACAGAGCCCTCTCTCACTCCATCATGTGTGCCCAATGTCTACAGAGCCCTCTCTCACTCTGTCATGCATGCCGGATGTTTACAGATGTTTACAGAGCGCTCTCTCACTCCATCATGTGTGCCCAATGTCTACAGAGCCCTCTCTCACTCCATCATGCGTGCCCGATGTCTACAGAGCCCTCTCTCACTCC
Organism: Homo sapiens; assembly: GCF_000001405.40. Taxonomy (NCBI): domain Eukaryota; kingdom Metazoa; phylum Chordata; class Mammalia; order Primates; family Hominidae; genus Homo; species Homo sapiens. The sequence continues at coordinate 157,847,795 of NC_000007.14, forward strand.
ATCATGCGTGCCCGATGTCTACAGAGCCCTCTCTCACTCCATCATGTGTGCCCGATGTCTACAGAGCCCTCTCTCATTACATCATGTGTGCCCGATGTTTACAGAGCCCTCTCTCATTACATCATGTGTGCCCGATGTCTACAGAGCCCTCTCTCACTCCATCATGTATGCCCGATGTTTACAGAGCCCTCTTTCATTACATCATGTGTGCCTGATGTTTACAGAGCCCTCTCTCATTACATCGTGTGTGCCTGATGTTTACAGAGCCCTCTCTCACTCCCTCATGGGTGCCGTATGTTTACAGATGTTTACAGAGCCCTCTTTCATTACATCATGTGTGCCTGATGTTTACAGAGCCCTCTCTCATTACATCGTGTGTGCCTGATGTTTACAGAGCCCTCTCTCACTCCCTCATGGGTGCCGTATGTTTACAGATGTTTATAGAGCCCTCTTTCATTACATCATGTGTGCCTGATGTTTACAGAGCCCTCTCTCATTACATCGTGTGTGCCTGATGTTTACAGAGCCCTCTCTCACTCCCTCATGGGTGCAGTATGTTTACAGATGTTTACAGAGCCCTCTTTCATTACATCATATGTGCCCAATGTTTACAGAGCCCTCTCTCATTACATCATGTGTGCCTGATGTTTACAGAGCCCTCTCTCACTGCATCATGCGTGCCCAATGTTTACAGAGCCCTCTCTCACTCTGTCATGTGTGCCCGATATTTACGGAGCCCTCTCTCATTCCGTTTGATTTGCACCACTGCTGTGAGATGGGCAACAGTTCCTGGCTTTACAGGCAACAAAATGCTCCCACCAGTCAATGAAGCCACAGAGCTTGCCAGGAGTGAATGGGGCCCCACCTGACAGAAATGACGGCTTCCGCGGGATCCCATGAAGGTTCTGTAAGCCAGAGCTGAAGTGAGTGGGGCCCCTGTCCGCAGGCTGCCACCTCTGGCAGGTCGTCCACAGGAACGCTTGTCCTGAATGGTGGCCCGCACCCTGCAGTGAGCCCACGGCTATAGTGGTGCAGCCAGCAGCCCCGACGCCTCTGCAGTCCCAGACCCAGGGAAGCCCCGTGTGCACCACGGTGTGCCCTGGACCACTCACTTGGCCGCTGCCACCCTGGGAGGATCACAGGGGCTGCCTTCTGGACATATGTCAGGCTCTCACTGCCCCAGTGAGAGGACTGGCTCTGGTCCTGATCCACAAGCTCTGAACCAATAGCGGGTCTTGGGATGACGTCTGCGGAGCCCCTCGGTCCCAGCGTGGCTGGCGTCCAGGACCCCAGCACCTCTACACCCAGGTCCTTCTCAGTTCCCACCGGCCGGGCTGACGCTGGTCTCCAGGGTGATGGAGCTGATTCTTCGGGTTTCCCTCAGCTCAGATCAAATTTAACACAGCAAGAGGACACCCACTGTTCCCACCGAAGAGGCAGAAAGCTGGAGTTCGCGGTGCCTTTCTCCCCCAGGCTGGGATGGAGGAGGCAGCATGAGGCCACCGTCATTCCCAGTGTGTGAGCTGGGGCCATCCGGAAGTTGCGATTCATGTCAGACACTACGGGGCCGAGGCTCATGTGGGTGTGCGTCCTCTCAGGGTCACACCTCAGCAAGGAAGCTCAGCAGAAGGTCTCCCAGGTCCCTGAGCCACCGTTCCTCTGACTGCTTGTACCCTTCCCGAGATGCTGCTGCAGCCCCACGCCACTCAGAGTGACCAGCCTGGGCCAACCCCTGGGTTCTGACAAGATGTGCTGTTTAGGACTAAATTCAGCTGCATATAACAGAAAACTTCTGACAAGGTTGGTGTGAACACCTGAGGCTTTTCTTCCCTCCCACACAAAACCCATCTAAATGGGCAGTCTGGGTCCCGCATCCTGGCCAGGGACATTTACGGGAACCACATCAGCCTAGGATCCACTATCCAGGTGGCCGTCATTTCCCATCAAGAAGCCTTTCTGCCCAGAGTACTGTACAGCCACAGCTCATGGCCAGGTCTCACTCAGTGACCACATCTAAGCACAGGGGAGGCCAAACGTGTTATTTTAGCTAAACTTAGGGTTCGATCACCATGGAGGAGGGGAAGACGGCACAGACCCTTCACCGCTGGCCCTGATGGCAGCTGGGGCCCGTGTGTGCCGTGTCCTGGGGACGACATGAGATAGCCAGGCTCCCCGTCCCTCAGGGATGGTCTTCCAAGGATTGGAGCATCTTACACGTTTTTTATTTCAGTTTAAACCACTTTCTACTCATATGCTTTTGGTTTAAATAAATTGCCAGATAAAATTTGCTTGAAAATCTTTTATGGGAGGAAAAGAGAACATTCATAACAAACAGAGCTCAGGTTATCCCCTCTCCACCCAACACCAGCATTTCCAGGCCTTTGAGGAACTGGGGAGAAACATGATGTGGTCAGATTCCAAATTTCCGAAGTGCGGAGCCTCAGGCTCACATAAGGGATCCCAGGTCTCCAAATTTCCGACATGGGGTGCCTCAGGCTCGCGTAAGGGATCCCAGGTCTCCGAATTTCCGACGTGGGTGCCTCAGGCTCGCGTAAGGGATCCCAGGTCTCCGAATTTCCATTTCCGACGTGGGGTGCCTCAGGCTCGTGTAAGGGATCCCAGGTATCCGAATTTCCGACGTGGGGTGCCTCACGCTCGCATAAGGGATCCCAGGTCTCCCGGGGCCTGGTGTGTGCACCACAGACTACATATTCCACAAGGAAGCTGTGAGAAAGAAGCACAGACAGTCCTGCACCATCTCACATCCACCAAATCCAGAATTCTCCTTTCTCAAACCATCCACAGACTAACTTATTCAGCTCCCCACAATATGAGTCTGTTTTGAGGCCAGGGGGTGGGTCCTGGACCCTCCAATTCCTTGACAGACAAAAGGTGTAGAATAGCCTGGGATTCCAGGTTCCTGGGAGTCCTGCAGGGCAGGTGCAGGCTGGGGCATGGAGGCGGAAGCTTCTTCACACCACAAGCGGCCACGGTAGAGTTGACGGGAGAAACCAACTTTAAATTCATGCAGGATCAGGAATGCTGTGCCACATCAATGTGTAAAATACAATCTTCATGTGGGAGAACGAATGGTCATCTCTGAAATATGCTTTGCACATTAGGATTTTTCAGATCTTCCCTATTCTTGGTTTACCCAAAGCAAAGCGAGTTCTTGCTGGGGTGAAGGGTGGAAGAGAAAAGCAGCGGAATGGGCGGGCTGTCGAACAAAAGGCGGCGAGGGAGGTACCGTGCAGAGCCTGCTGGGCCTTCTGTCCCATGGCCCCGCACACCGGACTCACCCAGCCTCCAGCCGCTCCTGTGCCTTTCTGCCTAATAAATATCTGTGATAATTACCAACCCCCAAAAAGGGTTCTCTAACGAGGGTGCATTTTATCAGTCCCTTAACGAGGCTGTTTGGGTTCCTGCCTCCTATAGAGTGGCGGTTAATGCTTAATCAGCAAATGCACTGTTTAAATAATAACAAGAATATCAGCAGAGAATCTAAATTATCCCTTAACTTCTCAAAATAATCATAACAGGCATTTGAACATTCATACAAATATGGCTCATGAATAAAAATGCGCTTTCTTTAATACAAATATAGTCTGATGGAAAGTCTCTGAAACCCAACCTACGGAGGCCCCTCCCTGTCATCTCCTGGTGCATGGAACAGCGACTTTGCCATCACTGAGGTTCCGGGCACAGAACCTGCCTCAGTCCAGCGTCCCTATCCGCTGTAAGAAAGGGTGAAGGATCCAGTATGGGAGATGGAGATTGTCCATATCCCGAGGGAGGGACTGGCCAGGGCACACCCGCCAAGGGCACCTTGTGTCCCTGCTCTGCAGAGACCGCCCAGCTCTAGGTGCCTGAGTGTTTTCTGCTCTCCACATTTGAAACCCTAACAAAACCCCTGAGCAATCAGGCCGTGTGGAGGCAAAGAGCCTCTCCTGTAACAGTGTGGTCCTTCCAGCCTTCTCTCACATGCGGAATTTGGCAGACAGTGATGTGAGACGCTCACATGGCAAACTTTCTTTTCTGTTTCTCTTTGGCACAAAGCCTCAGCGCTCCCGCGCCTGCCCTACCACTGAACAAAACAGCCTCTTCCGGGCCCAGCTCACTTGTGCCTCCGCCCACCTCGCTGCGGGCAACACCCGTTTTCCTAAAGATTGACAAGAGGACGTGTTACTCAAATAACCACCCGCTCAGAAGAAAAAACCTCTGTGCAGAGCCTTTTGTGTTGAAAACGACACCTTCACGTTATCAGCCTTAGAGGCAGGTCTGTTTGCAGCGGTGCCCGCTGAGGAGTCTGGATTTTTAAAATACGCCAGAAATGACTTAGGGTCTCAGCCAACAGAACCAAGGAAAGTTATATTTATGTGGGAATTATTTTGTCAAAAAAGTTCCAAAATGTTGGCAAACTCTGCTCAATTATATAAGCTTTCACCTGAAGGCACAGTATTTTTTTAAAAGTCAGTTTGTGTATCTCTGTTGAAAACAATTATGAAAACAAGCATTAAATAACCTGACTAAAAAAAGTAGAATGAGGTTCACTTCCATGGAAATAATTTTATTAACAAAATTCAGAAGACCAAGCTGAGAATGGAGATCTGCATGTTTTAATCAAATGCTTTCTAAGCCAAGTCTCCTACCCTCTAACAGACGACCATTTTTAAATTGAAAGTTTAAATAGGTTGATCTTAAAAACACATTCAATGGTGAAGGAGTGTGTGTTTAAAATAAAAGTGTTTATATTTTTCAGATTTTGTTTTCTCCTGCTTCCTTAAAAAATACACTGGCCGGGTGCGGTGGCTCACGCCTGTAATCCCAGCACTTTGGGAGGCTGAGAAGGGCGGATCACGAGGTCAAGATGCTGAGACCATCCTGGCCAACATGGTGAAACCCCGTCTCTACTAAAAACACAAAAATTAGCTGGGTGTGGTGGTGGGCGCCTGTAATCCCAGCTACTCGGGAGGCTGAGGCAGGAGAATCGCTTTAACCCAGGAGGCAGAGGTTGCAGTGAGCCAAGATCGCACCACTGCACTCCAGCTCGGCAACACAGCAAGTCTCTCAAAAAAAAAAAAAAAAAAAATACTAGCACAGTGGACCCTGAAGCGCCAGCAGCAAACCCTCTGAGATGTGCGTCCGGAGTGGCCATGCCACCAGCTTTTTCTGCCCACTGTTTTGGAAAAGTGTTGATTTTGGAATGTGGTTTCCCATCACTGTGTGGACCATGGGTGAATGGGGAGGGTGGATGGTCTCTGGGGCCGTCCTCTCTCCGCCTCCAGATCAGCAGGCAGTGGATGGGTATTTGGGTCTTTCTTGTACTCACACGGATGCGATGTGTGATTCCTGGTAGGAAACAAGAAGCAGCTCACTGGCAACACCACACTGCCCCTTGCATTCCGAGGAGTCATGTAGTCATGAGGGGCATGAGCAAGATGGAGACCCAGAGGCTCACGCTCACATGATGACGGCCGAGCCGGGCCTGCAACGGAAAGGCCTGTGGCATGGGGTAACTTCAGAGCCTTCTTCTCAACAGGCACGGCCCGCAGAGCCACTGGAGGTAAGGATCCTCTCCAGCCAGGGAGGAAGCATCCCGCACCGTGCCCACTTTAAACCCTGGAGAACCATGTTTGCCTCTGTCTGGCCCTCTCCCCACCCCCCCACCTCCCTTTGCCGTCTTCTTTGTGTGTAACCTTTGTGTACAGGCTGAAGAGAAAAGTCCCAAAATCCAGCACAAGCCCCGTGACCCTTTCTCCCAGGCCCACGGTCTTGGGGCACTTTCTCAGGGCCTGACCTTGGAGCAGACAAGAGCTGAGCGCTCAGGAAGGGAACTGTCCGAGGAGCCTCCTCCACGGCGGAACTGGTGCATCATGTAGAATAACCGAGCCACACGTGCGGAGATGCTCCACGCCCCACTGCCCGTAGGTCTGAGGGAGATACTCCCCGTGTTTTGGGATGAATTGAGTTCCCCAAATTCGCATGCCAAGCCCTAAGCCCAGTACCTGTGGACGTGACCTTATCGGGGAATAGGGTCTTTGTGGAGGTAACTGGCTAAGTTTCAATGAGGTCATTAGGGCGGGCCCTAATCCAACAAGACGGGGGTCCTTATCAAAGGCGGAGATGCGGACACGGGGCAGCCACAGGGAACACCGCGTGAAGACGGAGACGGCACCCACAAGCCGAGGAGAGAGATCTGGGACAGATTCTTCTCCGAGGGCCTCAGAAGAAACCAGCCCTGCCCACACATTGACCCTGGACTCCCAGCCTGTGAGTGGTGGGCGATGAATCTGCGGTTTGCGCCGCCCCGTCTGCTATGCTGTCACAGCAGCCAAGGCCACTGGCTCTGTGCATTTCCCTGCCTCCGCCTCCCTCTCCCATCACTGACGATGCAGCACTGACTCCCTGGACAGGGCCTACATTGGGTGCTGCTGATGGCGAGACTGTCATCCCCCGACATGAAGGCAAGGGCTGGGCTCAGAAGCCTGGATACCGTGGCTGCCTCTGCCCCACCCTCAGCTCTGGGACAAACCTTCAGTCCCAGCCTGTCTGCCCACGTCTCTCCAGCTGTGCAATCGGCACACCCACGTCCACGTGGCTCCTCATGGGGCCAAAGAGCAGCCGTGGCCAGGAAAGCAGTCAGAGAGGCCCAGGGTTGAACCCAAGGTCACTGCCCTTGTGGTTGAGCAAAATGAAGACAGTTCCTCTTCTTAAATCCGGCTCTGTGCCTATGAAGACGGAAGCAGCAGCATTCCGCTTGCAGGTTTTTGAAAAAACAAATGGGGCAAGAGAGGCCAGGACCACGCCTGACTCAGGCGATCGGACGGGCAGGGAGGCTGCAAGGCATGGCATGAGCAGGTGGAGCTGTCAGGACTGCCCCAGCCCCTGGCTCAAAGATGCCCGACCCCAGGACCCTGCCTCGCTGGATGGTGAAGGCCAACTTCCCCTCTGTTGGAGCTGGCCTGGGCGTTGTGGGAAGGGCTGGGAGGAGGCCCAGGACAATGCAGAACAGACAGGACGTTTCACAGAGCAGGCTGCCATGTCCCTCGGGGCCTTGGGGGCTGCTGAGGCCCTGAGAAAGGTATGCATCGGGGAGGCTGGCTGTGCTGTTGCAGGGATGTGTGTGGGGCTGGATCGGGGAGGATGGCTGTGCCGTTGTAGGGGTGTGTGTGGGGCTGGATCGGGGAGGATGGCTGCACCATTGCAGGGGTGTGTGTGGGGCTGGATCAGGGAGGCTGGCTTTGCTGTTGCAGGGGTGTGTGTGGGGCTGGATCGGGGAGGATGGCTGTGCCGTTGCAGGGATGTGTGTGGGGCCGGATCGGGGAGGATGGCTGCACGGTTGCAGGGGTGTGTGCGGGGCCGGATCGGGGAGGATGGCTGCACCATTGCAGGGGTGTGTGTGGGGCCGGATCGGGGAGGATGGCTGCACCATTGCAGGCGTGTGTGCGGGGCTTGCTGACTCTCGTGCTCTGCGGACGCCCAGGGAGCGGCCCCAACCCACGCGCCGGCTTCTCGAGCTCGGCCTCTTAAGTGACAGACTCAAACACCTGAGCAACAAGTTTCCTGGGGTCACCTAATAACGATTATTTTAACAACAGTTTCCAAACAACAAACAAACCCATGGAGCACGAAACCTCTGGGGACCTTTTGAAGCTAAACGCTGAGTGGTGCCGCTTCTTGGGGAGCTCAAGGCCAGCAGGGTCCCTCCTACAGCGACCCTGGACAGTGGTTTGGGGATTCACTTGATACAAGTAATTCTCTAATTAGGATAATCTGGATGCGGCCTGCTGTGATGTAGTGATGGGGCTTCCCTGGAAGGGGGGATGTCAGGAATAGCCCTCACTGCATAGAGCACATCCCGGCGGGAGCGTTAGAGCTGAGGGATGCCTGTGGCTGAGCCGAGGGAGAGCCGGAGCCAGGAAAGCCACTGATTGGGCCCAGGGGGGCGGCGATACAAAGTCACTTTTAGAGGATGAGGAAAAGATGAAATGAACATCTAAAAACTAACGCCCTCTATGATTTAATGAACTTTCCTCTCTCTAAAAGTACTCTGGTGATTATTTCAGGGACAGCCACCCAACTGCACGGCACCATCATTTTTTCTGATACTGAGTTGATATTTTGCCCTACAGGTCACTGGAGGCCTGGCCGGAAGTGCAGGGTTATCTCAGTACTTGATTTAAGGCTCCTGCAGCTGAAAAGCTGCCCCACACGGCGGACCGGGTGGAGGAAGTCAGCTGTGCTGCTTAACCGTGGAGTCTCCGTCCCGGTCCTGCTCACCAGCTCTGCAAAGGCCTTGTCCTCCCTGCCTGATTCTCGGCACCATTTTTAACACGGTGGGATGTCTTGGATTTTTATGATAATAATTTCAGTATATGTTCAACCCATGGAAACATTTCATTTGGAAAGATGTGAAGTGGGTTAGAAAATGTCATTTCCATGCTTTTTAGAGTCGTGACTGTGGATGACTTTATAGGAGACCCAGTTGTCTGAAACATTTCACACGGCAATGAAACTATTTCCAAATATTCATTTTCAAAATGTGCCACAGCTGGCTGTTTTTTGTTTTCGCTTTTCAAGCACACACATTTTCTCACACACAGCTCAGATGTCTATTTTACACTGAAGGTTTATTTTACTGGGGAGTGTTTGCTGGGGCGTCCCGTTCCCACCACAGGCCGGTGCCTCCGAGGCTCAGCCTTCAACCCTCTTACATGAGTTTGCCGCAGACAACCAGCAAGCCGTGTGTGGCACACAGTTCTACTGGTTTCTCCTGGCTTTATTACAAAATGTATCACAAAGGTTAACTCACAGTAGTGCAAAGGTCTCATTTTTATAAAATGGATAAAGTGACAAAATACATTAAACATACAAAATTCACTTCTTGCACACTGAGCTTCAGGTCCTTGCTGTGCTGCAATGATGTGTGGGGTGGATTTCATATGACCTGCTGGTTCCCTCACCTCACCCAGAATCTTTTTCGTATGTCTGTCAGTCAAAGTGGTCACTTCATCCATAGTTATTCCAATTTTTAAAACTTTTTTTGACCTGTTAAGTATTGCTTAGCAATGAGTGTACACCAAGAAAGGTTTGAACAACCTGTACATTCACCCAACTGTGTAGCAGACTTCCACGGCTCATGATTTATTCTCAAATTTTTCTCCAAATTTTTAGCAGCATCTTCTATTTATCTTCCAAGCATTGCTGACAAGGGAGGTGGCCAGGTTTGCAAAGCTGCAGTGCCATCAGCTTGGGCGCCATGAGTGGGAGTCACAGCCGGGGCCACAGCACGAGGGCATGGCCATCGGCATTGCTGGTGGAGCTGGGGATGCTGGAGGGGGAGGGAGGGGAACGCTGGATGGGGAGGGAGGGGGACGCTGGAAGGGGAGGGAGGGGGATGCTGCAGGAGGAAGCTGGGGCTCTGCTGTGCCCAACACTGAAGCTGGGCCCGTGTGGGGCGGAGAGTTGATTTCACCGTTCCTGTTTTCCCTCAAGCCTATGGAGAGGCCACGTTGAGTCCAGAGGTCCGTGCGCCTCATGGCCACATCACGGCACCCGTTCACCCACACAAGGGCCAGGAGCATCCCCTAGGGAGGAGGAGATGGCAGATCTGCACAGGCTCTGCGCTCCTCTCTCTCCGGAGCGTCCTCTCCTCTGTGTGGCAGGCTCGGCGCGTGATGGAGGAGCCCCTTCTGCAGGGCTCTGTTTAGAGGGTGCCCGCCCCACAGCCTGTGGCTGCTCCTACTCATGCCAGGTGAGGCTCCTACACCCACCAGTGGCCACCGGGGAGTCACAGCTCCTTCTGCATCATCCGCCTGACCTGTTTCCTCATCTGGGATGACAACCAGATCCAGCTCTGAGGTCCGTGCCCTGAGTAGAAAAGTTCACACAGCAAAGTTTCCGGAGCCTTCCCTGACGCGCCACGTGTCCGTCCATAACTGGTCATCCTCCACATCCTGTGAGGCACGTCTCAGCACCTCTTCGTGCAAGCGCCCGCACTAGACGTTTGAGAAACAGATGTGAGCAGGCGTGGTCCTGACCTCCATCCCGAGGTTGGGGGTGGAATCACAAAGCAGGAGTGTCTGCCAGGAGCACGTGTGCCCACACAGCAGGCCTGGCCCCAGTGGCTCAGATCAGGAACAGACACGTACTCAAAGACGGCGGGTATGAGAAAGCCTTGTGAGGGAAGGGAGCCCTTTGTCGGGGGGCCTGAAAAGAAACACGGCCTTTGCTGGTTCTCTGAGTCAGCCCCCCAGCTACCACCCACACTCCTGCAGGGAGAACCCCGTCACCACCCACACTCCTGCAGGGAGAGCCTCCCAGCCACCACCCACACTCCTGCAGGGAGAGCCCCGTCACCACCCACACTCCTGCAGGGAGAGCCTCCCAGCCACCACCCACACTCCTGCAGGGAGAGCCTCCCAGCCACCACCCACACTCCTGCAGGGAGAGCCCCGTCACCACCCACACTCCTGTAGGGAGAGCCCCGGCCACCACCCACACTCCTGCAGGGAGAGTCCCCCAGCCACCACCCACACTCCTGCAGGGAGAGCCCCAGCTACTGTACACACTCCTGCAGGGAGAGCCCCAGCCACTGTACACACTCCTGCAGGGAGAGCCTCCCAGCCACCACCCACACTCCTGCAGGGAGAGCCCCCCAGCCACTGTACACACTCCTGCAGGGAGAGCCCCGGCCACCACCCACACTCCTGCAGGGAGAGCCCCCCAGCTACCACCCACACTCCTGCAGGGAGAGCCCCGTCACCACCCACACTCCTGCAGGGAGAGCCTCCCAGCCACCACCCACACTCCTGCAGGGAGAGCCCCCCAGCTACCACCCACACTCCTGCAGGGAGAGCCCCCCAGCTACCACCCACACTCCTGCAGGGAGAGCCCCCCAGCTACCACCCACACTCCTGCAGGGAGAGCCCCGTCACCACCCACACTCCTGCAGGGAGAGCCTCCCAGCCACCACCCACACTCCTGCAGGGAGAGCCCCCCAGCTACCACCCACACTCCTGCAGGGAGAGCCCCGTCACCACCCACACTCCTGCAGGGAGAGCCCCCCAGCTACCACCCACACTCCTGCAGGGAGAGCCCCCCAGCTACCACCCACACTCCTGCAGGGAGAACCCCGTCACCACCCACACTCCTGCAGGGAGAGCCTCCCAGCCACCACCCACACTCCTGCAGGGAGAGCCCCGTCACCACCCACACTCCTGCAGGGAGAGCCTCCCAGCCACCACCCACACTCCTGCAGGGAGAGCCTCCCAGCCACCACCCACACTCCTGCAGGGAGAGCCCCGTCACCACCCACACTCCTGTAGGGAGAGCCCCGGCCACCACCCACACTCCTGCAGGGAGAGTCCCCCAGCCACCACCCACACTCCTGCAGGGAGAGCCCCAGCTACTGTACACACTCCTGCAGGGAGAGCCCCAGCCACTGTACACACTCCTGCAGGGAGAGCCTCCCAGCCACCACCCACACTCCTGCAGGGAGAGCCCCCCAGCCACTGTACACACTCCTGCAGGGAGAGCCCCGGCCACCACCCACACTCCTGCAGGGAGAGCCCCCCAGCTACCACCCACACTCCTGCAGGGAGAGCCCCGTCACCACCCACACTCCTGCAGGGAGAGCCTCCCAGCCACCACCCACACTCCTGCAGGGAGAGCCCCCCAGCTACCACCCACACTCCTGCAGGGAGAGCCCCCCAGCTACCACCCACACTCCTGCAGGGAGAGCCCCCCAGCCACCACCCACACTCCTGCAGGGAGAGCCTCCCAGCCACCACCCACACTCCTGCAGGGAGAGCCCCCCAGCCACCACCCACACTCCTGCAGGGAGAGCCCCGTCACCACCCACACTCCTGCAGGGAGAGCCTCCCAGCCACCACCCACACTCCTGCAGGGAGAGCCCCGTCACCACCCACACTCCTGTAGGGAGAGCCCCGGCCACCACCCACACTCCTGCAGGGAGAGCCCCCCAGCCACCACCCACACTCCTGCAGGGAGAGTCCCCCAGCCACCACCCACACTCCTGCAGGGAGAGCCCCAGCTACTGTACACACTCCTGCAGGGAGAGCCCCAGCCACTGTACACACTCCTGCAGGGAGAGCCTCCCAGCCACCACCCACACTCCTGCAGGGAGAGCCCCCCAGCCACTGTACACACTCCTGCAGGGAGAGCCCCGGCCACCACCCACACTCCTGCAGGGAGAGCCCCAGCCACTGTACACACTCCTGCAGGGAGAGCCCCCAGCTCTGCAGCACAGACCCCAGAGACAGCATGCGGCTTCGTGATTCCTGTGGAGCAGAGTGGGGACAGCCTGCTATGGAGCAGCAGCCCACTGGGGGAGCCTCGAGACTTGCAACGACCCAGACCCAATTCCCTGAGGCCCCAGCCTGTGGTGGCAGGGCCCACAGCCTGCGATCTCTGCATACCCTGGATTTCAGAGGTCACTGCAGTCAGGCCACCTGAGGACACACACCTGAGGGTGGTGCCCAAGCCAAGACTCTCTCTAGGGATGTCCACGTGACCCCAGAGAAGCAGCCCACCCCACAGTCCACCCACAGCCTTCGCGCCTCTCCAGGAGCTGGGCCACTTTTCACACACAGGATCCACGTCTTGGTTATTATCGAACACTCTTGGAGCTTCCCAAGACTGCAGTTTTAAAAGAAATGGCGGAGTTGGCAGTATTTGGAGGTAGTAATGAATTTTCATCTTTGTTCTCCTATAGGAACGTTTCAGAGCTGAGTCCACATATCTAATTGAGTGCTGTGTGAACGCGTTTCCACGCTGGAACTAGATACCACTCCATGCAAATCTCATTTCTGTTCTTTAACGATGCCTTTTAATATCTAATCTGGGCCTTAATATCTCGCTCACTAAACGTGTTGAGATAATTAGATGATAGAGCTAGACAATTACTCTGTGGGTAGAGAGCAGACAGTTTCTTATATTTATACAAATACACATAGTTAAAATGAAACAGAACTGGCAGCATTCACGGTCCGTCCAACCAGGGAAGGCCACTGACGGCCGGGGCTGGTCAGCTCAGGCAGCAGCTGGCCGGGTGCATTTCTATTTCTAGTTTTTCACGGAACTGACCAGGCAATTCAGTCAGTAGCTGTCAAAACTGGAGTCCAGAACAGGCACAGATGGGCTGGCCCAAAGTTAATTAAAAACCAAGAAGAGGATAAAGAAATGTGGCCCAGTCCAGGGAGCTGTGGAGAGGTGGGGGGCAGGGTGACCTTCTCTTTCTTGTGGGGGTTGGAAGAGGAACCCCACGGCACAGCGGACACCATGTGGGACCCCAGCACGGGCGCTTTGGGATGTCGGCAGAGGCACGCATGCCTCCAGGGATGTGCCAGCTCAGGGAGGCACCCTGTGCGTGCTCCATGGTGACACTGCCCCACGGGGTCCAAATGCTGAATTCCTGTACCTTTTACATACGTGAAGTCTATACAATAATGGAACCGAAGCCCTCTGTGGGGAATCCGTGGGAGGATGAGAGGCCTGGATTGCACCGGAAGCACCTCCGGCTGGAGCTCGGCCAAGGAGCCCGGGTCCCTTCAGTCTGCGCTCCCTGCGGTGGGCAGTGGCTTCTGTGTTTTGCCGTCGAGGTGCAACATGCAGCTGGTGATGCCCTGTGGCATCTGCCTCCTGCCCTCGGACATGCTGGCCCGCCCTCCCTGAGTCTTGCAGGGCCCAGCCGCTGTGCCTCTGTGTGGCCTCCCCACCTTACCTGCAGACACGCTCCCTGTACTCAAAGCCGAGCTGTGTGAGGCTTTTGGGGCTGCCAGAACAAAGGACTCCAGACGGATGGGCTTGAAACAGTGGATGCCTGCAGTCTCACAGGCTGGGTTTGGAGACCTTGCTTGGAGGTGTCTGCAGGGCCTTGAAGGGGACACCGACCCTTCCTGACTCCCAGCCTCTGCGTTGCCAGCAGCCCTCGGCCCACAGACACAGCGCTTCCCTCCTGCCTCCGAGCCACGCAGACGGCTTCCCTCTGCATGCCGGAGTCTGTCCTCTCCGTCGCAGGGACACGGATGCTTCGAGGACTCTGTGTGCCGGAGTCTGTCCTCCCCATCACAGGGACACTGCTGCTTCGAGGACTCTGTGTGCCGGAGTCTGTCCTCCCCATCACAGGGACACTGCTGCTTCGAGGACTCTGTGTGCCGGAGTCTGTCCTCCCCATCACAGGGACACTGCTGCTTCGAGGACTCTGTGTGCCGGAGTCTGTCCTCCCCATCACAGGGACACTGCTGCTTCGAGGACTCTGTGTGCCGGAGTCTGTCCTCCCCATCACAGGGACACTGCTGCTTCGAGGACTCTGTGTGCTGGAGTTTGTCCTTCCTGTCGCAGGGACATGGCCGCATCAAGGACCTACTGCAGCACGGTGCCTCCTTCACCAAGCGAACTGTGTCTGCAACAGTCCTATGTCCACGGAAGGTCCCATTCTGAGCTGCCGAGGTCCAGGACTTCAACATATCTTTCTGCGGAGACAGTTCAGCCTATAGCATTAGCTCATGTGCCCTCTGTTAGGAAGTTCCCTGACAGACTTGAGCCCACGGCTAGGGGATTCCCTTCTGAACACAGAATGTCTTGCTTATTTCACACGTGTGCTAATTTGCTGTACACCACCGGCTTATTTAATTGTTGTGCATTTATTGTATTTCTCCACTAGATTATTTACTAACTGGGGTCAGGATCCATGACTTTTTAACATTGATATTCATCTCTCTTTTTAGAACAGAAATGGGTGCCCAGCTGGTCAACATACATTTGTTACCTTGCTTTAAAATGCCTTGAGAGTGGAACCACCGGTGCAGGCTTGGCTGGTCAAGAATCATGTTCTAGAAATTATTTCCAGTGCTGAGCACAGTCCCTGAGATTTAAAAACGCTTATGGGATGAATGGAAAATAGCAGGGCCTCTTACCGGCCTGCAACGCCTTTAGAGGCACGGATGCCACGTGCACAGACCCAGCTCCGGGAAGCACAAGCCTGGTGGTGTGCGGGAAGCGGCGAGGTGCGCGGGAAGCGGCGAGGTGTGCGGGAAGCGGCGAGGACCGGCTTTAAAGTCACAGCAGTTTCCTGAAAGATGAGGGGGAGGAGGACAGTGACGCTCACAGCACAGCCACTTGTCAACTTGGACATGACACACACAAAGCCCAGAGCTCGGACGGCACCGCGAGGAGGCTGGGATTCACGTCAGGCGGCACTTGGTGGGCAGTTACAAGAAAGGACGGCAGCCAAGCCAGTGCCTCCTGTGCTCCGGCTCTGGGGCCCTGGACACACCTGGGGATTCAGTTTTGCATGGACCAGCATTCTCCAAGCGCTCTGATCAGTCTTACAGGAGAAGTAGGCTGTGTGGTCTGGGAGCCTTGAGAAGGTTCCGCTGTAATCTGTCAGACTTTTGGACAGGATTTTTCTGCCTTACGTGGCTGATGTACGTCTGCAGGAGGGTAGCACACGGCACCCTCTCGGCCTGCTGTGCCACAAAACCTTTGCTTTTACAGGTCTCACGGAGCCAGTGGGCTGCCCAATGCCCCAGTGCAGAGTGGAGACGAGGTCTTCCCCTCCTTCCCAGCTTGCCTGGGCGGCGACGCGTCTCAGAGACCTCTGCCAGGGTCAATCCTGGCCCATGCTACTAGCTCGGGGTGTGAAGTCACAGTTGATGCTGAACACCTGGCTGGGCCAGACTTGTGCCCAAGAAACCTTATACCACCAACTGGTTTTCAAAAGAAAAAAATTAAAAGTAATTCAAAACTTTGAGATATAAATATAATTCTTTAAAAACTGCAGCGTGGTTCACTGGCCCTGTGATGGGCTGAATGCGCCCCCAAGTTCATGTGGCAGCCTTGACCCCCAGGACCTCAGCGTGTGGCGTCTTGGAGACAGGGGCTTTACAGAGGCGATGAAGGTAAAACAAGCTCTTATGGCGACCCTGACCCAGCAGGACCGGTATCCTTATCAGAAAGGGATATCTGGACACAGAGACAGACGTGCACGTGTGGAGACACCTGAAGATGAAGATGGCATCTACCAGGCGGGGGAGTGGCCTCAGGAGAAACGGGCTCTGCCCACGCCTCGACCTCGGACTTCCAGCCTCCAGAGCCGTGTGAAAAGAAACTTCCATCATTTAAGCTGCCCTGTCTGTGGGACTTTGCCTCGGCAGCCTGAGCAGACAGTACAGGCTCCAAAAACGCTCTCTGCATGTGTGATTCTGGCCAGGACCACCCTGCCCGAAGCCACGGCTATGTCGAAGCTAATTGTGCGATTTCTGCCGGCCACGTGGTTTTGATCCAAAAGCATTTGAAAGCTGCTCTGAAGATGCAGAAAAGCTGAGTCCCGGCATCGCTGCTCCTTCCAAGCGACTGTTCACACACAGGGTGTGAGTGCGTCCCCCCATCCAGGGTCCAGCCTGGCCTAAGGCTCACTGGGCACCATCCAGATCTGTGACTGGGTCCCCCCATCCAGGGTCCAGCCCACCCGAGGTTCACTGGGCACCATCCAGAGGCCCCAGATGCCGACACCTGGGGACGGGCTGTATCAGGCAGATGTTTCCTCCCGGGCTCCACCTGGGGACGGGCCCCGGATGCTGACACCTGGGGATGGGCTGTATTAGGCAGATGTTCCTCCCGGGCTCTAGTTTTCCAGGCCGACAGGAGGAAGTCCTGTTGGGGCCAGGGGAGGCATTGGGGATGAGATTGAGAGGATGGTGGGGTCGCAAAGGTTTACATTGCCTGTGCCACTTTCTCCAAGGTCTGGGGCCGCCACCCTGTGGTGCCTC
Source organism: Homo sapiens (assembly GCF_000001405.40). NCBI lineage: Eukaryota > Metazoa > Chordata > Mammalia > Primates > Hominidae > Homo > Homo sapiens. Next base: position 157,864,588 of record NC_000007.14, read on the forward strand.
TGGAAGCTGCCATGTGGGGCTGGCCCACGGTGACTGGCCACGGCGGGGCTGTGTGTGGTATGCACCTGTGAGCTGCTGAAACGCAGCCTGGCGGCCAGGAACCAGCTGCCCCATCCTCTCTGCAGGAGGTCAGGTTTGAGCACGTATTCCCTCAAACGCTCATAGACGTCAGTATCTCAGGACAAAGTGCTTGTCTGAGACCCAGGTTTGGGCCCCAAGGTGGTACCATCGAGGGAGGCATGTTCTGGCAGGTGACAGCCCCTCCTCTGTGCCTGAACCTGCAGTTTCTGCCCCCGCATAAAATGCCGCCATCTCAGGCCCTCCCTGACCCCCAACCTGCACAAGGGCTCACAGCTGGCAGGCACCTGTGTGGGGTCGTGGTAGGACCTGTGTCTCTGAGGTCCAGCCCAAGGCTGTGCCACATAGGCCCAAATCCAAGCACTCCCCTCCTGGGCACGTGGCTGTGTGTGCATGTGTGGCTGGGTGGGCAGGGGGGTTGACTCTGGCCACCGAAATGGAGAGGAGCGGTGCACTCCCTGGGTCTGGCCCACGCAGGCTCCTTCCCAAGTGCTGCTGCCGGGAAATGGAGGTCCCTAGGTGAGACGGGAGCCGGGCACTGTGGGGGTGGCCCCTGAGGGGCTGCAGGTTGGCACTGCCCAGCTGACGCATTCCGCAGTCCTGCACCAGGGGATGAACGAGGAATCGGCTTCTGCTCTGCTGAACATCCCACTGGTTCATGTCCACTTGTTTGGGTGATCCTAACTGATCTGCTACCTGAGTTTGAATCTCAGCGCTATTATTAGTCAGGGGTCCTGGAGGTGGGTGACCCCACCTCACCTAAACCACAGAGATGCTCATCCTCATGCATGCACACGTCCATCTCAGCTTCAGCTCGCAAGCAGGACCCTCACCGTGGGGCCACGACGGACCCTGCAAAGCTGGTCTGACTGTGCCGAGCCTGTCGGGGGTTGGGGGAAGGAAGGCGGGAGCTCGGCATCTGGAGGGCAGTGGAGACCCTCAGCGAGTGCCAGGAGGATCTGCTGTCTTCCCAGTGTTGTCTTCACAGTGGAGAGATGAGTTCACACAGCCTTATCTGTGTTTCCAGTGGCCTCTGTGTGCAAGACGGGCCACGGGTTTTGTGCGGTATTTGCCTGTGGGTCACAGCCAGGTGAATGGGCCCTCCTGGGGCTGCAGCCCCAGGTCCTGATGTTACTTGTGCCAGCCTGGCCACAGTGCCCGGCCTCCAGAAGCTGCTGTCAGAGGAGCAGACGGGAGGGCAGGGTGGACGGTTAACAGGGTCAAGGCCCCAGAGCCCCACACCCTCCCCAGCAGCCAGCACACCCTCTGTTCTGTGACCTCGCCCCTGCATTGCGGCAACTGACAGATGCTCCCCGGCCTCCTTCCCCGCTGCCGCGCAACCTCTGACAGCCACGTGTACTCTCCTGCTTTAGAACAAGGACCTTTCCCTTTTGTGCATGAATACGCTCTCAGCAGATGCGAGAAAATGGGAGTCAAATGCACCTTTGTGGTTTCTTTTCCTTCTACACAAACACCACTTGAGTGAGGCCCGGGTTCTGCAAAGGGAAAGTAGTCGTCACTTTCTAGGCCCCACCATGAGCCGGGGCTCAAATCCCATCCTGGCCTGCTGGGCATTTGTTTCATCAATTAAGAGTCAGTGAGCAGGAAACAACATTGCATATTCACACAAACACACGTGCATATCCAAATACACATACACACACATGCATATGCAGAGTTATATACATATATAAGCACACACATACACATGAGCACACACACGTCCACATGTACACACATACATACATATGCATGAGCACACACACGACCATATGTACACACACGAACATGCACGATCACACCCATATCCCTCGTGTACACACACACACACATACACACAGTGCTCATGACCTACTAAACAGCGCATGTGCCTCTCAGCCCTTGCCATGACAACCATGAGGTCTGCAGGAAACACGTCCATAGAGGTGGAGCTGAGGCTGGTGTGCATTCTCCCAGGCACCCAGCATGAGTGCCCAGCTCAGGGTCTGCACCGAGGCTGTCTGGCCCGAGTCCCAGGCTCGCCCCAGTGCTTGCCACACACACCCTGGGGTCTCCTCAGAAGCAGTGCCTGTGCCCCGAGATGCACGGCCACCACCCCGCCCCTGAGGCCCTGGATACACGGCCACTACCCCGCCCCCGACGCCCTGGATACATGGCCACCACCGCCCCCCCCCGACGCCCTGGATACACGGCCACCACCCCGCCCCCGACGCCCTGGATACACGGCCACCACCCCGCCCCCGACGCCCTGGATACACGGCCACCACCCCGCCCCCGACGCCCTGGATACACGGCCACCACCCCGTCCCCGACGCCCTGGATACACGGCCACCACCCCGTCCCTGACGCCCTGGATACACGGCCACCTGGATACACGGCCACCACCCCGCCCCTGACGCCCTGGATACACGGCCACCACCCCGCCCCTGACGCCCTGGATACACGGCCACCACCCCGTCCCTGACGCCCTGGATACACGGCCACCACCCCGCCCCTGACGCCCTGGATACACGGCCACCACCCCGCCCCTGACGCCCTGGATACACGGCCACCACCCCGTCCCTGACGCCCTGGATACACGGCCACCACCCCGTCCCTGACGCCCTGGATACACGGCCACCACCCCGTCCCTGACGCCCTGGATACACGGCCACCACCCTGTCCCTGACACCCTGGATACACGGCCACCACCCCGCCCCTGACGCCCTGGATACACGGCCACCACCCTGTCCCTGACGCCCTGGATACACGGCCACCTGGATACACGGCCACCACCCCGCCCCTGACGCTCTGGATACAGGGCCACCACCCTGTCCCTGACGCCCTGGATACACGGCCACCTGGATACACGGCCACCACCCCGCCCCTGACGCTCTGGATACACGGCCACCACCCTGTCCCTGACGCCCTGGATACACGGCCACCACCCTGTCCCTGACGCCCTGGATACACGGCCACCACCCCGCCCAGACTGAAGGGTGACACCAGAGGCAAAAAGAGTGAACTAGATTCACGTAAATCAACATGAATAAACTTCAAAACAGAACAGATGGAAAGACTGGAAAAGTCCACGCACTAATGTTCATTCAGGCAGAAAGAGTGAGGGTCCCTCCCAGAATCCAGTCCAGGGAGACTCCTTCTCTTCCTTTCTGCATGGGCCCGAGGAGCTGGTCCCTAGACTGCTCAGATCCAATCCACAGTCCGTGAGCAAAGGGCCGCAGGCGTGGTGGAGGTGTGCCCAGGCCCAGCATGCCCCCAGAGTCCACAAGAGCAGGACTGGGGGCACCGTGCCTGCGCCAGCCCAAGCTGCCCAGACTTCCTCTGGACAGCAGGCCTCCTGAGCCCTGGAGATTAACTCACTGCCGCAGGTAGGATCACCTGAGTCCTCTAGGAACCCAGCCCGCATCCTGGGCAAGAGGCCCACATGCACCTTAGAAAGGGCCCGAAACAGTTCACGAGTGGGGTGTGGGCTGTGGGTCCAGACACAGTTATCCTAAGGCCAGGCACAGGAAGGGTTCCTTTCCCGATGGCTCCGACAGCCCAGTGGTGCACCTACAACTGCTTCCCATCGAGGTGGTGGGCTGGGACTCGGCAAGCCCATCTGAACAGGGCTCTCTGCAGGCAGCCCCAGGCCTGGAGTTTGCCAAGTGATGAGTTTTCCTGTCTGAGCTTGTTTCCATCATCTCCACGATGAACGTAGGACACCAGGACATTGGATCTCTGCGGGGCAGCAGCTCATGGCCCAGCTGTAGGAAAGCAGACCCAGCCTCTGGATTAAAACCATGCCTGGAGGAAACTGGCCTTGTGAGTGTCAGGGCTGCGCTGCTGTCTTCCAGGTCCTCCCTGGTTTAATTTAGCAAAACTACCAATGCCAAGAACTGGTTAAATTTTTTAAAGGGAAGAAAGTATGACACATGGAGAAAAAGGTGCAGCCCATTTCCCAGCCTGAGGACTGGCCGGGGAAATAACTCTGAGCCCTCGAGATGAGGGGCTATGCCTTCCCTTGCTCACTCCCTCCCTCACCCACCTGCCCACTCGCCCATCCACTCAACAGCGGTCGTTCTTCATTGTATTGTGAGCTCCCTCTGGGCTGTGCACTCCGGGCCATGCGTGGCTGGTAACTGGGAAATGCTCGACATGGAAAATTCTGCTTGATCATCTGAGATGCCACCTCAGTCTTGGGGAACTCAAGGCCAGGAGGGTCACACAACCCATTTAGCATTGCCTAGCACCAGTGGTGAGGCCAGGCCTCCCGCGCCCTCCATCTTTCTGCCACCACAGTCGTTTGGGGACTCAGTTCCATGTAGAACCAGATGAAGATTCATAAAGGCCAGTGGGATAAAGACTTCCCAATGTCCCGAAACACCCTGACACGTGTAATTCCAAATCTGTAAGTACTAAGTTTTAAAATGCGTGTGAGCAAGTCAAATTTCTGATGTTTCCCTGGATGACAAGATGTTTTCTTTATTAAAATATCAAGGTCTTTCTACAAATCTTTCCTGATACCTCAACTTTGCCAGGGTCCTAAGCGTGTGCTTAGGTACTTGCAGAGCCTCCCAGCATGGGAGGTCTGGGTAGGGCCTTGGAGGCCTGCTGGGAGGTCTGTGGACTCCAGGCCGCTCACTTATCCCCATGCATATAAAATTCCTAGGGATAATTTCATTTGATGACAGAGTTACACTTAATGCCAAAGTAAAGAAAAAGTTTACATTTTTCCTGAGTTAGCAGACAAATATAAGGGGACTTCAAAAAGTTCACAGAAAAATTGGATTAAAAGGTAAAAATAAAAATATAAACTTTATTTCTCAACATAATCTCCACCAGGGCCAAGACACTTTTGCAAGGGATCAAACCCACCATTTAGTCCATTCCCAAGGCACTGAGGACCTTGGGAATTTAGCCACATCAATGCAGTCTTTTTCCCATTACTATCTAAGGAAAAATGGGTACCCTCTGGATATATTTTAAGAATGGAAAACAAAAAGAAGTGAGAAGGAGCCAAACCAGGACTGTAGGGGGATGCCTCATGAGTTCTCATCGGAACTCTTGCTAAATTGCCCGTGTTTGATGAGAGGAGTGAGCTGAAGCCTTGTCCTGGTGGAGAAGGGCTCTCTGGTGAAGCTTTCCCAGGCATTTTTCTGCTAAAGTTTTTATAACTTTCTCAAAACACCCACATAATAAGCAGATGTTATTTTTCTCTGGCCCTCCAGAAAGTCAACATGCAAAATGCCTTGAGCATCCCAACATCTACTGCCATGACCTTTGCTCTTGATCAGTCTGCTGTTGCTTCGATGGGACCCCTTCCGCCTCTCGGTAGCCACTGCTGTGGTTGTGCTTGGTCATCAGGATGGTACTGGTAAAGCCATGTTTCCTCTCCTGTTGCAATTCTTCAAGGAAATGCTTCAGGATCTTGATTCCGCTGTTAAAAATTTCCATTGAAAGCTCTGCCCTTGGCTGCAGCTCATCTGGGTGCAATGGTTTTGGAACCCATGGAGTGGAAAGTTTGCTCAACTTTAATTTTCCAGCCAGAATTATGTAAGCTGAACCAGCCGAGATGTCTATGGTGTTGGCTGCTGTTTCTGCTGTTAATTGTTGGTTCTCTCCAATTAGGATATAAACAAGGTTAATTTTTTCCTTGCAAATTGATGAGGGGGTCTGCCACTATAGGATTCATCTTCAATATCATCTCATTCTTTCTTAAAATGAGTTCTCCATTTGAAAGCTGCTGATTTCTTTGGGGTGTTGTCCCTATAAACTTTTCATAAAGCATCAATGACTTCATCATTGTTCCACCCATGTTTCACCACAATTTTGATGTTTGTTCTTCCTTCAATTTTAGCAGAATTCATGTTGCTCTGATAGGGGCTCTTTTCAAACTGATATATTCTCTTCCTAGCCTTAAACTAGATCCTGTTCAGACATGTTACAACAAGTTAGTATGAGTTTATTTTGGTGCAGAAAGATTTTTGAAATCCATGCATAGTTTTCCATGATCCACATTTTCCATGGACCTTCTTCAGAATCTCTTCCATAACAAGCCTGATGGCTGCTTGGGGTGCTGGCTGAACTCAGAGTAATGCCTGTGAGCCGCCAGGAATCCTGCTCTGGGGCCAGGAGCTGCATGGCCTCGTGCCAGCCTCCCGCACCTGCACCCCCACCTTGATCCCCCAGAGCACCTGGGTTGCGTAAGGGGCTGCACACCACAGTCATCTGTTTCTTAAAGTACTTTGATGTTGATCTTTCTGTGAGACTCTGGAAGTGGAGATAGCTTTGGGTTTATTGGGCGTTCGATGTTGGGGATTGGATGGCCTGGCTCAGAGATGTTGAAATGTCCCCGACCTGAAGGCTCTTGCAGTGCTGGTGCTGGGGGCGCTAGGCCATGAGCTGCACAGCTGGGGTAGGGGCCTCAGGGCTGCCTGGACTTCCTTACGAAGAAGCTGGCTCCCAGAGCTTCCAAAGTTGACGGTTCTGAACTAGGCACCAATCTTTCCTCTTTTCTCAGCTGGGGAGGCCCAGTTGCTCAAAGCTGTGGTTCTCAAAGTGGGGTCCCCAGACTGGCAGCACCCAGGGAGCTTGTTAGAAACACAGATCCTTGGGCCCTGCCTCGGACCCCCTGAGTCAGAGGTTCTGGGGTGAACCAGCAACCTGTGTGTTTACAAGCCCTGCAGGTGATTCTGATGCAGGCTGACATATGAGAACTGTGGGCCTGGGGGATTTGGGTTGTTCTGCTTATGGGAAAGGGCAGGCGTGACCTCTGAGAGAACTTGTAAGATGTGAGAGTCCAAAAGCTTCCTCTAAATTGGACTCAAGGTCGCGTTCATCGGCAGCTGTGATGTAGGAGGCACCCTAGGTGTTTGCCAATGGCATTTGTCTCTATTGGCCGACACCACCCCAGGGCCCCTGAAGAGCAACCGGGACTCACTGGCACAACTTCACCCTCCTCCTTTTATTTTTTTTTGTAATACAAAGGCTTGAGGTACAGTATTATTTTTGGAGGGATTTTTTCCTATTATAAACTAGTAATGTCTTAGGGTTAACATTTCCCTAACACACATATACACATACATACACATATGCCTTCCCACACATATGCACACATACACACACACACACAGACCCCTAAATACCTACACACCCACACACCCACAAAAATGCACACACACCCATGTCTACACATGTGCACTCAGCTCCAGAACACAGGATGTGGCCACGCATACCCAGCACCTCCCCACACACAAATACCCAGCGTCCTTCCCATACCTGCATACCCAGCACTTTCCCACACACATACCCAGCGCTTCCCCACACACACATACCCAGTGTCCTCCCCACACACACATACCCAGTGTCCTCCCCACACACACATACCCAGCGCCTCCCCACACACACCCAGTGTCCTCCCCACACACACATACACAGCGCTTCTCCACACACACATACCCAGCGCCTCCCCACACACACCCAGTGTCCTCCCCACACACACATACACAGCGCCTCCCCACACACACATACCCAGCGCCTCCCCACACACCCATACCCAGTGTCCTCCGCATACACACATACCCAGTGTCCTCCCCACACACACATATCCAGTGTCCTCCCCACACACACATACCCAGTGTCCTCCCCACACACGCATACCCAGTGTCCTCCCCACACACCCATACCCAGTGTCCTCCCCCCACACACATACCCAGTGTCCTCCCCCCACACACATACCCAGTGTCCTCCCCCCACACACATACCCAGTGTCTTTCCCACACACACATACCCAGTGTCCTCCCCACACACGCATATCCAGTGTCCTCCCCACACACGCATATCCAGTGTCCTCCCCACACACGCATATCCAGTGCCTCCGCACACATGGATACCCAGTGCCTTCCCACGCTATGTCCTCACAGCTGTTTCCCCTACCCAATGCCCATGTAACTGTGTCCTGACACTTGGTGGCCTCCTTGGTTTCCCGGTATAACTAAGCACTGAGAGGCGCTCTTGCGCCCAGGCCGCCTGTCCAACTGGGGCAGGCTCCATCTTGCAGGAGGTAGAAGGAGGGTGCAGAGTCCCTGAGGCCCTCAGTCCACATGCCCCTCCTTGGAGTGTCCCCTCCCCGCCCTGTCAGGGCTCCTGAGAGTTTCCTCAGCTTCCTGGCGGGGTAGAGGGGTGACGGGTGCTTTCTGTGTGGGCCCTGTCTGCTGCTGCCTCTCCACAGCTCCCCTTCAAGGGCCACCCATGTCCGCAGGCCACCTCCCCTTGCTGGGAGCACTCATTTCCCAGGTGGTGCTTGTCCTCTTCCTGGGACACTTTTCTGTCTGCACTAGAACTTGACAGAGGAAGCCACAAAGCTTCCTGGCCATGGAAAGTGGGAACTGGCCACGGAACAGGGGAACTGCCCCTGGCCGTGTATGTCCCTCACCCGAGCCCTGTCTCCTAGGCTCTCGCTTCCATTTTGCACTGAGACCTCTGCCTCATTCCCTCTGACCGGGCCTCTTGCCTGCCCTGAAGTCCTGCTTCCTCGCTGCTTGTGGGAGGGGGAGGCTCCGACTGTCTCTCCTTTATCCACCAATGTTTCCGCCACCAGCGAGTGCTGAGCAAGTATCTGTTGAATAAATGAATGTGCACCAGGAAAGAAAGCAGCCGCCTGGCCTGACCTCGTCTGAGGCTCTGGATGGGATACGCTTCCCAGTTTGCTCGCTTCCCTGGAGAAACCCCCGGAGGGCCGCGCCCCGAGGCTTTGCTCCGACGTGTGCCAAGGACATGTGCTGGGAGCGTCTGCAAGGTCCGTCTCGCCGTGGGGGCCGGGAGGAGAACGTACCGTCCTCAAGGTCCGTCTCGCCGTGGGGGCCGGGAGGAGAACGTACTGTCCTCAAGGTCTGTCTCGTCGTGGGGGCCGGGAGGAGAACGTACTGTCCTCAAGGTCTGTCTCGTCGTGGGGGCCGGGAGGAGAACGTACTGTCCTCAAGGTCTGTCTCGTCGTGGGGGCCGGGAGGAGAACGTACTGTCCTCAAGGTCTGTCTCGTCGTGGGGGCCGGGAGGAGAACGTACTGTCCTCAAGCAGAATTTCCTGCGCTGGTCTCTGGGATGGGCAGAGGGCCCTGCTTTCAGGTACTGAGGAGAGCGCAGCACTCGGCATCACACTGGGGGCACAGGTCAGCAGGGGGCACCTGGGAGAGAAGAGGAGGTGGAAAGCGGAGGAGGAGGGATGGACGACCAGCTGGGCACAAGAGGGGCTTCAGGGCACGGCAGGAGGGCCGTCCGGGGAAAGTTGTTTCCTGTCCCACTGACTTTGACGGCTCTAGGTCTGCCACAACTCCGGCAAAGTCCCAGGACCCTGAGCAGCCTCGGGAAGAGCTCTCGGGACCTCGGGGGAGTGAGGTGGCCCAGGCCTGGCACAGCTCAGTGGTGGCACGTCACATCACACATCTTCAGACCAGGCCTTCTGCAACGATTCTCTGGCCTCTCTGCTGCTCTGCCTAGCTCCAGCCTTGTCCTGCGGAAGGTGCTGAAGCGGCCCTCAGTCTGCCTCTGGCCTCCCTCTGTTTCCCCCTCCACAACTGGGCAGGCTGCTCCCTTCACCCCAACACTCCATGGCTCCCCATGGCCTGCAAATCAGATCACAGCCCCTAAGCCTGGACTGCAGTGCTCCACTTGGCCTCGCCCACCTCTCAGCCCATTTTCAACGTGACACACGCAGGTGAAGTGGACCTGACCCAGCTCCTGCTTTCTGCCCCCTCCTGTCCCCTCTCTCCTGCCCTGCCCCGATCCTGCCTCTGCTTCTGTCCACATGGCCCCAGCCACAGTGCCTTCCTGCCAGCCAACCATGTTCACAAGGAAGTTCATGTCCCCCTTAACTCGAGCTTTTATTTCAGTGAAGCTTCGGGGTCACCTGCACGGCCTCTCGTGAGTAGGGGGATTTCCTACTCGCTCCACAGACAGCTCCCGGGGTCCGGGGAGAAGCGGAGGGGGGCAGAGAAGGCCGTGCCACCCAGCAGCACAAGGCAGGGGTTTGCTTGCAGGTAGCAAAGTAACCCAAGCAGACACACACTCATGCACACACACACAGAGACACACTCATGCACATACACAGACACACACTCATGCACACACACACGAACACACTCATACACATATACACACAGAGACACACTCATGGACACACACAGAGACACACTCATGCACATATACACACGGAGACACACTCGTGCACATACACACACGGAGACACACTCGTGCACATACACACACACTCATGCACATACACAGAGAAACACTTGTGCACGGAGACACACTTGTGCACATACACAGAGACACAGGCACACACAGGCAGACGCAAACGTGCATGCACACAGACACACAGACACACGCAGACACACACACGCGCACACACAGACACACACACACACACGCTCACTCACAGGCAAACAGATGCCCTTGGGTAGACTTGTGGTCTGACAGCCGTACAGGAAGTATGTCCCAGGAGGAGCCCAGGCTGTGTCGGGGTCACCTTGACTTCACTATTTTCGAAATGCTGAATTTTGCTGCAAAGTTTTCCTAAAGGGCTTGGAAACGGTCCAGACCGTGCTGTCCTGGAAGTCTCCTGGGGGCTCCTTCTTCAAACAAGAGAAAGCTGGGGAGTTTCCAGGCGTTCCGTGAGAGCCGAGGGAGCGCGTGAGGGCTTCCTCCTATCAGCGTCCGTATTCATGGTGGGAGGTGGCAAACCTCTATCGGCAGTTTCTGATAACCTTGCTCCGGGTCACACGTTATCTTCCTGAAGTGGCAGCCACGGAAGCTGCAATTCAGGCACCAATATCAGAAAATGAGTCATTGCCGGGAACTTCACTGTGCAGTCCCAGAAGTCTTAATTCCAGCAGACAGGGTGACTCCAAAGGGAGATCGTTCCAGCCACTTCCAAGGTGTCTCTTTCTCCATCTCTTCTTGCAGCCCTGATTGTGGGGCCATGGCCTGTGCAGGAGGCGAGCAAGTGTGACCCCTGGTGGCTGCAGCAGCAGCAGCACCTTGGGCCTCGGGGGTCAGGAGGGGCTGAGTCCCCAGGTCAGGCATCCCCAGGGGGGCACGGGGCTGCAGAGGGTCAGGAGGGGCCGAGCCCCCAGGCCAGGCATCCCCAGGGTGGGCACCGGGCTGCAGAGGGTCAGGAGGGGCCGAGCCCCCAGGCCAGGCGTCCCCAGGGCAGGCACGGGGCTGCAGAGGGTCAGGAGGGGCCGAGCCCCAAGGCCAGGCATCCCCAGGGTGGGCACCGGGCTGCAGAGGGTCAGGAGGGGCCGAGCCCCCAGGCCAGGCATCCCCAGGGCAGGCACGGGGCTGCAGAGGGTCAGCAGGGCAGGTATGCCTTGGCCATCACCACTGCAGTGGCCTAGAGGTGTTCCTGGCTGTCTCCATCTGGGGCAGCACCTGCAGCTCCTTGGACAGTGTCAGAATTCACGACTCCTTGCAAACAATGCAGTCCACGCTCACCCTCCCTCCTCTCCACGAGACCTCAGTGCCCTGGACCATGGACTGGGTGCCCGAGTGGGCTCATCCAAGCCCTGTTTTTGTGTTGGTCTCCTGTTGTGACCCATCCCCTGCTATTTCTGCTGGGCCTGAGGTAAGGCGGACAGGGCTGACCCTGAAGGCAAAGCATCCTGGGGGCCACTCTTCTGGAAGCGAATTCCCAGCATGGAGAAGCCTGAATTAACCAGCAGCGGCCCCAGGACAGAGTCTGTCACCAGAGCCTGGAGACAGGATGGGTGGCTGTGTCTAAAGCCACAGCATTTTCTTTTCCTGTGGCAAGTTATCCCTTTCCTTAGAAAAAAGTACTGTTGGATGCTGACACCACCACAAATAATCTAGTTCCTTGGCAGGTCCTCTCATGAGTAAACGGCCCTAGAAGACGTTTCTCCCAGGAAGATGCACAGACGGCCAAGGCAGGCAGACGGCGGCAATCAGCAGCTTCCACGTCCACCAGGGTGGCCTTGGGAAGACCAGCGCCCCCACGTGGGGCTGGGAGAGGCCGCACTGCACCCCAAGAGTGAGGATGGGTCGGGGGCAGCGGGAATGGTGCTCTATGGGGCTTCACATGGCCCCTGCACCCCAGGGCGGAGAACTTTCTAAGAGGGAAGGTCGGGGCAGCTGCTGTGTGGGTGCCAGCAGCCACCTGGGGACAGTGCCAGCACGGGGGCATGCCGGGGGAGCCTCTGGGAGCCGCAGGAGGCACTAGGGACACGCAGCTCGCCGGCCCTCCAGGAGGACGACGTTCTGAAATGGGCCTTGATGCCCTGGACGGCCTCGCTAGCCTTTACCCACAGGGGAAGGTGCAGGATGTGGCAGTCCCTGGAGGAACCCCAGGCCTGAGTGTGGCACCAGGGTTTCCTCGGGGACCCCATATCTGAGTGCAGCACCAGGGTTTCCTCGGGGACCCCGGGTGCAAGTGCCATGGTCAGGGTTTCCTCGGGGACCCCGGCTCCGAGTGCCATGGTCAGGGTTTCCTCAGGGACCCCAGATCTGAGTGCAGCACCAGGGTTTCCTCGGGGACCCCGGGTCCGAGTGCAGCACCAGGGTTTTCTCGGGGACCCCGGGTCCGAGTGCCACACTAGAGTTTCCTCGGGGACCCCAGATCTGAGTGCAGCACCAGGGTTTCCTTGGGGACCCCGGGTCCGAGTGCAGCACCAGGGTTTTCTCGGGGACCCCGGGTCCGAGTGCCACACTAGAGTTTTCTCGGGGACCCGAGATCTGAGTGCAGCGCCAGGGTTTCCTCAGGGACCTTGGGTCCAAGTGCCATGGTCAGGGTTTCCTTGGGGACCCCAGATCTGAGTGCAGCGCCAGGGTTTCCTCGGGGCCCCGGGTCCAAGTGCCATGGTCAGGGTTTCCTCGGGGATCCCAGGTCCGAGTGCCCTACCCAGGGTTTCCTCGGGGTCCTCTCTCCTCCCCTCCGTGCACCCCGCCCACGTCACAAAGAGGAAGGTGATGTCTCTGGACCCAGCATCAAAGCCCGGGTCTTGGTGGGTGGTGCAGAAGGTGTTCCTAACAGTGGGCTGGGGAACAGCCAACCCTCCCTGTGGGCCTCAGAGCCAGGTCTCAGGAACAGGCACTGCACAGCTGGGAGCAGCAGGGACAGGAGAGGAGGGAGTCTGCTCAGAGACGTCTTCTTCAGAAACCACATTCCCCAAGCCCTTCGCCAAAATCATCAAAACATCCCACGATCAGCTCTGCTTGACCGGGGAGAAGAGGAACAGGAAATATGTCAGGGGTGAGATTTTAAAATGTGTGTGAATATAAACATTCAGCTCTGTAACATAATTAACAGCGCCCCAAGGAAAATCCCGCGTATGTCAGTAGGAAGCGTTCTTGATGCGGAGCGAAGGCTACTTGGCGGTGTTCCGGCTCTCTGACTCTGAAGGGCCTGCCCGTGTTCCTTCCTGAGGCTCAGACAAGCCCATCTCAGCTTTGCTGTCTAGGAATTTATAAGTGTAAGAGAGCAAAGATTCAGTTCCCCAAAAGATACCCTCTTGGTGGCCTGTGGTCCACGGGAGACCTCATGCACCAGGGATCCCCGTGCTGGGCCGGCCAGTGCTCAAGAGCACGGACCCTGAGGCTCCTTAAAGGGGCTGGAAGGGTCAGTGTGATACCGTGCACCCACACTTACTCACCGAGGAGCTCTCGGATTCCGTGGGGCTGGAAGGGTCAGTGTGATACCATGCACCCACACTTACTCACCGAGAAGCTCTCGGATTCCGTGGGGCTGGAAGGGTCAGTGTGATACCGTGCACCCACGCTTACTCACCGAGGAGCTCTCGGATTCCGTGGGGCTGGAAGGGTCAGTGTGATACCGTGCACCCACGCTTACTCACCGAGGAGCTCTCGGATTCCGTGGGGCTTGACGGGTCAGTGTGATACCGTGCACCCACACTTACTCACTGAGGAGCTCTCTCAGATTCCATGGGGCTGGAAGGGTCAGTGTGATACCATGCACCCACGCTTACTCACTGAGGAGCTCTCTCAGATTCCATGGGGCTGGAAGGGTCAGTGTGATACCATGCACCCACACTTACTCACTGAGGAGCTCTCGGATTCCATGGGGCTGGACGGGTCAGTGTGATACCGTGCACCCACACTTACTCACCGAGGAGCTCTCGGATTCCGTGGGGCTGGAAGGGTCAGTGTGATACCGTGCACCCACACTTACTCACCGAGGAGCTCTCGGATTCCGTGGGGCTGGAAGGGTCAGTGTGATACCATGCACCCACACTTACTCACCGAGGAGCTCTCGGATTCCGTGGGGCTTGACGGGTCAGTGTGATACCATGCACCCACGCTTACTCACTGAGGAGCTCTCTCAGATTCCATGGGGCTGGAAGGGTCAGTGTGATACCGTGCACCCACAATTACTCACCGAGGAGCTCTCTCAGATTCCATGGGGCTGGAAGGGTCAGTGTGATACCGTGCACCCACACTTACTCACCGAGGAGCTCTCGGATTCCGTGGGGCTGGACGGGTCAGTGTGATACCGTGCACCCACACTTACTCACCGAGGAGCTCTCGGATTCCGTGGGGCTGGAAGGGTCAGTGTGATACCGTGCACCCACACTTACTCACCGAGGAGCTCTTGGATTCTGTGTTTTCAAGCCTGCCCATGTGTAGGAAAAGCACAGCCTCCATGAGAACAGCAGGAACACACCCCCCAACACGCACACCCAAACACACACGCATGCACGTGCATGTGCACACACACACACTCGTGCACGCACACGTGCACGCACACACACACAGAGCAACGTCCTGCAGCTCCCATCTTTTCTTTTTAAAATCATACATATTTCATTAAGCTCCATGCAGAGTGTCTTCTGATTTATGGTAATTGTCAACAAAAGCAAAAACACAGACAATTTTAACCCTGCAGTAGCTGGGAGTTAACCGGCATGAAATCATATTTTTTTTTTCCTTTAAAAAGGGAGGGGGCTCCAAGCACTCCCTTGCATTAAACTCTGAGGATGCTGAACCAAGAGAGACAGTGTGAACCCCAGCATTGGTGGCTGTTGTCTAAGAGGCCCATGCCAGAAGCGACATCTGATAGAGTGGCCACCTCACCCCACGTGAGCCCGGCTTACTCGTGGCCTGGAGGACTTTGAGTGAGACTAATTTCCATATCAAACCCAATTTAGATGAAACGTCTTTGTTAAAAAAAAAAAAAAAAAAAGCCAGAGCTTCAATAGCCCCTTGATTAGATTTTCATCTCCTGAGCAGACAAATATGAATATTTATTACCATGAATGCATATTTTTCTCTTTCCATTGCTCTGATCTTGAGTATTATCCACTGCTAATTTTTATGAAAATTTGGGCAACATAATGTTTTCACATAAACTGACAGTCCTTGAGATAATCCCGTTATTGTCTGGTTGAAAATGACAGCTTCCGCTTATTCATGTGTTAACGAGGGATTAAATATTGTTTTTCATCCCCGTAATCTAAGACGGACTGGAAATTAAAAATTGAACATTGTATATTAGCAGGGCTCTGAGGACCAGAATTTGTTTGCGTTCACTTAGAGACGATCTGTAAATTAGCAGCTTCACAATCAGGCCCTGTGATGTTGCTGCTGAAGGTAGCATCATAAAATGCCACTGACATTTCTAAAATAAATTCATTACTCTACCCGCCGCACACCAAAATGAAAAGGCTTCTATCAGGAAATACATCGCAAAGGAAAAGACAACACTGCCAAAGAAGTAAAATTGCAACACAAGTTATATTGCTTCAACATCAAGAATTTTTTAGGGTCCCCGTGCTAGAGGGGGCACCGGCAGCTCCTGGGAGGTGTGAGTCTTGGTCATCATGTGGCGTTGGCAGAAGGAGGACCCTGTACATCCTCCCTGCAAAATCACCCAAGGGACCCGGCCCATAGGCAGATGCAGCCACGTCCTTCTCCAGCTCTGAGGGCAGGCAGGCCATCTCCACGCTGAGCATCGTTGACGGTGACACATTTGTACCATGTGGTAATTTTTACTTTATTGCTATGGCTGGATGGCTCAGACTGAACCGTGGATCTGAAGGGTTTTTGGACAAAACTATCCTATTATCCTTCTAAAAATCGCGCTAAATTTTATTCATGTATTTATTCATTAATTCACTCTCCCTGATTGCCTTGGTAGAATTTTTCACTTTTTAATTTATTGTTTGATATGGTGCAGGAAAATGGCATAGATGTATTCCTCTGAAGCTAGCTTGACCCAATGCTATCTTTTGGAACAAATGATAAAAAGGCACTCTGAGTTAAATGAGACACTAACAGGGTCAGAGTTTAGAGCTGAATTGAGTCTCTCCAAAGTGCCTATGGGAAGCTCTAATCCCAGAACTTCCGAATGTGACTGTATGTGGAGATGGAGTTGTCTATAGGAGTCATTACGGTAAAATGAGGTCATGAGGATATGTGGAGATGGGGGTGTTTACAGTAGTCATTATGATAAAATGAAGTCATGAGGGTATGTGGAGATGGAGGTGTTTACAGGAATCATTACGGTAAAATGAGGTCATGAGGGTATGTGGAGATGGGGGTGTTTACAGTAGTCATTATGGTAAAATGAGGTCATGATGGTATGTGGAGATGGGGGTGTTTACAGGAGTCATTACAGTAAAATGTGGTCATCAGGGTGAGCCTGATCCCATGTGACTGGCATCCTTGTAGGAAGGAGATGCAGACACAGGTGCACACAGAGGGGTGAGGACTTGAGGATGCAGAGACGGCATCTGAAGCCCAGGAGAGAGGCCTTGGGAGAGACCAGCCCTGCCCACACCTTGATCTTGGACTTCAGCCACCAGGATTGTGAGCAATAAAGGTTTGTGACTGAAGCCCCCCACTCTGCAGTATTCTGTTGTGGCAGCCAGAGAGGACGCACATGGTCAACATGGCAACACCCCCTCAGTACACCCTAGACATCTGAGGCCAAGCCCCTGTGACTGCAGGGATGCGTCTCTGCCTACGAGAAAGGAGAGGATTTCCTGTTTTCGTGGAACGTTAAGTCCAAGTGCTTGTCAACAGAAGAAAGTTACTTCTTAAGAATGTTCTTTTTGCTTTATGATCTCATTAAAAAAAAAAAAATAGATTGGCACTTCAGTAAAAGGGTTTGCACACACACAACCCTAATTAGACTTTTAATAGATCCTTTGTTTCACAGGAATGAAAGTGAAGGTAAAGTTTGTGCCTGTAAACTACTAAAGAGCTACTAGGGCCCAGTGTCTAGGGCCCTCCACCATCCATCAGTTTCTAATGTAGGAGATGAGAACACATCACCCCAAAAATGACTGTCATACATCAGAACATGCCACCCCAAAAACAACTGTCGAAGAACAGAACATGCTGCCCCAAAAATGACTGTCATACATCAGCACATGCCACCCCACAAACTACTGTTGAAGAACAGAACACACCACCCCAAAAATGACTGTCATACATCAGCACATGCCACCCCAAAAATGACTGTCGAAGAACAGAACATGCCACCCCAAAAATGACTGTCAAAGGCTAGAAAACACCACTCCAAAAATGACTATCAGAGACCAGATACACCACCCCAAAATGACTGTTGGAGAACAGAACACGCCACCCCAAAAATGACTGTCAGAGATCAGAACACACCACCCCAAAAATGACTATCAGAGATCAGAACACACCACCCCAAAAATGACTGTTGGAGAACAGAACATGCCATCCCAAACTTGACTATCAGAGACCAGAATACACCACCCTGAAATGACTGTCAGAGAACAGAACACATCACCCCAAAAATGACTGTCGGAGAACAGAACACACCACCCCCAAAATGACTGTCGGAGATCAGAACATACCACCCTAAAAATGACTGTCAAAGACCAGAACATGCCACCCCAAAAATGACTGTTGGAGAACAGAACACCTCACCCCAAAAATGACTGTCGAAGACCAGAACACACCACCGCAAAATGACTGTCAGAGACCAGAACACACCACCCCAAAAAGACTGTCAGAGAAAAGAACACACCACCCCAAAAATGACTGTCGGAGAACAGAATACACCACCCCAAAAAACTGTTGAAGAACAGAACACACCACCCCAAAATGACTGTCGGAGAACAGAACACACCACCCCAAAAATGACTATCAGAGACCAGAACACACCACCCCCCAAAATGACTGTCGGAGATAAAAACATGCCACCCCCAAAATGGCTGTTGGAGATCAGAACACACCACCCCAAAAATGATTGTTGGAGATCAGAACATACCACCCCAAAATTGACTGTTGGAGAACAGAACACACCACCCCAAAACGACTGTTGGAGAACAGAACATGCCACCCCAAAAATGACTGTCAGAGAACAGAACATGACACCACAAAAATGACTGTTGGAGATCAAAACACACCACCTCAAAATGACTGTTGTTGGAGACCAGAACACACCACCCCAAAATGACTGTCAGGACACCACCCCAAAATGACTGTCAGGGATCAGAACACACCACCCCAAAAATGACTGTCGGAGATCAAAACACATCACCCCAAAAATGACTGTTGGAGATCAGAACACATCACCCCAAAAATGACTGTCAGAGACCAGAACACACCACCCGAAAATGACTGTCAGAGAACAGAACACACCACCCCAAAATGATTGTTGGAGATCAGAACACACCACCCCAAAATGACTGTTGGAAACCAGAACACAACACCCCAAAAATGACTGTTGGAGAAGAGAACACACCACCCAAAAAATGATTGTCGGAGATCAGAACACACCACCCCAAAAATGACTGTTGGAGATCGGAATGCACCACCCCAAAAATGACTGTCAGAGACCAGAACACACCACCCCAAAAATGACTGTTGGAGATCAGAACACGTCACCCTAAAACCGACTGTCAGAGAACAGAACACACCACCCCAAAATGACTGTTGGAGACCAGAACACACCACCCCAAAATGACTGTTGGAGACCAGAACATGCCACCCCAAAATGACTGTCAGAAACCAGAACACAACACCCCAAAAATGACTGTCAGAGACCAGAACACACCACCCCAGAAAAGACTGTCGGAGATTGGAACACACCACCCCAAAAATGACTGTCAGAGATCGGAACGCACCACCCAAAAAATGACTGTCAGAGACTAGAACACACCACCCCAAAAATGACTGTCAGAGATCAGAACACATCACCCCAAAAACGACTGTCAGAAACTAGAACACACCACCCCAAAATGACTGTTGGAGATCAGAAAACACCACCCCAAAGTGACTGTTGGAGACCAGAACACGCCACCCCAAAATGACTGTCAGAAACCAGAACACATCACCCCAAAAATGACTGTTGGAGATCAGAACACACTACCCCAAAATGACTGTCGAAAACCAGAACATACCACCCCAAAATGCCTGTCAGAGACCAGAACATACCACCCCAAAATGCCTGTCAGAGACCAGAACATGCCACCCCAAAATGACTGTCAGAGAACAGAACATACCACCCCAAAATGACTGTCAGAGACCAGAACATACCATCCAAAAATGACTGTCAGAGACCAGAACATAGCACCCCAAAATGACTGTCAGAGACCAGAACACACCATCCTAATAAATGTATGCCTTTTTGGCATAAGGATTATTTTGAGAAACTGAAGATATAGGAGAAGCTCTGAAAACAAGTTGATTCTCTTCTATAAGAGAGATCTATGTTTATAAAGGAGTCCTCCATTTGTAAGGGTGGCTCCTCTCTGCACCTGGAAGAGGACGGCTCTCGTCACTGGAAACCCCATCAATGCAGAGGGCTCGACTGAGGGTGCATGACAGGCCTTGCCCTTGCTGACCGGCTTCTCTGGTCCCCTCCTGTGTTAATCTGTTCTCATGCTGCTGATAAATACATACGGGAGACTGGGCAATTTATGAAAGAAAGAGGTTTAATGGACTCACAGTTCCACGTGGTTTTGGGGAGGCCTCACAATCACAAGGCCTCACAAGGTCAGAGGCACATCTCACAGGGTGGCAGACAAGAGAGAGCATGTGCAGGGAAACTGCCCTTTATAAACCATCAGATCTCATGAGACTCATTGACTGTCACGAGAACAGCATGGGAAAGACCAGCCCCCATGATTCAATGACCTCCCACCAGTTCCCTCTCACGACATGTGGCAATTGTGGGAGTGACAATTCAAGATGAGATTTGGGTGGGGACACAGCCAAACCCTATCACCTCCTCATTGCTCCTCCTGCTCTGTCTCAGCAGATGATGGTGCTGAAGCCTGAGTCTACACACCTCTTTGTGATTGACCCGTTTCTCTGGGTATGGCTCATGGATGCAGGAGGTGCACATGTGAATCCACTTCGGCTTGTTTATCTCTTGTGAATCGGTTTTTTGTTACAGGAGTCCACCCCTCGTAGGAACTCAGAAGAACAGAGACACTACTTTTTCTTCCCCACACAGAGTAGTAGCTTGAGGCCACTGGCTCAAGCAAAAGGGGTACCTGAGTTGGCCTGGATGCTCAGTGGCTGCCCTGATAAGTGATTATGGAAAATGTGATGCCAGGGCGGTCTCAAGGCTGGAACGACAGCCCCCACCAGGGTGGGCTTGGCTCCATGTTCACTGTCTCGGGAGCAAGGCTGCCCTTACACCTGCAGCACGTTCCTCCACTCCACAGTGCCCAGGTGGGCCTGGGCTGGGGGCATTGGACACAATGCATCCTGGCAGCCACCCAGGCCTAGCCTCTCCAGGGCACCTGATGCCCACCTGGGCAGAGAAAGGCACCTGAGCAGAAGGGCATGGGGCTTTCAGAAGGAGGGTCCCTGAAGGGGATGCAGATGCACCCGCCTGACGCTGGAAACAAGCCAAGTTCCTCCTGCTGGCCCCAACAGGAGAGTTTCCCCTGACAGACACACCTCTGGGCTCTGCTCATCAGCGTCCATGTCCCTAGCTGGACAATTCCAGGGTTGAAAATTAGGGTTTCCCACCTGTATCTCATGAACTCTGCCAGGTAAAAGTTTCATATTCATGGAGTATACCAGGTGCGAATGTGCTATAGATGTAGCTAAGGACATTTCAGCTTTCAGGAATCTCCATGAGAAAAGGAACTTAATTTGATGTGGGGCTCAGTGTAGGGAGTGCGACCTGGCCTGAGTCAGGCTGCCTGGTGCTGGCACCGGCTGCCGGTTCTGCCATGTCACTTCTCCTGCCTCAGTCTCCCCTCTGTGAAATGTTGCCTCCTGGGGACAAGGGAGATGACATGCATGTGAAGTGTGGAACACACCCCGGGAGGGGGCGAGCATCACAACTGTTGCTGCCACTGTGCTGCTGCCGTTCTGAAAAAGCTGCAGCAGGAGCTTTCAGGGTGCAGGATCCTGTTAATTTTCTTCATCTCTTTAAGCAACTCCAAGTCTGATGGGTTGACCCACTGAAAGGGGTTTCTGGATTATTACACACTGAGGGACCTTATGAACATCCCTAGAGTTCAGTTGTTTAAATAAAAATGAACTTTGGTGCCACGTGAGCCAGGCTCCCTAGGGAACCTGCAGGGACAATCTTGCCTTCCACTAAGACCCAGGCACAAGGCGGGCCTCCGTTTCTTCAGCGGGAGACATCACCAAGTCCCCACCTCAGACAATAAGCCGTGTCCCTGCGACTGAAATCTATATTATGCATATTTTTATAAAAATGCAGCTGAAAATGTTAGAAAAGGGCACAGGGAGGGAGGGAAGCATGTCGAGAAGCAGGGACTGCCGTTGCCACAGGCAGACATGACTTATTTCATCTTATGTGACTATTTACTCTGATATTGAATAAAAATTGAATGTGTTGCTATAGCAACAGCCACATCACACAGCACCTCTCCTGCCTTTAAGTCACAGGAAAGTATTGAGAAGGCATCCGTGAGCCAGCGCAACGTGGAAACCTGTGTGCCATTCACAATTCCAGGAGGAAAAGATGTTGTTTCATGATGAACTCCTATTTGTCAATACGTCAAGTGCAGTTAATTATATCGAAAATACATTTTTGTGTTTTTCTTCACTTTTGAGAAATAGAAAAAGAGTGAGAAGAGCAGTAAGCAGCAAGCAGGCTGATGGGGTGCAGCTGAGCCCACCACAGTGGGGCTGCCCCAGGGCCACTGAAGTCCTTGTCACAGAGACAAACCCACAGCGGGTCTATCCTGGGGCCATCGAGGTCTTCGTCACAGAGCCAAGCCCACCACGGTGGGGCTGTCTGGGCCATCGAGGTCCTTGTCACAGATCCAAACCCACAGTGGGCCAGTCCTGGGGCCATCGAGGTCCTCGTCAGCTGAGCCCACCCATGACGGGCCTGTCCTGGGGCCTTCGAGGTCCTTGTCACACAGCCAAGCCCACAGCGGGCCTGTCCTGGGGCCATCGAAGTCCTCATCAGCTGAGCCCACCCATGACAGGCCTGTCCTGGGGCATTTGAGGTCCTCACCACAGAGCCAAACCAGAGAAGGGGCTGCTCCTGACCTCTGACCTCCCACCAACCAAAGGCTTATCTGGGGTCCTCAGATGGGCTGAATGCAGAGCTGCCTGGGCTGGGCTGATGCAAATATTTTAATGCAATTTCATGCAGATTTCCCTTTCAGACGCAAATTAGGAATATTTACCAGTAAACAGGCTTTTCTTAGGACTGAGGCACTTTTGCATTTAGGAGAAAACCATCTGTCAACTAATGCATATTAGAATAAAATAGAGTGACAGTGCAGGAAATGACAAAAGATGCCCACTCCCCCCAGTACCCACTTCCCCCAGTACCCACTCCCCCAGTACCCACTTCCTCCAGTACCCGCTCCCCCCATTACCTGCTGCTGCCAGTACCCACTCGTCAGTACCCACTCCCCCCAGTACCCGCTTCCCCCAGTACCCGCTCCCCCAGTACCTGCTCCCAGTACATGGTCCCCCAGTGCCCACTCCATTACCCACTCTCCCAGTACATGCTTCCCCCAGTACCCAACCCCCATACCCACTCCCCAGTACCCACTCCCCCAGTACCCACTTCCCCCAGTACCCGCTCCCCCAGTAACTGCTCCATTACCTACTCCCCCCAGTACCCACTCCCCACCATACCCACTCCCCCAGTGCCTGCTCCCCCAGTACCTGCTCCCCCAGTACTCGCTTCCCCAAGTACCCACTCCCCCAGTACCCGCTTCACCCAGTACCCGCTTCCCCAATACCTGCTCCACCCAGTATTTGCTCCCCCCAGTACCTGCTCTCCACCATACCCACTCCCCCCAGTACTGCCAGAGCCCACCACATGCACTGAGTGGGCAAGAGCCCACACAGGCACCACCGCCCCCTGCCTCCCACCCTTGGCAGAGCTTCCCATGTGCTCTTGGGCTTCTGGGGTGAGATGCCACAGGCTCCCTGAAACGCACGCTGTCTTGGGGGGTGTGAGTGAATGTTTCTGGAGAGACAGACCCTGGTTTTTCTTGGGCTCACGGACGGTCTGAGATTGCTGGAGTGTTACACCCCAGTCACTGCAGCCTGGTTCTTTAGGCTGAGCCGGCACTAGGGACAAGCCGTAGCATGAGATGTAGGGTTCAGTGGTCCCCCCAGGCTTCTATCCTTGGTGTGACCCAGCATTACCATCAAACGCACTGTTACCTTCGCAAGCTCAGCTCAGTCACCTTACCCAAGGAACCCCGTGAACTCTGACACCTCAGGCTTTTTAGATCCACTGTCCAGAGCCTCAGGAGCTGTGATCTCTTCCTTCAGATACTGCTGAACCCACCGCTTTCGCTCCATTCTGACAAACCTACCTCTGACCACGTGAGCTTCTCTTCCTCCTGGGAGCTGCTCCTCCAAGCTCCTGCTCCAGGGGCCCCGTCAGGAACGTGTGGCCGTGCTCTCTGCCCCACCAGCCCATCCTGCGCCCCCCCACCCCCCAACATCCAATGCCCCTTCTCTTGAATCCCCAAACACAGGCCCTCATCTAAAGGCCAGCAGTGATTTTAAACCTTTGTCATGTACTGGCCTACGCGCAGCACCATGCCACGCAGAATCTTCACGGATGTCTGATGACTTTCGTTACTGTGAGCGTTTCCCACAGCAACCACGGTCAATGGGTGACGGGGGCCGCCATGTCCCAGATGGTGGCTGCTCCCCTCAGGTCCCCACATTTGCTAATGTGTGTGTAAACGCCTTTCCTTTGGTTACATATTTTCTCTTTATTTAGGTTGTAAAAAATGGTACTAAAGGTAAAATGAGATAGAACTAGACACACACATTGTTCCAATATCAATCTCCTGGTTTTGCCATAATTGGCTTTTATAATTACCCAGACGTAACCACCAGGGGAAAACCTCACTGGGTAAGGGATACATGAGACTTCTTTGTTATAACTTTGCAATTCCCTGTGAATCTATAATGGTTTCAAAATAAGAAGTCAGAAATAATATAAAAACTTTTGGACAAAGGAAAAAACTCACTTGCAATTCCACTGAGAAAAATAAAGTCCAAAGCCCCAACTGACGGAATGACCTACTCTTGACCAAGAGGACCCCAGAGAAACCTTAAAACTGAGTTGGGACCGTGACAGGATGAAGGTCAGACCCGCCTGGTTACCCGCCCCCATCATTAATCATCACCAGGCTTCCTTCCCTGGGTTCAGACCCGCCTGGTTACCGCCCCCCTCTCAACTAATCACCACCAGGCTTCCTTCTCTGAGGGCTGAACAGAAACCAGCCCTTTTAAAAGACTCCATTCCTGATATCCACCAAGTGCCTGAAACTGCTCTTCCTTTTATGGTTTCGACCCAACAACCAATCAGCATTCCCTCCTCATAAGAGACCCCATTCACGGAGTGCCTCTGGCTAGTCTGTGGAGGCTGCACAGGGAGGGCCTTCATGTCCTCAGCTTCACCTTTTGATGCAGAATGCCTAACTGTAATCTGTTTACATGTTAAGTCTCCATGCCCCAGTGAACATGGGATGCATTTTGCAAACATTAGCTGACCATGCATGCCCGTGTCTCCCCTTCACAAATATTCACGGCTCCTCCCATAACCTGCTGAATATGTATACTTAGCCACCCACTCAGCATAAATTCCTGTTCCCTTTGCCTCTCACTAGAAGTGCCTGTTTCTGGCTTCTGGCCGGAGGCTACGCTTCCCAGCTGGTCAGGTTGGCTGTCCTGCAGGATGCAGCTCTTTATAAGGAATAAAGCTCTCCTTTCCCAATTACGAGCCTCGTCATTCTTCTGCTGCCACCATCAACCCCATAAGAGCTGCTCTCTTATTCACCTGTTACGTACATGGGCTTCTAACATCTCTGTGCACACACATGTTTACACAGCTGCCTTTAAGTTTAGAGTTCTCAAAATTTTAAATGAAATCACAGAATTTGATTTATTTGATTGTTAATGATGAGTTACCTTGCTATAGTTTTATATTTTAAGTCAGTTTTTTTTTTTTGGTGAAGGTTTTGTTTTTCTGATTTCCTTGCTCGATGGAGTGTCTTCTTAGGATACATTTCTCGGAGTTTGATTACTGAGCCAAAGGGGAAGAGTTTTTGTTTGTTGGTTTGCAGATGACCACTGCTGTCCTGCCTTCTAAAGAGTTAGACTCATTCACCCTGCCTACCATGGAGTGTACGTATATGAGTTTTATCACATTTGGTCTTTATTTATAAAACCAAAACTGTTGTTCTCAAGCAACCTTCAGTACTAATCTTAAAAATAAGACTTCAGGCTGGGCACGGTGGCTCAGGCTTGTAATCCCAGCACTTTGGGAGGCCAAGGCAGGCGGATCATGAGGTCAGGACATCAAAACCATCCTGGCTAACACGGTGAAACCCCGTCTCTACTAAAAATACAGAAAAATTAGCTGAACATGGTGGCAGAGGCCTGTAGTCCCAGCTACTCGGGAGGCTGAGGCAGGAGAATGGCGTGAACCTGGGAGGCAGAGCTTGCAGTGAGCTGAGATTGCGCCACTGCACTCCAGCCTGGGCGACAGAGCGAGACTGTGTCTCAAACAACAACAACAAAATAATAGGACTTTAGACTTAGGATGTGATTGGAACATCTACGGATTTCTCACCCCACTGTAGCTCTGACATTTCACCTGCCCCCAGCACCACAGGGCCTCCGGTCTCACACAAATCATTTTGGCTGGAGAGCCCTTTGCAAGTGGTCTGCTTGCCAGCTCTCCACCTCACCTGTTGGCATTTCCCAAATAGCATTTCTTCCAGCCAAGAGCCTCATCCATCCACCTGGATCCACCTGAAACATTTAATGTGCCTGACAAAGGCACGGTCCTGCTGCTGGGCACCGCAGAGCAACAACAGCTGTCACCCTGACAAGCAGGGGCAGCTCCTCCCCACCTCCCCACCTCCCCACCTCCTTACTCCGGCTCTCTTCACCTGTGGGCAAAGGCCCCCCTCTGTCCCGTCCTCTCCTGGGTCACACCTGGGTGTGCAGAACCAGGCATCTGGTGAGGCGGGCAGGAAATCTGCATCTTGACAAGACCCCAGGGAGAAGGTGCATGGCCATGTCGAGCCATCACAGCTGATATGTTCCTGCTATTGATTTGGCCAAAGTCTGCATTCAATGTCCAGGCTCCTCTTGGTAATCCCCAAGCAACCGGGTAGGAGCTGTGTACAGTAGCAAACCTCTTTGCACAGACAGGAAATGACAGGGTGGAAGTCAGGGGGAAATGAAGCTGGTTTCGAACACATCCGTCACCCATCTCAGTTCTGCCCACTGCTTGCTCCCTGTGACAAGTGCTGAGCATCCCCACACCCCCCGCCCCCCACCCCAGGTAACAAACATCACACAGCAAATTCACATTATTCATGGGGCGGATTCCCACAGCCCCCCACCCCCCATCCCAGGTAACACACACATCACACGGCAAATTCACATTATTCATGGGGTGGATTCTCACACCCCCACCCCCCATCCCAGGTAACACATATCATGGCAAATTCACATTTTTCATGGGGTGGATGCATGACCATAGGTTCATAGACTTTTAAGGGACTTTTGGGATCCACATATTCTTGGCTACAGAATCCTTTCTTGGAACAAAGTCTCACCCAGAAGCCCAGTGAGCAGCAGGCAACAGAAGCCTGGACCTTGCTGAGCCGGAGTGTGAGGGTAGCGTGAGCTGAGCAGGGATTCACACCCAACTGCCTTGGAGCCCCCAGGGCTCCTTGAATAACCATCTGAAGACCTCTGACCTCATCCCACACTGGACAGAGAGAAGGCTCCCTCAGCAGAGATGGGGGGCTCTTTGCCACCCAGACAGCCCCCAGTCTGAGCAGCTCTTCCCCTCAGCTTCTTCTCAGATTCCTCTTGTTCACGCTCCTGAGCCTGCAGGGGCTCTGCTGAGACTCAGGGTCGGCCACTTCTCACTGACATGCTGGGCAGGGCACCTCTGTGTCTATCACGACGCTTAGAAGCTAGAACGCTGGGCAGGGGACCTCTGTGTCTATCACGACGCTTAGAAGCTAGAACGCTGGGCAGGGGACCTCTGTGTCTATCACGATGCTTAGAAGCTAGAACGCTGGGCAGGGGACCTCTCTGCTCTATCATGATGCTAAGAAGCTAGAACGCACCCCTAACTCTGGACACAACTGAGAAGGTTGGAGCCATGGATCTGCCTTTATCCAAATTATTTTTCTTCCAAACTTTTGAGTTTTGCTTTTTGGTGATTATCACTTTCCTTTGGAAAAAAACATGGCTTTATTAATTTGAATAAAATGCAAATACTTTTCAAGATATCAGAAATTAGATTTTGAAATACATCAAAATGCCACCCATCTATGAGGGGTGTGTATCTGCACTGTAATCTGTTCATTTCCTTTAAATTTTGTTTTGAGATATTTCCATTTGGCTTAAAAGGTTTTAATTCCACTATCTGTCATCACTTGCATTAAACGCAAGCGCAGGGGAGAGATTTAGTAAATGCTATTAGATTTCTGTAATCAAACTCTGCTTTATATTCCAGAGTCAGGGATTAGAAGAATTTTAAATACATTAAAAATCAGAATCGTCAAATTCAGGCTTAATACTGAATAAGGCAATTAAAATTAGAAAAAAAAATCATTAGCTGTTAAATAATTTATCAACTTGTACCCCTTTCTCCCATTTTCACCACTGCAAATCTACTCCAAATATATAAACCTCCCGAAACTACAGCAGTGAATAAAACAGACAAACCCTTCCATCACAGAGCTCCCATTCCAGGTGAAGCTGGAGATGCATCCAGGAATAAGGCCCATTGTTTCCTCTGAAGGCAGAACCCAGCCGTCACCTGCATTGCTTTCTGCACTCACTTGGGGCAACAGGAGACACAGATGCTGGGCTTGAGGGCCCTCTGGGCACGATGTCCGTGGGGTCAAGAGCTCGAGAAGAACCATCTTTTGAAATGTAAAATGGCCACGTGGAGAAGGATAATGCTCCAGGAGCTGGTCTCCAGCATTTGGTGGAACGAGAACAAAGAAATGTCTGGAGAAGGCCAGGAAGACAGGCAGGTCAGGGTGAATGAGCTCCTTGTGGCCAGATCGTAACCAGTGGGTGAAATAAACACTCTAGCGTTTGGTAATTTTCTGTCCCAGGGATGACGGAGCCTCTGCCCCTGGGAATGGCAAGGTCCATCCTCTGCTCGCTCAGGGGCCAGAGAGGACACAGGTTGGATGTGGATGGAAGCAGAGGTGTGGTGCTGTGCAGGTGAGCTCCTGCCTCTGCCCTCAGCCCCCACGGTCCCCCGCAGTCTAGGGAGAACCTTCCTTCCCACATATGAGATGGGTGGGCATCAGGAGTGGGCAGAGGCCAATTCTTTCCAGAGTTAAATAGTCCACTTCACAGATAATCTGAGCAGCAATTCAGATTTCCATGCATTGAATCAATCTACTTCCTAGACAGAGCTTCACAAGGAGCAGTGATGCCATTTCCATTAAGAGATAAGAAAACCTGACGGGAGAAACAGGCTGCGGCAGGAAGATCAAGAGCCCTGCGTGGCCCACTTTAAGTGTGAGGCTCCTCTACAGATCTCCCAGGAGAGAAAAGGAGGACACCTGTGGCCATACACACCTGTTGCTCGGTGAATGGGTCAGGGCTGGAGACGTAGGCTTGGGATCATCATCGAACAGATAACATAAAAAGCCAGGGCCCAGGTGAGTTCCCCACAGGAGACAGCACCGGCAGAAAGGAGGAGGGAGCCAGGCCCTGGAGAGTCCAATCTGTAGAACTCACGGAGGAGGAGCTGGTCGACTTGAAGGGAACAGAGATGGCCGTCGCGCCCAGTGAGAGCAGAAAGCAATGCAGGGGACGGCTGGGTTCTGCCTTCAGAGGAAACAATGGGCCTTATTCCTCGATACACCTCCAGCTTCACCTGGAATGGGAGCTCGTGATGGAAGGGTTTGTCTGTTTTAGTCACTGCTGTAGTTTCAGTTCTTAAAACCTGCCTGACGCATATAAATACCTAGGAATGAATGAACGAACAGCTCACTAAACTGAGGCTGAGCAGGGACCCTCGCACACGCACATCGAAATCCCGCATGACGCATGGCATCAACTCTGAGGGGCACAAAGCCGAGAGCACAGGAAGAAAGTGGATCTCCAGACTCCAAAACTGAGAGGAGCAATCAAAACCGGGCGTGACTGGGAGCTGCTGCTGAAGTGGCTCCTGGACGTTTGGCATCTTTCTGTGGATCCAAGTGTGTGGAAGCTGAGAGCTGGGGTGTGAGTTCCTGTGGAAGCTGAGAGCTGGGGTGTGAGTTCCTGTGGAAGCTGAGAGCTGGGGTGTGAGTTCCTGTGGAAGCTGAGAGCTGGGGTGTGAGTTCCTGTGGACGCTGAGAGCTGGGGTGTGAGTTCCTGTGGACGCTGAGAGCTGGGGTGTGAGTTCCTGTGGAAGCTGAGAGCTGGGGTGTGAGTTCCTGTGGAAGCTGAGAGCTGGGGTGTGAGTTCCTGTGGAAGCTGAGAGCTGGGGTGTGAGTTCCTGTGGAAGCTGAGAGCTGGGGTGTGAGTTCCTGTGGAAGCTGAGAGCTGGGGTGTGAGTTCCTATAGTCACACGAGGACAGCCCATGTGGCCTTGGGGTGGATGGAGATGGGGACTCCACATGAAGCCCAGGACCTTGAGGACCTGCCTCCCTCAAGATTGAAGCCCAGGAACAGACCACCTACCAGCTGGGGAAGTGGGGAGGGGGCTGAACCCCAGATCTGTGCATGTGCCAGAGCACGGTCCACACTTTATTGAATGAAGCAGAAACTCCCAGGTGGGCAATTGACAGGAAAGTGGATCGGCTGGGACACTGAGGGCAGAACTTCTTATCCAGAAACTCTCACATAGAAATTCACACTTCAGTATCACCAATCCCTGCTGAGGGTAAGCTCACAATTCTAAAAAAAGACTTCATCAACCACAAAAGAGGACCCCTCCCCCACAGGAGGGGGTCAGCAGATGTGATGAGCAGGAGCTGTAGAAAGCGAAGACTAGGAAACGGCCAGAGGGTCTGAACGAGACCATAAAATAAGCCAGAGGGTCTGAACAAGACCATAAAATAAGCCAGAGGATCTGGACGAGACCATAAAATAAGCCAGAGGATCTGGACGAAACCATAAAATAAGCCAGAGGGTCTGGACGAGACCATAAAATAAGCCAGAGGATCTGGACGAGACCATAAAATAAGCCAGAGGATCTGGACGAGACCATAAAATAAGCCAGAGGGTCTGAACGAGTCAATAAAATAAGCCAGAGGGTCTGAACGAGACCATAAAATAAGCCAGAGGATCTGGACGAGACCATAAAATAAGCCAGAGGATCTGGACGAGACCATAAAATAAGTAGGTTTAAAATGATTGAAAAGATAAAAGAAGATATCAAACACATAATCAAAGTAGAAGGCAAAATAACAGATTTGATAAATTACTAAATAAAAATTTTTTTCTAAGTGAAAAATACAGTAACCAAGAGAAAAGTACCCAGCATTTGAGTTTT
The DNA here is from genome assembly GCF_000001405.40 of Homo sapiens. NCBI lineage: Eukaryota > Metazoa > Chordata > Mammalia > Primates > Hominidae > Homo > Homo sapiens. The sequence continues at coordinate 157,895,612 of NC_000007.14, forward strand.
ACAGCAGATTAGACAGAGGAGGAAGGAACGTGGGAGACAATTTCAGGAAATAATCTGTCGTGTAGCATCGAGGGAGGGAGAGGTGAAGGCGCGACAGAGGGTGCTGAGACAGGGTGGATGGAACAAGAAGGTCCAACCCTGCCTAATCAAATGCTGTGGAGGCGTCAGGACCGTGATGGGAATGAGAGTGAATGTTTACGCGTGCCCACTCATCCGCACTCTGCCACCCCAGAAACCTGCACACGACCCAGTGGTGCGGGTCCTGGGATGACCCCCATTTGACAACACAGGAAGCAGAGTCACAGGGTGAGCACAGAGACTGCAGGAGGCCCGCGTGAAAGAGATGGCGAGGGGTAGCTCTGCAGAGTCAAGAAGGGGCCTGAGTGAAAGGGAGCACCAAGTATAGCACAAAACCCAGACCCCCCGATCCAAGCAGGGAGTGCCTGGACATCACAGGTGCCCAGGGGAGGACGGGAGGAGCTGGGAAGATGAAACCCAGATCCCCCAATCCAAGCAGGGAGTGCCTGGACATCACAGGTGCCCAGCGGAGGACAGGAGGAGCTGGGAAGATGAAACCCAGATCCCCCAATCCAAGCAGGGAGTGCCTGGACATCACAGGTGCCCAGCAGAGGACAGGAGGAGCTGGGAAGATGAAACCCAGATCCCCTGATCCAAGCAGGGAGTGCCTGGACATTACAAGTGCCCAGCAGAGGACAGGAGGAGCTGGGAGGCTGAAGCCACAGCGACCAGGCCCTGTGGCTCCTCCAGCGTGGGAAGAGCAGCTCTGTCCTGAAAGGGTGGCCATGGAGGTGCTGTCCTCCAGGCTCAGGTGCGTGTGGGAAGGAGCTCCGTTGTGAGTGGGGAGCCAGGGAGGTGCTGTCCTCCAGGCTCAGGTGCGCGTGGGAAGGAGCTCCGTTGTGAGTGGGCAGCCGGGGAGGTGCTGTCCCCCATGCTCACGTGTGCGTGGGAAGGAGCTCCGTTGTGAGTGGGCAGCCGGGGAGGTGCTGTCCCCCAGGCTCACGTGTGCGTGGGAAGGAGCTCCGTTGTGAGTGGGCAGCCGGGGAGGTGCTGTCCCCCAGGCTCACGTGTGCGTAGACAACAGCATCTGACCTTCCATGCTTAAGAGGCAACCTGTGGCAAGGCACATGGCAGAAGCCACTTGGGCTGGAGCTGCCCAGTCAGTGGCTCCACCTGTCACCATGTCCTGCCTCTTTTCTGGAGTGGCCGGAGTCCAGGTTTCAATGAGGAAGGTGTGTCTGGACACCAGGCACCACACTTGTCACCTCCCAGATGAACCCCAGAGTCTCCCATTCCCCGTCCCCCACCCTTGCCCCTCCAGCCCTCTCAGGGCAGAGCCTCCCTCATGTCCACAGGACCCACCTCCCCACCCACCACAGCCGCTTCTCACGGGGCCTAAATATTCCACAGTACAGCAGAGGGTCCCAGCCTCGACGCGTTCTCTGACCAGGTTACAGAGATGGCTCTAACCTGAGTCCATCTAGATTTGTCCCAAATTCCTGGACACCATTATCCCTCTAGGAATGACTTAGCACCAACCACCACCCCACGTGATGAGCTCGGAAGGGAGAGGAAAGACAGGAGGACACCACAGCTCCTTGTACACGCAGGAGACGCACCTCCGACATCACATCTTCCACATGCAGGAGACTCACGGCCCGGTCACAGCCACCCCCGGCTGACTCCACCTTGCAACTACTTGGCCCCTCCGCATCGGTCACTGCACCTTCCGTGGGATGCAGGTGGCTCTCGGCAGCCCCCAAGACTCTTGGCTTCTTTCTCACCCTTCACTGGGTGCTAAAGAGACAGCAAGCTCCCGGGAAAGACCAGGGCATCACCAGCTGCCCAACACCTCATTCATCCGGCACGAGCCAGGAAGGCATCGAGAAACACCAAGAACAGGAGCACCTGTCCGGGACGTGCACGCCAGTTTCCATCAGTCGCCGGCTGCTCTCCTCTCCCACACCCTGCCCGTCATTTAACCCAGACGCAGCCATTTTCAAAGCCCTTCAGGCTATTCTTAAGCAGGCTCTGCATGGGAAGCGCAAGAACCTCTGTTTGGGAAGAGCGGCCAATTAAGCAGCTTCTTATTTCAAGAGCCCGAGTCTGGGGCCTGGTGAGGACGAGATTTCCCCACAGAAGCAGCTTGTCTTTAAGTGGCTCCGCAGAGGGCGGCTCTGCTGTGCAGCGAGCACACTCATAAATAAGCGCTCCTTCACAGTTAATTATCTCTAATGGCGAGCGCTGTGAAACCCGAAATCTCGAACGCGGGAGCGCAGATTGGCTTCGGTCCACACTGACTGACGAGTGGCCACACGCCATTCCTCAGAGGAGGCGCGTCCGCGCTCTGTGTGCAGTTCATTAAGTTGTCATGTCAGGGGACAGCGGCCATCGGCGCGGTGCGGGGAGGCGCCTGCGGCTCCAGCTGCTGGAGGAGGCTGGCCGAGCGCCTCTCTGATACCAGCATGGTAAGGTTTGGACACACAGGGGCTTGACAGATTTTCAGCGATATTATGGAAGCATTGCCTCTCTGATACCAGCATGGTAAGGTTTGCACACACAGGGGCTTGATAGATTTTCAGTGATATTATGGAAGCATTTCCTGTTTTATATTGCCTCTCCCAAATGTGCGTCCTTCGATATTGAAGATACAAGTATGTCCCACTGAGTCCCAGGAGGAAAGAGTAATCCCTCTAGCCCATATTCATTTTCACACACTTGGCAACTACAAAACAGCTGAAGAAGGAAGGAAGCACCTATTTTCTGAAGGCTTCTCCGTTCTTCTTAGCCATGAATGCTTTTTCTTGTGGGGATACTAAATCAGGACTTCAAAGGCCCTAAGACATCATTGAACTCGCCAGGCACGTTTCGCCACCGTTTCCCACCCGCAGAGGATGCTCCTGCTGCAGCCCACTGGTCCTCCCAGGAAAACAGGACCTTGGCTGAATTAACCTGCAGGTCCAGCCTCTGTTCTCACGGTGTTCGCCAGCACCCAGACAGCACTGCAGATCGCAGAGCAGACGGCACCCCTTCTGTTACTCACCGACCCGACTCCGGTTTGAAGAATTTTCAGTCCAGAGGTTTCCTCCAGTTTGTCTTTGTTGTCAACTGTTAGGAAAAATCAGAAAGCACAAGAGTCAGGTTGGAGAGGTCCTCAGTCTCCGGGCACCTCTGAGTATTTTCCTCCATTGAAAATTTCAATTACATGACTGCTTGACCCGCCTACCTTAATGGAAGGGTCATGAACAGGCACAGAATTAGAACCTGCACGAGGCCCCATTTTCCCACTGACCCAGTGTGCGTCCACCTCGGGCCGGCACAACTGTGCGCTTTTGGTTTCATCTAGAAAGGGGTGTCCCACCCGGGTCCCCAGGACTGCTATGAATCACTGATGAGAAATATGTAGAGACATTCTGCAAACTGCAACGTCTTATTTTAAAATTACGTAATCGTTTCTAGCTGTATAATTACTGGGAAATATGTTTCATTAACCAGCATTAGGTGTTGATAAAAGACTCCGTAGAAGGCAAAGCTGAATGTGTGTATTTCTGCCATCAGCACCGCCAGCTATTTTGCAGCCTCTTGTTCATGCCCTGACAGGAACATCCTATAATAATTTCGCTCCAATAAAAGCCTCACCCTGGTTTTCTCCTGATGTAGAATGAGGAAGACTTTCAGAGAATGAATTGCACTCGATGGCAAACCAAGGGAAATGAGCTCTGGAAACAATTAGCAGATGGAAATGAAACCCCAGTAATCCTAGCACCAACACAGCAAACCCACCTGCCCCACTTCACAGAGAGGACGGGTGTCACAAGGCAATTGACCTTGGCTTACGACTCTGTGGAAATATGCGTTTGCATAAAGCCCTTGTCACTTTGGAGATGAAAACCAGAAAAAAATGGAATTTCACTGCAAACCCTATGAATGAAGAGTGCCTTGCAATTGTGATTAATACAGGATGAGATAGCAGGAAAATATCAATTACTCTCACCCCTTATTGTAACGCCCCTGTGTTAATCTGGGGTAATGAAATTATTCCTTTCGGAGAGGGACGCGATGAGATCTTGTTACAGCCTGCCCTCCCTGCTGTTGGGGCCTCTCCATTGTCTTATGGAAAGTTTTTCCCTTTGAGCAAATGCATACTATTTTCTACATATAACTAATTACCTACTGCGCTGAAAGAACAAGACAGACAGAAAACAGTCTGGGCTAAAGCAAAACTCCTTTAATACTTTATGATGGGGTAGAGCCCCAGGGGAGGGGAGGACACAAATGTAAGCCTTGGGTGGCAAGAGAGCTATAAGGCCATCGGTGCTGCTGTCCTCCCGCAAACAGAGGAGACATCTGACAGATTGGCAAGCTTCTCTCAGGAGGGTAATAGTGGACTCTTTTAAGCAGGCTGAGGAACAGAAAGTGAGTACAAATGCAACCTTAGAACCACCCTGGTCACTGCTGCAGAACGGTCACCGACGTCAGGGTCAGGAATGAAAACGGCAGCCCCAGCCCATAGTAATGAGAAAAATCCAATCTGCCGGGGAGCGCCCTTTTCCTGTGAAGGGCAGGTAACAACTGGGTCAGGCTCGGCAGGCCCACGGCTCTGTCGCAGCTACTCAGCCCTGCCTTGCAGCGTGGAGGTAGCTGCAGACCACGCCTAAGTGGATGGTCATGGCTGTGTTCCAACAAACCTTTATTTACAACAGCAGACAGTGGGCCTGACTTGACCTGCAGACTGTGGTTGCCAAGAGGTTGTCTGGCTCTAGTCCATTCTCCACACTGTGCCCAGGGTGTCACGAGCAGTGAGTCTAAGGGTGTCTGTCCATCCTTGACCTCAACATCCAGACCTCTGGCTCCAAATCCAGACACTTCGGTGGCCCTTCAAAGCCTTTCAATGGTGTCCCCTGCAGGCATGGAGAACTTGCCTTGCTGGCCCTGAGGTCCAGGTGGCACTCCTTGCCCAGATATTGGGCTTTTCAGCACATTTCAGGCATTCTCCGTCCCCTGCCAGGATGCTCTGAGCTCCTCAGTCTGACGAAAACGCAGTCCTCCTCCCAGGAAGCTCAGGCCCTACATGTGCTCAGGGGCACCCCCTCCCTCAACATCCTCAGCACGGCCCTCTGTGTCTCACAGTTCATGGTGTGCAGGCTGCCTGTCCCCTGCATAACAGAATTGTAAATTATGGCACTGGGTAATTTCTGCTCTGTGTAAATGCTCCCATCACAGTTGACTTTAGTGCTCATGTGACACTACTAAAGGGAATGGGGAGAGATACTGTCTTAGTCCATTTGTGTTGCTGTAAAGGAACACCCAAAGCTGGGCAATTTACAAGGAAAAGAGGTTTATTTGGCTCACAGTCCTGCAGGCTGCACAAGAAGCATGGCACAGGTGTCTGCATCTGAGGATGCCCCAGGCTGCTTCCACTTGCAGTGGAAGGTGAAGGGAGCCATGCAGTGTGCAGAGCTCACATGGGGAGAGAGGAAGCAGGAGAGGGCGGAGGGAGGGCCAGGCTCTTGTTAACAATCAGCTCTCACAGGAGTTAAGAGAGCGAGAAGTCGCTCACCTCCACCCTGGGAGGGCATGAATCCATTCACGAGGGATCTGCCCCGCCCCATCTGTCCCTCCCCCACATCCAAAGCCCTCCCACCAGGCTGCACCTCCAACATGGGGACCAAATTTCAACATGAGGCATGGCGGGGCCGAACCAACCAGATGCAGAGTCACACATGGGGACCGAATTTCAACATGAGGCATGGCGGGGCCGAACCAACCAGATACAGAGTTGCAGGCGTGCGGGGAAGAGTTCCCACCATGCAGACGTGGAGGACAGAAATAATCTCAAGGGTGCCGATGACAGTAAAATGTAGAAAACCAGTTATAAAATGGTGAGCTTTAGTATGGATCGCCTCTGCTCTTAACATAGTTTATTTAAGTGCATGTTTTTATCATTCAATGTTTCACAATGGCTGTACTGAATAATGGGCTCACAAAATTCCTGAGAAAGTAAAATTAGTTCTACTGAGTGGATGCAAACTGTCCCCTGTGCTGGCACAGTGCTTTGTTTACACCCGAAGTGGGGCCTTCCCGTCCGTGTTTCCTGGGTCCTGAGGTGGGGCCTTCCCGTCCGTGTTTCCTGGGTCCTGAGGCGGGGCCTTCCCGTCCGTGTTTCCTGGGTCCTGAGGCGGGGCCTCCCCGTCCGTGTTTCCTTGGTTCTGAAGTGGGACCTTCCCGTCCGTGTTTCCTGGGTCCTGAGGCGGGGCCTTCCCGTCCGTGTTTCCTGGGTCCTGAGGCGGGGCCTTCCCGTCCGTGTTTCCTGGGTCCTGAGGCGGGGCCTTCCCGTCCGTGTTTCCTTGGTTCTGAAGTGGGACCTTCCTGTCCGTGTTTCCTTGGTTCTGGAGTGCACACTTCCCCCAGCTGAAGTGGGGTCGCAGCACGGGCCAGCACGGTAGTGACTAGGCAACTCCCGCCACCCTGAATTGGCAGTGCAGCAAGGTGCATCCTTGGAGGCCTTGGGGAGGGAATGAGTCCTTGTTTGTACTTAAGCACTTTCCACTGGGCCTCCTGTGAGGCCAGGAACGCGCTGCAGCAGAACTTCCGGAAAGGGCGTCAGCTGCGGCCAATAGTGACTCAGAGGATGATCTTGTTGGCTGCAGTGGAACACTCATGAGAAGTGTGGTGCCGCCAACCCTGCAGTGGCCTGGAGAGCACGTGGGGACCAGCCCCGCGGTGGCCTGGAGAGTACGTGGAAATCAACCTCACCGTGGCCTCAAGAGCACGTGGGGACCAGCCCCGCGGTGGCCTGGAGAGCACGTGGGGACCAGCCCCGCGGTGGCCTGGAGAGTACGTGGAAATCAACCTCACCGTGGCCTCAAGAGCACGTGGGGACCAGCCCCGTGGTGGCCTGGAGAGCACGTGGGGACCAGCCCCGCGGTGGTCTGGAGAGTACGTGGAAATCAACCTCACCGTGGCCTCAAGAGCACGTGGGGACCAGCATTGTGCTGTGGAGGCACTCAGTGGAGGGGTTCCGAGTGTGACGCGCGTCAGGATTCTTTAACCCATTGATCACTAAAACTCCTTTTAGATGCCGATGCGAGAGTGAGGCTGATAAACGAGTCTGAGAGAGTTTGTTCAATAAATACAAGATCATCTGAGGTGATTCCAAAGCACGTGCTGTGGTTCAACGGCACCGTCTCTGCTCTTCAGTGGACCTGAGCTGAGAAATGGCTTCCAAGTCAGTGAAACAGGCATCGTGGTGAGCTCCTAGCAGAGCTGCCTCCCAAGCTGATTGTGAGCCTCTCCAGGACAGGCAAGGTTCTTCAGGGTCTATGACTGCACTTTGATGCTTAGGGGCCTGTGTTCTTTCTTCAACAAATACATCCACGTTGCTGCAAAGGACACAATTTGGGGCCACCATCCTAAGCAAATTAACGCAAAAGCAGAAAGCCACACGCTGCCACACACTCTCACACGGAAGCAGGAACCAGACATCATCAGAGAGCCACACGCTGCCACACACTCTCGCACGGAAGTGGGAACTACACTCATCAGAGAACCACATGCGCTCACATGGAAGTGGGGACCAGACATCGGGTACTTACAGCCATAGAGATGGGAACAACAGACACGTAAGAGGGAATGTGAGAGGGAATGTGAGAGGGAGGTGGGAGAAAAGGGCTGAAACTCCCTCTGGGGGACGTGCTCACTACCTGCAAGACGGGAGCAAGCAAGACGGTACCCCAAACCTCAGCATCACCAGTATGCCCAGGTCACAAGTGTACCCCAAACCTCAGCACCACCAGTATACCCAGGTCACAAGCCTGCACATGTACTCCCAGATTCTAAAATAAAAGCTGAAAATTAAAAATACGGATAAGTGAACAGATGTGCCACCGACAACCCTCCCACATGCCCCACGGTGCTGCCTCTCGAAACTGACTGGACCTTTTAAAATGTAGTTCAGTCGGTTTAAATCAGCGATTGAAGCAAACAACCTGAATTAGTGTTTGGTTTTTTCTTTTTCCTTTTTTTTTTTTATACTAAAAGGTTTTAAGAGAGTACAAGGGACAGTTTCATTCTCGAGCTAATCTGAGACTGCAGTGTAAGTCAAAATCGAAGTCACAGAGTAAAATAATTGAAAAGTAATGAAGCTGGCAGTGGCTACATTCCTGCCACACACCAAGTGCCGGCGCAAGCGCTTCCCACACTTCAATCCGTCTCCCCATCCAGGCTGTGGATTTCCATGCACGCTTCACAAGCAGCTGTGAGGACCACGTGGGAGCCTCTGAGCCAGCATGGCCCAGGTCTCAGCACACAGCAAGCGACTAATCCATGTGCCCTCGTGACAGCGGCTGTTTTGCTGCATGTCTCATGGCCGGGCCACTGTCACTTCCTAAGGAGAAAGTGCTGTATCTGCTGCGTGTCTGAGACTCCAGTGTGCTCTGGTCTCTTATGCTATTAACTCGCCGATCAGTGCTTCTGCTTGTGTTTTGAACATCAAACATCAGCTGAAGCATCGCTCAACGACTTTGCTCTGGGTGACTCAGCTATCAAGGTCTTCCTCCCACAGTGGAATTGCTGTGTGCCCCACTAACAGCACCCACAGCAATAGGATAAAGGTCACCAGGATTCTCCTGATTTCTTGTTTCCCAAGATAGGGTCTCTTCCTTCCCCCACAGGCCGGTTCCTTCACAGGAGGAGTCAGGGGCTCCGCAGGCCGCTTCTCAGAGCCCATATGCTCCCGGTGTCACTGCTCCCCTCCCGTGGCCCTGCACAGGGTCTGCTGAGTGATGCCCTCCAGCACTGTGCTGGGCACTGACATCCAACCTGCCAGCTCACGTCAAGAAACTCCACCATCCTCTGGAAAGCCCGACAGTGCCCTGAGCAGGTGCCGGGGAGTCTCACAAAGCACAGAATCCGGGTCCCGGAGTCCCCAGAGTCCAGCTTCTTGCCAGGGAAATCTCTTTGGAGATTGCTGAGTGCTTTTCGGGGGCGTCTACGCGTTCCCTTGGCGCTGTGGAACGAGCCAGTGTCTGTGGGGCGTCAGCTGACTTCACGCGGCCCTGTGTTCCGGCCGCTTTCAGCGATGCCTGTCCTTGCTAGTTCACTTTCTGGCTTTGAGATTTCTCACTGGCAGAGAGAATCGAAACACAGAGAGGCCCGCACCTCCCTCCTCCTGCATCGCGAACGCTGCACAAGGGCAGCCTCCAGGGCACAAGGGCAGCCTCCGCAGCACAGCCCTGCGGTTTGTTGCTTCAGATTTTTTTTTAACCTCAAATATGCCTAAAAGGAAAAACAATGCCTCGTGGTCCCCGGCATCCTGTGGGTCTCAGGGCACCCCCGACACCTCCCGACATTATTCCTGCACCCTTGATGCTCCGCCGGATTTCTCTAAATGGCCGCGTGGATTCCCTTTTCCACACTGTTGGTGGAATTGTGACAGGTGCTGAGCTCTGATCCTGACACGTCTGCACTGGGGAGCCCGCCGTCCTCTCGCGGGACTTTTGCCCACACCTGTGTAACTGAGGACTCACACCTACTCCTTTTAAGTCTAAAGTAAATACCTGCTGATTCTCAGTGTCCTTTTGTTCCTTTTTATGAACTCCATGACAATACTGCCAATTTTTAAGTCTCTGCTGAACATGTTGAAGGAGGAAAAGAAGAAAAAGCCTGCTTCAGCCAGATGTCCATCAAATGCCAGGTCTGAGTTATGTTTTGAGCCAAGCTCTGGGCCTCCCAAGTCTGTCAGGCCAGGGCGTGGAGACAGTTGGAGAAGCTGCCTTAATAAAGGCACAGAATAACAGAGAAAGCCCGTTTTTATCTTCATGGGAGACAAAAAGGGTTTCCAAACACAAAAAAGAAGTCCTTTAAAATTAAATTCACTAGATGAAGGATATGCAAATTACCTGAAGAAGCGGAACCCTATAATGTTCTCAAAATTCTGCAATAGCCTATTTAATTAGTATTTTAATTTATCAGACTAATTCTTTGCACTTGACAATTTATGCAGCATTCCATATAATTAAGCAGGCAGCTACAGTGGAATAATTTTGCCTACTCTCTTTATCCTCGTTATTTTAACCTGAAAGAATGTGCAGAAGTCTCTTCTGTAATCTAAATTACAATGGGGATCACTTAATGGCTTTGCTCCATTAGAAGGTGGGAGGGGAGGGAGAGCACCCAGGCCCGGGGTGAAGCTGTCACCTGGAGCCTGGCCAGCTTTCTGGACGGCACCACTGGCTTCCTTAGGAAGGATCCTCCTCCCTTATGGGGTGGAGCCTGGTTTCTGGCCGAGCTGAAACGACGTCCCCTAGGGTAAGACCTGCATCCTGTGCCTCACAGCCACCGTAAACAAGCTGCCTCAACGCTGCCACTTTCCACCCAGGGCCCCCGTGCAGGGGGTCAGCATCTCCGGGTAATTTGGGGACCTCTGTGGACTCTGCCCCTGCCCTGAGGTCAGCCTTCCTGAAACTGGAAGCCACTGGTCAGGATTCCCCGTGCATGTCAGCAAGGTGCCCAGCCGAGGGCTTTCCTTAAAGCGGAAGTCATTCCTGGGAAGAGGAAGGGGAAAGAGCTTTGAAGGAAGTTGATTCAGTGATTGGAGCTCTGGTCCCAACCGGCACCTCCTTTCCTTTTTGGGCATCCCAGGGTGGCCACAGAGCCACTGGGAGTGCAGAGGCCTCCTGGGCCCAGGCGAGCTGCCGTGTCGCCGACTAACATGAGGCCCACCTGGTCGCAGGGCTGATCACAATTCCTGTAAAGGAATCTTTTAAAAATTAGCAATGTCCATACTTTCCTATTTCAGCCCATTCTCTTTCCCCATGTCGTTTTCTGAAAAGAACTCTAGCAGGGCCATACGTGAGGCCCATGAGGGGCCCCACCTTCCCTCGGAGTGGACAATCCCGGACTGGGCTCTCCCAGTGGTAATAGGTATTCTATGAAAAAATGGGGTCTTTATTCATACAAGGTTAAGAAATAGCCTGCCAGTCACTCAGGCCAAACCTAAAACTCCTAAAAAAAAAAAGGTTTAAACATTGCAAACCTTCTTAAAGCTTCTCACTCACTACTGTGCACTGTGAGCCTTTCACTCACCCTCTGGGCGCTGGGGCACACGCTGTTCTCCCAGGACCACGGGCGGTGTGGAGGATGGGCTAGGGGCTGAGGGAGACCTTAGGGAGGGGCAGGGTAGGAAGGACCCACGTGTCCTGAGCCCCTCTAGACTGGGGGCTCGCCAGGGTCTGAAGCTTCCTGGAGAAGGCCCTGCTCTAAGCTTCTTTGGTTCTGGGACCTCTAACATGTCTTAACATCAAACACGTGCAGTGACACTTCAGTCTTCATTTCAGAACCAAAGACTCTCACTCAGCAAATCCTGAGATCCCGAGATCCTGACACCCTGACACCTGTTGGAAAGGTTTGGAAGCAGCCATGGAAGCTGTCACCAGTGTTTTATGCTCAGATCTGTGCTGATGTCACACTTTGGACAGCCAAGGGGGCGGGAAGATGAAGCATAAAACCACCTTCAAGGTGGGTGTGGTGGCATCTGGGGTACCCCGTGACCGAGCAGTGTGGCCCGAGGGTGAGAACGTGGGCTCGGAGAGGACCAGGCCACAGCTCTGTGCGGCCACTGGCCAGCTGGGCACCACGGGAACATTTACCCCTGTGTGTGGTGTGTCCTGCGTGGCAGTATCTCCTTGTCCCGTGTGTGGGGTGTCCCGGGCGGTGGTGTCTCCCTGTCCCCTGCGTGTGGGGTGTCCCGGGTGGCAGTATCTCCCTGTCCCCTGCATGTGGGGTGTCCCGGGTGGCAGTATCTCCTTGTCCTCTGCGTGTGGGGTGTCCCGGGTGGCAGTATCTCCCTGTCCCCTGCGTGTGGGGTGTCCTGGGTGGCAGTATCTCCCTGTCCCTTGCGTGTGGGGTGTCCTGGGTGGCAGTATCTCCCTGTCTCCTGTGTGTGAGGTGTCCCGGGTGGCAGTATCTCCCTGTCCCCTGCATGTGGGGTGTCCTGGGGGTGGCAGTATCTCCCTGTCCCCTGCGTGTGGGGTGTCCTGGGGGTGGCAGTATCTCCCTGTCCCTTGCGTGTGGGGTGTCCTGGGTGGCAGTATCTCCCTGTCCGCTGCGTGTGGGGTGTCCCGGGCTGGGCCTCAGGCTTCTCTTTTCCACCCTCTTCTGCCCCCATGTGCTGTGTTCAGTCCTCAGGCCCTGACTGGCATCTGTTCACTGATCAGAGCCATTTTCTTTCCTCCAGCCCCATCCTTTCTGTGGATCTGATATCCCACCTGTCTTCTTGCCACTTCCACTAGGACGTCCAATGGTGTCTCCACCCAAATTCCTGACCTCACCGACTTCCCCAAGCCTGTCTGTCCCCCGTGACCCCAGCCTGCCAGGAGCTCAGGCCCACAGCCGCAGAGCCGCCTTTATTCTCCTCGGACACAGCACAGCGCGCCTGGTGAGGCTGCAGGTTCTGGCCTCAGGGTGCACATGGGACCGGCCGGCGTCTCCGCGTGGCCAGGTGCGTCCAGCATCTCATTCTCTGCTCTGGATCTTGCAGAGACCCCAACTGCGCTGCCTGGCTCTTCCATCCATGGTGCCGGGCCCGGCCTGGGAGGGGCTGCACAGGCCGAGCCGCAGCATGATGTCCCCTGCGCCCAGCACTTCTGCCATGCGAGCCTTGAAAGGGCCTCCACCCCTGCAGCCTGCATTCTGTGGAAGCCACGTGTTGCGTGAGGCCTTTCATGCCTGGGAGAGGGAGGTTTGAAGAGCAGAAGCACTTAGGCAGGAGAAAAGACAAATTAATGAACGTGTCAAATCCTGCTGTTCAGGTTACAGAAAAGCCAATGATTTCTGCATAAAGAAGTATCCGTTCCTGGCAGTGCCAGGTGCCCACTCTTGCGTTTCTTTGCACGTCGGCTCACAGCTCTAGAAGTACTCACGGACAAATGTGGAGGCGCCCCGCAGCACCCCACAATCCCTTTCACTTTTCCACGTCTGTCGAGACAGGACATGCATGACTCACGCAACCAGCTCATGACATCAGCAACTGCAGGGATCTCAGAGCCAGAATTGCAAATGTCTTATTCTTACAAAAATATGGACTACAATTTGATTAAATTGTCACAAAATACAATTTAAAATACAGCTCTATTTAAATACTTTTGATTGAAAATTTTGATATTTTGTGAATTATATTTGGCTTTAGAATTTTAATAATTCACATTAAATCTTTTTGAAGAAAAATAGCTTTTGAAGCATAGTTTTAGTTTACAATTTTAAGTGCATTTTTATTTTTAATGAAAATACTTCTACATCTTGTACCCTGTGTGCAATTACAGTTGAATCATTTCTGTCTAAAACACCCCAACTTTATGAAGATCGTCATTAAACAATCTAATTAGTGACTTCATGAAACAAGGGGAATAAAATGCATTTACAAATAAATATACAATAATTTACAAAATTATGTATGTCATTAATTTATTACTCAGCCAAACCTTACCAGCCCATCGAGAGAACATCACTACTCACAGGATTATAATCCAATCCACTGTCTTTTTCATTGGATTAATTTTCAGAAATAAAAACAATAGCTTTATGCACATTTGAATAATTTTTTTCACTATGAACATATATTTTTCAAAGTATGAAGCATTTTTTTAGCGGCTAATGAGCTTCACATAGACTTTTAAATGTCCAGAAGCCCAGCATGGAATGCCACTTGCCCTCTGGCCTTGGGCCCCTCGACAGCTGGACAGGGGCTGACTCTATACACTGGGGGGGGGAGGATGCTGGCCACTCAACACACACTCAAGCCTCTCCTCAAAGCCCTGCGCTGGCGCATCTCACCCACAGTGAGGTCTACAGTCCAGGCCACAGACACAAGGCCCTTCAGAACCTGGCCCTTGGCTGCTGCCCTGACATCACCTCCAACAGCCCCCTCGCCCCTGCTCAGCCCCTTCAGCGCGGGACGCCCCGGCCAGCTCCTGCCTCAGGGCCTTTGTACCTGCTGTTTGTTCCTGACCCTCAAATGCCTGCCTGCAGCCATCTGCATGGTCCTCCTGTTCTCACCCAACATCGGGCCCTCATCCCATCACCTGTCTGTGCCCTCATCCAGCTTCATTCTTTCCCAAAACATTTATCACCCTCTGACATGATGCATGCTTGGTTATTATCTATTTTTTCTCTAGAATATCAGTTCCACAAAGCGAGGATTTGCCCTAGTGCTTAGAACACTGTCCAGCACATTAGAGGACCTCAACGATTATCTGTTGAGGGAATGAATAAGTGACTTATAGGAAGCATGAGCAAATTAACTCCCTAGTGGCAGCGTTAAAGCATTACTATCTCTAGGATGATCATGCCACCACTGTTACCTCTATTACTAAGACCAGTGGTGGCACTCACTAGTGGTGCAGGGAGGGAGTTTCCTATACCTTCCACACCCACAGTTCTAGTTTTGAACTAAAGAGCCAACGATAAAAGGATATCTGAGGATTCCTGATTTGCAGTCTCATGATTCTCTTCCAATACCGGCTGCCAGCCATGAGCACGGGTGCAGGATCACGCATGTACGCCGTGGGAATGCGTGCAGGATCACGCACGTACACCGTGGGAACGGGCGCAGGATCACGCACGTACACCGTGGGAACGGGTGCAGGACCACGCACGTACGCCGGATCACGCACGTACGCCGTGGGGACGGGTCCAGGATCACGCACGTACGCCGTGGGAACGGGTCCAGGATCAGGCACGTACGCCGGATCACGCACGTACGCCGTGGGGACGGGTCCAGGATCACGCACGTACGCCGTGGGAACGGGTCCAGGATCAGGCACGTACGCCGGATCACGCACGTACGCCGTGGGGACGGGTCCAGGATCACGCATGTACGCCGTGGGAACGGGTCCAGGATCACGCACGTACGCCGTAGGAACGGGCGCAGAATCACACACGTACACCGTTCTGCACAGCTGGCGGACGCTTCCTCTTTCCCACATGGTGTGGTGTAACCTGATCGTTTGTATGCAAAGCAAACCCATGCACAGCTGACTGTGTCAAAACACAGCCAGAAAGATGCCATGCGGCAGGGCACGTGTGTGTGTGTGTGTGTGCGAGCGCGCGTGCGCCCCTGCGATCAGCCCAGCAGACAGAGCACGTTCCTGTAACGTGTTGTGATCCACTGCGCGGCAACAACACAAAACACAAGAAAATGTTTTGATGTTAATCATTTTACATCAAGTCATCTGAAAGTAGCATGTTGCCCCAATGTTTGGATGTTTAATTTTGCTAACTGTCAGAAGGAATTAAAATAACCCTGGAACATAACTGCTTTCCTGACAATTATTTACTAAAACCAGAGATGCCATTTAAAGCTTAATTCCCAGAGAGGGAGAAGAGAAGGGGGGTGCCCTTGCCTGTGCCTGTGCTGGAAGTGGGCTGTTCATCATCTCTCTTTTCTTCTTTGGCGGTGAGGCCAAAGGCACTGTGGCACAGCAAGCCAAGAAGAGGCTATCCATGAAGATCGGTCTCCGTGCTATCGTGAACGGGGGCTGATGCCTGACCACCCGAAGGAAGAGAGGAGGCAAGATGCTGTGCCCACAAGACCCACCCCATGGAGAAACGTCTGCATGGTGACTGGGCTTGCAATGCGGTGATCTCCAGGATGAAAAGATGCCCCCTTAGAGATTTACCACGATGCAAAGACGCTCATTTCTACCTGAACAGCCAGGGTCCCATCCTGCTTAGTATAGAAATAGCAAAGACGTTTAGGGAGATAAACTAGATGTGCACCTACTGACATGTGTATAACGTTCAGTGTTTTATTAAACATGTATATATCACGGGCTCCTGGAAATGATTCCTCTCACCAACTCAGATGACTTTCTCTTGAAAGTTAGAAGTTTTGGGGTTAATTTGTAATTCAAAAATATTAATATTTTATATTTATATTCCATTAAATATTAGGAAGATACCAAAGAATATTATAAAATATGTGTTGGTTCCAAAGAATAATAAGACAGCAAACATCCAGGATACCTGACACTCTGAAAAGAGATAAAACATTAAAATTATCTTTGATACTCTCTGTGAGCTCTTCTCGGTCCTATCAAAGCTAATAACTTTCATGAATTCTGGGTGCATAGTTTCTGTATGTAGACTTTTTTTTTCACCTATGTGTGTATCCCTAAACAAAATACTGCATAAGATGACATAATAACATACACGTTCTGTGATGTGCCTTCCGTCTTCTGCTAACCCTGTGTTCTGAGACTCAGATTCGGTTTTGCATGTCATGGTGGCTCATGCATTTTCATTGCTGTGTGACTGCATTCTATACACATGGAGCATCACGCTTTATTTTTCCAATCACTTACCCAGTCCGGTGGGAAACTGGGTTCTTATTTTTCCCTCCATATCTGAAACAGTATAGCCATGAACCTTCTCACACGTGTCTCCAGGCCCATGTAGAGAATTTTCTCCAGTACAATCACTAAGACATAGATGTCCCAAAGGGATTCTATCAATTTACACTCCTGTCACCAACACACAGAGTTCCTAGTGCTCCGTGTGCTCATTGGTTTAAGCTTTAAACACTTTGCCGATTTGGTAGATTTACGTTGTATCTCCTTGGGCTTCCAATGTGCATGTCTTTGATAATTCATCAGTTTGTGCATCTTCGTGTATGTTTATTCATCATTCATGCTTCCTCTTACATGAAATTTTTGTTTTGCCCATTTTTCTACTGGGTTATTTGTCTTTTTCTTACTGCTTTGTAGAAGTTCTTCAAACATTCTGGATACCAAAACTTTGTCAGTTATGTGGGCTGCAACTATCATATCTCAGTTTGTGGCTTGGCTTCTTAAAGTTCCTGGTTTTAATACAGTCTAATTTATCATTTTCTTTAAGGTTTGCATTTCTGGCATCTTGTTTAAAAAATTCTCCTTTAGCTCAAGATCTAAAGATATCTATATAAAGATATCTATATAAAGATACAACTCTGTTTTTTTCCTAAAAGATTTTTGTCCTTCACATGTAAGTCTGATATTGAAGAACTGATTTTTGTATGTGATTCAAGGTAGAGGTCATTTCATTTTTTTCTCATTGAATACCCCATTTCCCCATCAAAGTTTCTTGTAAAGGCCATCCTTCCCACTGATCTGTAATGTCAACCCTGTTATCAATCAGTTCTATTTAAGGGTCTACTCCTGGGTTCCCTCTGTTCCTGGCCCAGGTGTCTCTCCGTGCACAGATCCATGTGATCTTTCTTACTTTAGTGTAAGTAGTTTATGCTGTCTACACACGAAGGCAGGTGTTGGCTCTTTGTACTTATACATTTTGGAATCAGCTTGTCACGTTTGTAAATGAATAGTTTTTGGATTTTTGTTAAAATTTTATTGAATCTAGAAGTTTGATTGTTATTAATAGCATCATTATTCCCAATCTGTGAACATGTAAATCTCTCCATTTATTGTCTTCAACATCTTTTAAGTTTTATATTTTTCCCCATAAAAGTCTTATATATTTAACATATGTATATATTCCCGGGACTTTAAATTTTGATGCTATTTTAAATGAGTATCATTTTTAAACAGCATTTTCTAACTTTTTTTCCTAAATATACAAATACAGCTGACTTTTGCATGATTTCATATACAGCACCCTTCCTAAACTATCTAATTCCATTAGTTTACCTGGATCTTCTTCTGTCTCTTCTGAGTAAATAATGAGGCCGTCTGTGAATAATGACAGGCTTGCTCCTTCTCTCCTAAGTGCACCCTTTATCTCTCCTTCCTGCTTCACTGCCTGCTGAACGGATCCTCCTACAAATGCTTGTAAGGGTGAGAGCCCACATCCCTGTCTTATTTCTGGTGTTCAAGAGAATATTTCCAGTGTTTTGCTGGGAAGCATGATGTTTCTGTAGGGTCTTTAAAAAATCAAAATAAGAACAAACTAGTCTTACTTTATTCAACATTTTTATTATGAATGAATGTTAATATTTAGCAAATGTTTTTACCTGTATCTATTGAGATAATAATTTTTTTCTCTTTTCATTAATGTGATAGACTACATTAATTACAGCTTTAATTGCTCATGACATTTTTTAAAAATAAATTGCTGGATTTTAATTTGCTATTATTTGGCTTTTACACCTATGTTTTTGAGGAAATTTCTCTCTAATTGTCATTCCCTGTACTGTAATTACTGAGTTTTGGTATCAAGTTTATGCTAACCTCATGAGCTGTGTAGTCTGGGATGTTTTGTGTATGAGTGCATGTGTTTGGATGTATGGAATAACTTGCTTATAAAATATGTGGGCCTGATATTTTCTTTGTGGGAAGACTTTTAACTATTAACTCAAGTTCTTCCTTGGCTACAGGGCTATTGGAGTTTTTCATTCTGGTATTTTGGTCATGTTATCTAACATTTCAAATATATGGCCATAAATTGTTCATGATGACCCCTTGTTATTCTTTTATATGCCAAAGCATCTATATTAGCATTCCAATTTTAATTCTCAATATTGTTTATGATTCCCTCCTCTCTTTTTTAAAATCACTTATGACAAAGGAGGTTTCTCAATTTTGTAAGCTTTTTTTAAAAAGACAAAAAATTTTGCTTTTTAAACAAACAGAGAGATTCTCTGTCTTTGAGATTCTCCAACTTCACTGTCAGGAATCGAGGTGTAGAGCCTTTTTCACTCCATAGGCTTCTGGAATCTGAGTACTGGTGTCTTACATCAGTGGTGGAAATTTTTCTGCCACTGTATCTTCAAATATTACTTCTGGAGTGCTCTGCTGGAATGCTTATGAACCATATGTAAGATTCCAACTCTGCCAGAATACTTATGAATCGTAGGTAATATTCTAACTCTGCTGGAACACTCATGGATCATGTGTAAGATGTGTAAGATGATCCTCGATGGTGATAGAGTGTGCCTCTTCCCCGGCAATGGCTTTCCCAATAAAGTTGGCTCTCAATGTAGCTACCTTTTTTTTTTTTAAATTAGTATTTCCTTAGGAACTCCATAGGCTTCTGGAATGCTTATGAACCGTGTGTAAGAGTCTTCTACTCTGCTGGAACACTTATGAATCGTGTGTAAGAGTTGCCTAATCTGCTAAAATGCTTATGAACTGCATTTAAGATCCTCCTACTCTACTGCAAGACTTATGCATTGTAGGTAAGATTCTCCTACTCTGCCCTCTATGGCTCCTACCCTTACTTTCATATTTTCAATTTATTTGTCTCTGTGGGCTGCGTTTTAGAAAATTTCTTAGTTCTATACTTTACTTCTCTAATTCTCTCTTCAACTATATCTAATCTGCTATTAAACTCATACCCTTAGTTTAGAATTTCTATTATTATATCTTTCATTAAAATATATTTCTTCAAAAATTGTGGTCTCTTTTAAGACTATTGATCTGTAGGTTATATTTAGCTTCCTCCTATGTTCCTTTAATCATATTAAAATATTTAAATTTATGATCTATGTCCAATAGTTACAATATCTGAGGCTTTCTTTTGTTGTCCATTCTTTCAATTAACTTTTGTCCTGTTACCTGGTATGTTTTAAAATTTTTTATTGTGGACTCAAATTTCTTGGAATTTTACTTGCAGGTATTCTTTATGAGTAGAAGGGGAAAGAAAGGATTCCTCCAGAGAGGATCTGCCTTTCCCTCTGCCAGGCATCTGGAGGCCCGTGCACCTGGGAGCGTTTGAAGCTGAATTCCCTGCTTGAGATGTTGTGGCTGTCCAGGCAGCATGCAGTGGGATTGTACATCCCTGTGAAGCTTGGCTGTGGTTAATGTCCTAAGGGAAAATGCCACCCCCCCACCCCCGCCTTCCCCGCCACACACACACACATCCAGGAACAGCGCTGAACGCAAGCAGTTTACCATCCTCCAGCCCAATGGAGAGCTGAGAAGACACTCTATCATCGGTCACCATTACCCTGCAGTCATGGTTCTTGGGGGTCCCAGCTCCATGTGGCATGTCTTCTATTAGCCTTACCATATCAGGATTTCCTAGTGCCTCCTGCCCTCTATAGACCACAAGATCATGAATGCTGAAGTTCAGGTTTACCCGGTGTGGAGAAGATTCTCAGAATAAAGGCCAACATCAGTCATCCACTGATGTCCCCGGGTTCCTGCTCTCACTTGGCTTGGGATCTCCAATAATTTAATTATTGCCAGATGTCTGATGTGTTAAAATTATCTCTATGTCCTCATATTCTCGTAGTTTTGTTTTTGGAATGAGGGTGAGTCCCAATATTTGTTTCTTCCAGCGTACCAGCAGAAATGGGAACTCCCACATCTCCTAAGAAATCTCTGCCCCGCCCCAGCTGCTTTGTGCTTATGAAGTAAAACTCATTTTAATTCAGGTTTGGGCAAAACCTCAGGGGAGGCTAAATATGAAATAATCTAATGATTTTATATTATGCTAAATATAACTAAACACAGATGTGTATATAAAATTGCTAATTATTCAGTGTTTTATGGAATCTGCCGTGACTCTTGCTGGGACTGTGAACTAGAAATGGCAACGACACCTTTTCTTTGTGTGGTGCTGCGTGTGGACGCTGGTCTCTCCTCGGCCCCAGTCCACGCTTTCCCCAGGTTCTTCATCTCTAACCCTCCTGGCAGCAGTGCTGGGTCAGAGGGTCTCACCCCAAATGGTCCCAGGCTCCTGTGCAGGGCCTGGTGGTTATGGTCCCAGATGGGCGGCTGGAGCCTCTGGGAGGTGTTGGCCCAGGGCTACTCAGTTCAAAATGGGGGCTCTGGGAAGGAGAGCCAGGTCTCTCGAGCTTGAGGTGGCTCCTCATGGACTGTGAAGGGGTGCATGTTTTAACACAACAAACTGCTCTCCTCTAATTACCTGTAATCCATAAGACAGTGTGAGGACAGTTCTGGGAGCAGGTGAGTTCGAGAAGCACCAAGACGCATCATTTGCCTGTCCTGTGTGTGGTCTAAGAGGTGCCTGGTGCTTCACTGCAGAGCACGCAGCTCCTTGCTCCAGCCACCTGCACCACAAGCACTGCTTCTGATGTCATAAGCGTGGCCTCGAGGAGATGCTTAGGAGCCCCCAGGCCAGTGCACGTCCCCTCCCCGGCTGAAGGTCCCCACCATGGCAGGGGCTGGCCACGCACCCCGGCCACTCCGGGACACGTCCAACACACGTCCCCCTCCCCAGCTGAAGGTCCCCACCATGGCAGGGGCTGGCCACGCACCCCGGCCACTCCAGGACACGTCCAACACACATCTCCCTCCCCAGCTGAAGGTCCCCACCATGGCAGGGGCTGGCCACGCACCCCGGCCACTCCGGGACACGTCCAACACACGTCCCCCTCCCCAGCTGAAGGTCCCCACCATGGCAGGGGCTGGCCACGCACCCCGGCCACTCCGGGACACGTCCAATACACGTCCCCCTCCCCAGCTGAAGGTCCCCACCATGGCAGGGGCTGGCCATGCACCCCGGCCACTCCAGGACACGTCCAACACACGTCCTCCTCCCTGGCTGAAGGTCCCCACCACGGCAGGGGCTGGCCACGCACCCCGGCCACTCCAGGACAGGCTGCCGCAGCTGGGGAGCTTCTGGTTCCCCTTCTTTGCTGTTGCAAACCGCTCTCTCTCATTTTAAAATGTCCTGTATGAAGCGAAGGCACTGAACACACTCCAGCCTGCAACGCAGAAGTGCACATTGGCGTGGAGCATTTGAAAGGCATTTTCTCCTTGGAAACTGAAAGGTCAATTTGTCAAACTCCACTCCTCAGGGTTCCAAGAAAGGTTCTTCAGCCCTTGTTTTCCAGCCATAACAGGGTAAATAAATGAGACTCTCATCTGCGGGTCTCCTGTGGATTCTGCCGGGGGGCGGGGCTTCGGTGGAAAGGGAGCATGGCTGCGCAGTAATAATAGCGGCAGGCTGGGAAAAGCTAATGTCAGCTCCAATTTCCAAGTCATTTTTCAAATTATTTTAATTAGATATTGTTTCAATCTCACTTACATTAATTTAATATCTGATATCAACATTTCAGTTTTCAATTGTTCAAATGATTTTTTTTCAGTCTGCCTGGTTGCCTGGAGTAATTTAAAATACAATGTTTATCTTCAGCAATTTTCAACGCGTGGTCCTGGACAAACTGCTATGTTCAATAAAAGTGACAAGGAAGGGACGGCCCCAGGTCCTGCGTGGCGACGAGGAAAAATGGAAATTGTCTCCTTATTGTTCATCTCTAGACATCAGAGTCAGCAGGCCGAGCTGGGGCTGGGGCTGGGATAATAAGATTTTCCACCCATTTCACGATGTAATTGGCTTTCCCAACGCAAATTTCAGTGAAATTTGACTAAGATTTTTTTGTATTAAAAGGCATCTGAATAAATGGCCACATTCCCCCATCTACACATTTTCTGAGAATTTTCAGTCACAGCCCTCAAACCTACCCCTAAAAGATTCTTCCTGGACGCACTGCCACAAATAGCCTTAGGTTCTGCGTTTTCTTAGTTTGTCCTTTTCTTCAGACATTAGCACGGATGCTGGTAAAGACGTGCCTTCTGAAATGGTAAATGTAAAGCTGAACCAGGCCTTCACCTCCCCGTTTATAAAATGTGGGAGAAATGAGGTATCCTGAAGTGTTCTTCTAAGACAAGGAAATTAGTATTGTTCTTGAAGTTGATAATGAGAAATCTGAAGATCCTTACTGCTTTTGAAAAGTGTGAAGAACTTAAAACAAATTACCTGGGAACAACATAAAACCAAACTATAACATCATCCACATGGCAACAGGTAAACCATCGAAGGAACAGGAGGGAAGCTGAGGAGCTGGAAGGCGTGGGCCGGTGTGATTAACGAGAAACACACACAGTGAGGACGACGCGTGGGAGCAGGGGAAGTCATCTTCCTAGGACAGGTGCCTTCACTCGCATCAAACTACTCATTATCTACAAGCAACATATCGAAAACAACGCCGTCCAGAAAGATTACAAACTGACGCGGCCGGGAAAATCTATCAGACATACGAATGGAAGGAGAGAAGGCGTCATGGCGTCGACACCAAGAAAATGTGCAATTTGTTTAAAAGTTATTGATTAAAGTGGAATAAATAGACTAATGTTAGATTAGATTATAAAATTCCAGACAACGATATAGGGTTAATGAACTGGTGTGTGCCAAGAAATAAACATCGAAATTAATAAGGAAGAAGTGATCACAGTACAAAGAGATGCCACTCGCAGCCTGAGGGACGGAAGGGCCTGACGGCGGCCATCCTCCACCAGCCACGTTCCGGGGCTGCGCTTGGCACTTTAACTGCACCCGGCACTAACCCCCACAACAGCCACCTGAGGTGCGGACTTTAAATGCCCCCATCTTATTGATAAAGAGGACTGAGTTTTCCAGGGGGTTAAGCAACTTACCTAAAGTCACAGGGCTAGTAAAACACAGAGCCTTATTAGAAACAAGTCTCCCTAGCTCCCACAAGGGTCCTACAGCGGGCCCGAGAACATGACAAAGAGAATTCAATAGCGACTGATCAAGCTCTATGGTCTAGAAACCAGAATGGAACCGATCAGATATTAAGCCTCAAAAAAGGACTTCATGTTTTTTAAATCATAAAAATCATAAATGTTGCATTCTCTAAGCAAAATCTAATAAATTAGAAATTAATAAACACAGAAAACAAAACTCTCTCATCATTTGGGTATTAAAAATATTATTTTCAATAATTCTTAGGTTAAGAAGGAAATGGAAACTAAATTACAAAATAGTTAGAGAATAATAAAGGCTGTGGGAGATACCGAAATGATTCCCCGGAGGTGGGTTTCGAATACTGAGAGCTTCCATGATGATAAGAGAGAAGGACAGTAAACAAAGTAGGCACTCCATTTATGACGTCAAAGTAAATAGGTAACAAAAAACTTGAGGGAAGAAATTAAGTAATAAAAATATAAATTAAACTATAAAAGGGAATACAGGATTGGTGAATAAACCCAAGAGCTTGATTTTAGGGGAAAAAATCATAAACTCTTAGAGGTAATCAAGAAAAGTAAAACACCTCAAATTCTAAAATTATCAAAAATTAATAATTAGGAGGACACATAATCACAGATGCAGTGGAAATTTAAGACTTATAAGCCCTTAAGACCATTTATATATCTATTTATAGTCATGCACCACGTACTAACGTTTTGGTCAGTGATGAACCACATACACCCACAAGTGGTGGTCCCATAAGAGTATGACGGAGCTGACAAATTCCTGTCACCTTGCGACGTCACAGCCATCGTAAAGCCACAGTGCAAAGCATTACCTTTTCTATGTGCAAATGATACACAAATGCCTACCGCTGTGTTACACCTGCCTACAGTATTAGTATAGTAACATGTTGTGCAGGTTTGTAGCCTAGCAGCGCTGTCCCATACAACCTGGGTGTGTAGGAGGCTGTAGCATCTACAGGTTTTGTAAGTGCACCCTGTGATGCTCGCACAACGACGAAATTGCCAGATGAAACATTTATCTGAAGGCAGCCTCGTCATTAAGCAACGCATCGCTGTCTAAGAATTTGGAACTCCAAGAAATTGAACTATGAACAAAGAAAATAAAAATTACTAACCTGGCTAAGAATGAAGAAAGAAATATTAATAGATGAATATGAAAATACAAAACGTTTTTCAAAGAAACTTCCTTCCAGAAAAGCACAAGGCCCTAAGTGTGACTGGAAAGTTCTCTCAAAACTTTGAGGAATAAAAGATTCTCAAGTCAGCACCTCCCAGGAGCGCCAGCACCAAGCGCAGTTCACAGTTTACAAGGACACGCTTGGCAATCCATTGGTGGGTCTGAGGATACAGCAAAGGCTCTGAGCCTACACCAAGGCCCCCCATGTTGTCTGAACGTCCTGCCTGCTTCTTCTTTTGAACATGAAGTTCTAGCCAGCGAGGACAAATGCTGAGATGTTTGAGACTTCCCAAACCACTTGTGTTTTATCAATACATTTTATAAGCCAAAAGTTAAGAGTCAGCCGCACAAACAGAGCTGCCCAATCCTTGGCAAAGCAGCAAGGGAACTCAATGGGGAAGGGACCAGCTTTTCAGCAGATGGTGCTGGACCAATGGGATACTCACATGCAAAAAGTGAATCCAGACATCAACCCTATACCCTCCACAGAAATTAATGCAAAGTTAGATGTAAAATGCCAAACTATACAACTTCTAGAAGATACAAAGAAAATCTAGGTGACCTTGGGTTTGGTGATGACTTTTTAGAGATACAACACCAAAAGCACAGTTCATGAAAAAAACAACTGATAGGCAGGACTTCATGAAAATTAAAAACTGAATATATTATTAGTATATGACCCAGCAGTCATGCCCTTTGGTATTTGCTAAATAGAGTTGAAAACTTATGTCCATACAAAAATATGCACATGGATGTTTATTGCAGCTTAGTTCATAATTGCCCAAACTTGGAAGCAACCATGATGTCCTTCAGTAGATGAATGGATCAACCGTGGTGTATCCATATAATAGGATATCATTCAGGGCTAAAACGGAATGAGCCGTCAAACCATGACACAGGGCTTGCAGGAACCTTAAATGCCTCTTGCTAAGTGAAAGAAGCCATCCTGGAAAGGCTACACACTGCATGATTCCAACGCTAAGACGTTCTGGAAAAGAACAAAGGATGGAGACAGTGTAAGTTGTGGTGGAGGTAATGAGGAGTTGGGGGAAGAGAGAGGTACCAGCAGAGCACAGAGGCTTTCATGACAGGGAAACCACTCTGTTTGATGCTATGATGATGGATACGTGTCATCATACACTTGCCCAAACCCACAGAATGTACCATCCTGCTGTGGCTCAAATATGGTTTATACCATCTGAAACTCATGCTGAAATTTGATTACCATTGTGGCAGTGTTGGAGGTGGGGCCTTTAAGAGGTGATTAGGTCATTAAGAGGGACTGATGGTTTCTTGCAGGAGTGTGATAATTCTTGTGGGAGTGGGCTGCCGCAGGCAGGGAGGGCTGCTGTAAGGCGAGCCCAGCCCCTCATGCTTGTCGTCTCATTATACATGCTCATTGGCCCTTCTTCCAGGGCATGGCGCAGTAAGAAAGCCCTTGTCAGAGCTGCTGCCATGCCCTCGGACTTCCCAGCCTCCACAACTGTGAGCTAAATAAACTTCTTTTCTTATAAACTACCCTGTCTCAGGAATTTTATTATAGCAACAAAAATCCACCTAAGAGAACAGCAGGAGTGAACCCTGATGTAAACCATGGAATGAATGTGGGCTCATCAACTGTGACAAACAGACCATCCTAATACAGATGGGAGCAATGGAGAGACGGGGCGTGGAGTGGAAGGCAGGGCACGTGGGAACCCTCTGGACTGTCTGCTCTATTTTTCTGTAAATGTAAAACTGCACTAAACATAAAATCTACTAAACACAAGTCACAAACAAAGGTTAAAAGTTGCTTGTTTTTATTTGAAGTGCAGATGTCCCTGGTTAGATGTTCAAATACCTTAAAAACTGTAGGTAAAGGGCATTCTCCATGTGTACAAAGATTATTACTGCAGTGAAACTTTCAGGAGAATTTTGAAGAGAGATGATTATTTTCTGACTCTACTGACCAGGATTCTGTTCAACATCTTCATACGGGATTTTTGGTTTTTAAATACTGGGTGACGGGGCCAAGGAGTGGTGACTTGCAGAAGGAAGTCTTTCCTGGGCGATGGGGCCAGCACTGCATCCTGACTTGGAACAGAGTGCGTGGAAAGGGAAATGGGGGTCTGGGTCTCAGTCCTGCAGTCCTGCAGTCCTACAGTGGGTGAGACCACACCTGCGGCAAAGCTGGAATTGCACTGAAATTGGAATTGAATTGAAAATTATGCAGAATTGGAATTGCATTGAAAATTATGGATGGAAAACAAGAGCAAACTTACCACTGCTAAGTGCTGATTTAAACAAGATAAATGTTCTCTTTAGTTGGACACAAACTAGCAAGAATGACTTTGTTCCCATGGGTTTCTCAATATAAGCTCCTTTTGCTGGGAAGGAAAAAGGGCATCTGCAGTAAGGTTGGTTCTTTTCCTTCCACATCACCAGCGGCAATCGTCTTTATTATTCATTAGCAAGCTCGATGTCACGGCACGCTGCGGCACCGCTGAAACCAGCCTGAGTTGGGAAAATACTTTCAATATTTCAACTGACTGCTTTCTAAGTCACAAATAACACAGCTAATCCTGAGGTCACTCGCTTACAAAAACCTATTTGCTGTGCTTCAGAGCAAAATGAAAATATATATTACAAATGATGCCACCAGTGGCAAGCCTGCTCTGGGACCAGCCATCCTTCCACTGTCTCCTACCACTGGCAGCTAAAAACATCCCTCCTTCTCCTTAAAGCCATTTTAATAAAGACCCCAGAGGCTGTTTACTCAGGTGAACACATTTATTTGTAACCAGTGTTTAATGTAAAATTTAGCCTAGGCTGTGTGTGTCAATAAAGGTCTATAAATAAAACATCACTCTGGGTTTTTTATCTTTATCCCAACACCCTACACTGCATGCTTTTAGAGACGCCGTTCCACTGGGCCTTTTTATTCTTAACCCTGACCTATAAAAATCACTTAAGTCACCAGAAGCTTTTCCTATGAGCCAGTCAGTGCAGGTGAGGTGGGAGCAGCTAGCCATAAGTTATGATGCTTGTGACTGAGAAAACAACAGGTGGGTGTGTTCTGGCAGGGCAAGAAGGCAGCCAGCCCCCTGGGACCATCCAACCATGCTCCACCTGCCTGAGCCTCGGGAAACGCCACCTGCGCGCTGGCCTGTGGAGGGGAGCTCTTTCCCCTCGCGAGGCAGAGCACATGTCACTACATCACATTGAGTTGGAAAAATCCAAAGAACATCATCCCCGTCTTTCCACCTGTGTCAGTTCCTTCAAAGACAGGCCCGAGACCTCCTTTGGAAGACTTTGCTCAAATTATTTGGGGGCAAACGTCCAAATGTCAGACCATTGATGGCTTCCATCCCATTCCCTCAACTGACGGATAAAACCCCAGAAACTCAGAGAGGCTGTCACTGCTGCAAATGGTCCAGGAAGAAACTCTGATCCCAGAAACCAACAAGAGGAAATTTTCCTGAGATAAAGAGAAATCTCTGCCTTTAGATAAGAAATGTGTTTTCAGGAATCGACAGTGTTAGTGTAGGATGTTAGCGGTCACACCCGAGATGGTTCTTTTGCTAAACTCAGGGAGATTTTAGTTGAATTTGCAAAATGGTTGCTAACATATCTACCTGTTCCTGAGCAGAATTTAAAAAAGCAACCTGTCCTGAATTAGAGGAGGCTGGCTTTGGTGTGCTGTTTGGGTTGGACCGTATCTCAGCACTGTGTTCCATTCTGGATACCGCTGTTTGGGAGACCCCATGGGCACCCATAGCAGACGGCAGGGATGGGACAATGGGGGATGGCAAGGTTGTGTGTCACGCTGGGGAGCTGGAGGAGGGGGCCCGGTCCTGAGTGTTTCAGAAGGCAGGGTGGGGCCATCACATCCATGGCCTCTTCACTTGGACAGGATGAGGGGGCGCGGCCACAGGCAGGTAGAGGGGTGGCAGAGGAGGTCTATGTGGCTTCCTGGGGCTGGCTCCATTGAAGCCACACTCGTTCTCCTTTTCTCCTCCACCTGTAAGGAAACACTGTCCATTGGAACATCAGAAAGGGCGGCCCTGGGCTCAAAGCTGAGGACGCCCCCTCTGACCTGCAGCTGGCGAGGTGCACAGCCCCTGGAGGAGAACCGAGGCCACCAGCCCTGTTGCCAGAGCTCAGCTGCTCCTCCCGACACTGGTTCTGAGTCATGGAATCTCCCTACCCTGGACGCCTCCAAAGGCCCCATCCACAGGGCCCTGCTCACCACTGGCCCAGGTGCCACCCAGAGTCAGAGCTGGTTCCTGACCTCTGCCAGGGATAGCAATTCCCATTCTTGAGCTGGAAAACAGGTCATGTGGAATCTACAGGATGCACGGGGAGGACACCTCGCTTTATTTCAGGTACACAGGGTAAGAAGTCCGCTGCAGGTGGATTAAAGACTTGCCGAGTCAGCCAGGAGGCCACTGCCTATGCCACTTGGCACGGTACCCTCTGCTCACCCAACTCCCATGACTGAGATGCACAGTTCTCACCAGCTTTAGGTGATGAAAACACCTCCACTGAAGCTCAAACAGGCAAATGCAGTTATTGAAATGTAGTCAGGATGCAGGCACCTGCATTTAGCACGTCAGGCAAATGCAGTTATTGAAATGTAGTCAGGATGCAGGCACCTGCATTTAGCACGTCAGGCAAATGCAGTTATTGAAATGTAGTCAGGATGCAGGCACCTGCATTTAGCACATCAGGCAAATGCAGTTATTGAAATGTAGTCAGGATGCAGGCACCTGCATTTAGCACGTCAGGCAAATGCAGTTATTGAAATGTAGTCAGGATGCAGGCACCTGCATTTAGCACGTCAAGCAAATGCAGTTATTGAAGTGTAGTCAGGATGCACCTGCATTTAGCACGTCAGGCAAATGCAGTTATTGAAATGTAGTCAGGATGCAGGCACCTGCATTTAGCACGTCAGGCAAATGCAGTTATTGAAATGTAGTCAGGATGCAGGCACCTGCATTTAGCACGTCAGGCAAATGCAGTTATTGAAATGTAGTCAGGATGCAGGCACCTGCGTTTAGCACGTCAGGCAAATGCAGTTATTGATATGTAGTCAGGATGCAGGCACCTGCATTTAGCACGTTGCTTTAGTAGGTTAAATCCCCTCCAGAATCTTCCAGAATCCCCAAAATCTAAATGCCCACATTTGCTACGTCCAAATCACGGCTGTCACAATAGCCCTTCATGGGTTCACCTTCCTCGTGGTCCCGGGTCCCAACCTGGCCTGGCCCCTCTCCCTCCAGCTTCCTTTGGCTGCAGGCAAACACTGCCTGTTCTGAGGTGGTCAGCAGTGGACTCGGTCAGGCCACGTGGAAACCGCATGGGGCCACAGAGTGATGGGCCTCAGATGGGCAGCACACCCAGGAGCCGCTGGGGACCCTGTTAAAATGCAGACCCTGATGCAGAAGGTCCAGCTGTTCAAGCCAGCTTGCAGGTGAACCCAGAGCTGTGGGTCAGGGTCAGTCCTAGAGACGCGTCACAGAGAAACGACGCTGAATCACCAGCCACCGAGACAATCAGGAACCAGTGACGTGATGGTAAACAGAGGAAAACACGGGCCACTCTTCAAAGCGCGGTGCCTCAGAAAACACTTCCACAGACACCTCTTCTTCTGTGTCGTTCTAAAACCCTTCTCCCAGAGATAAGGAAACTAGTTCCCTGCAAAATATATTTTATGGTTTTGTTATCATTTTCAGTATTTGCACTGTAATTATGGAAAATTAGTTTAGACTTTATTAAGCTTTTGAGTCTACATGTGAGGCGAATGGATGAATTTAATTTTTATCCATGCATTACCTCCCTCTGTCTATCTACCACTAAACCACAGCCACAGGAAGCTGAGGGTCCACGCGTTACCTCCCTCTATCTGTCCACTGATAAACCACAGCCACAGGAAGCTGAGGGTCCATGCATTACCTCCCTCTATCTATCTACCACTAAACCAGAGCCACAGTATGCTGAGGGTCCACGCATTACATCCTTCCATCTATCCACCACTAAACCACAGCCACAGTACACTGAGGGTCCATGCGTCACGTCCCTCTGTCTGTCCACCACTAAACCACAGCCACAGGAAGCTGAGGATGAAAATCCCCTTTCTCAGAGCATCTACTATGTGCCAGTTCTGTATTAGAAGTTTCAAATGCATCTCATCAAATTCTGAGTCCATGTGAGATAATAATTGCCAAATTAAAAACAATTTAAAGAGCAAGAAGGGATTCTGGAGATCATCTAATTTATTTTAATATTACCTAAATGAGAAGTGGAGGCAGGGAGGGCCTTGCCCACAGCTGTGTGTTCCTGAGTAACTGGGCGGGACTCCCTGCATCCCAGGCCTCCTACGCACCCTCCAGTGCCCCTTCCTCTAAACACTCTGTAGCTGCATTCACTCACAAACACCCACAGACCCTGTAAAATGCTGCTCCTTTGCTTCCTGCTTAGACCTGAGAAGTAGCCTCTCTCCCTGCAGCCCTGGAGATCCTTCACCCTGATCTTGCTGGACACTCCATGGCCCCCACTGCTGTTGGGTAAGAGTCGCCTCCCCCTGCATCTGGACGTGTGGCTGCAGGGATCCTGACACCGGCTCACTGTCTGCAAGCAAAGCCCTGAAGACAGGAAGCCCCAGGGACCCGTCTGAGAGCAGAGACCTCACGTCTGCTGGGGCCCTGAACACAGGAAGCCCCAGGGACCCGTCTGAGAGCAGAGGCCTCGCGTCTTCTGGGACCCCAAAGACAGGAAGCCCCAGGGACCCGTCTGAGAGCAGAGGCCTCGCATCTTCTGGGACCCCGAAGACAGGAAGCCCCAGGGACCCGTCTGAGAACAGAGGCCTCGCATCTTCTGGGACCCCGAAGACAGGAAGCCCCAGGGACCCGTCTGAGAGCAGAGGCCTCGCGTCTTCTGGGACCCCAAAGACAGGAAGCCCCAGGGACCCGTCTGAGAGCAGAGGCCTCGCGTCTTCTGGGACCCCAAAGATAGGAAGCCCCAGGGACCCGTCTGAGAGCAGAGACCTCATGTCTTCTGGGACCCCAAGACAGGAAGCCCCAGGGACCCGTCTGAGAGCAGAGACCTCACGTGTGCTGGGACCCTGAAGACAGGAAGCCCCAGGGACCCGTCTGAGAGCAGAGGCCTCACATCTTCTGGGACCCCAAGACAGGAAGCCCCAGGGACCCTTCTGAGAACAGAGACCTCACATCTGCTGGGACCCCGAAGACAGGAAGCCCCAGGGACCCGTCTGACAGCAGAGGCCTCACGTCTTCTGGGACCCCAAGACAGGAAGCCCCAGGGACCCGTCTGAGAGCAGAGACCTCATGTCTGCTGGGACCCCGAAGACAGGAAGCCCCAGGGACCCGTCTGAGAGCAGAGGCCTCATGTCTGCTGGGATCACTCAGTGCACACGGGCATGTGTGGTGTGTGGGAAGCAGGAGGGAAGCGAGGTTTTATTAAAGCACAGGTGCTTTACCTCCAAGCAGGAGTCAGCATTTTCCATGGAGTTCTGCTGTGAACCCTCTGGGGTTTGTGACCAGGTCAGGCTGAGCAGACTGGGATGTTTACGAGTTCTTACGCACACCCTTCACAGCTGAGGGTCTACAATTCACGCTTGTGGGCAATTCATGAAGAAGAGAGGTGCACATCACTACCTCCATTTTGCAAACTAGGGCTGGGGTCAGGAGAGCTGCCCGACGCTTAGAGGGACTGTGGAGCTCTGTGGGCAATGGACACGTGACAGGTGGCATTTATAGAGCACTTACTGGGAACATGACAGGTGGCATTTATAGAGCACTTACTGGGAACATGCACTGTTGCAGCACTTTATGTGAATTCACACGTTTAACTCTCACCACAATCCAGAAGGAAGGTGCAGATGAGGACTCTGAGGCCCACCCAAGACCGTAAAACCAGGGCAGGGCCATAGGCAGATACAGGACCCGACCCAGAGCCCACACTCAGCCATGCTGCCCCCGGGACTAACTGCCTGGCTTGGGTGGTCCTTAGTAGAGCGGGCGGCATCAGGCCTCTCTGCTCTTGGTCGCCTGGAGATCCCACAGCCAGCAGGATGCACCCAGCCTCCCTGAGAAAGATAGAACTGGTCTGGTTCCTTTCCCTGGGTTTAGGGGGCTGGGGCCAAAGAGAAAAATGGTAGGCCCTGAACACTCTTCTTGTGATGGTGGGATGGACCTGCTATTCAGGAAAGCCTCAACTGGCTCCCCCAGGTCCACTGTACCCAAAGGAACTGGCTGCCTGAACACATTTGGTAAAAGAGATTGCGAAGCCACCCAGGACACTCCCCGTGTCTCAGCGTCACTACCAGGCTCTCACAAGCTGATCAATCTGAGACCACCTGAGTTTGAAGCACCAGGGCTGGGAGTGCAAGTTCCGACTATGAAGAGAGGGCAGCACAGAGGGCGGGATAGGGGTGGGGTGGGGAGGGGGGCAGAGGGTGGAAGATGAGAGGGTGGGAGATAGGGATGGGAGAGAGAGCGGGGCAGATGGCAGGGCACAGGGATAGAGGGCAGGAGAAAGGGCAGGGCAGAGGGTGGGAGAGAGGGCAGTGCAGAGGATAGGATGGGGGGGTGGGACAGGGGGCAGGAGGGAGGGCAGCACAGAAGGCCAGGCAGAGGGCTGGGACAGAAGGCAGCACACAAGGCAGGACAGGCTGCAGATGATGCTCAGAATGCAGCCACCCCACGTCCAGAACGTCAGGGCAGGAGGGGACATGGAGATGGTTTAACCTCACATGCCCACTTTAGAGGCAGGAGAGTGGGGTCCCGGGGTGCCAGGTGTCTTGCTGAAGGTTGTGAAATAAGGATCAGTGAAACGGTGAGACCATTCCTTCCACCCTTGTGTTTCCCTGGCATATGTGTCAGCCAGCTGGTCAACACATGCTGCGTTAGCAAATGCTGAAGGCAGGGTCGTCCCTGGCATGACCCCCTCCCCATAACCCACAGCCCCTCTTCCCCAGTACGCCGTGGCAGCCTGCCATCCGCTCTCTGCTCCTCTGACTACCTTCAGCAACCCTGCCTTACGGTGGGGATGCTGGACAGGCATTCAGGAGACACAAATGTCAACTCCTCTGTGGGTTCCTGCAGCACCGGGAGACCCTGGCGCGACTCCTGAGGGCTTCAGTCCTCGGTTTGTTCCTTTTAGGAGGAAGCCACCGGATCGTTTCCCATGCTTAAGCTCAGACGCCCACCCAGCACAGCCTCCGCCGCAGCCTGGCAGCCCAACAGAGGCTGGTCATAGTTTTTGCCCTGGAATTCCCCTCCTTTTACCACATTTGCCACCTCTGGTCCCATCTTCCTTTCAGGGTCCAGGCAGTCTTCCCCCTCATTAAATCAAATTTATTCCCAATCCTCTGATCTCCATTCACCAGCCTCCTCTGTCTCTACTGTAAGACTTCCCTGTCCCTCGGGTGGGGGCGGCATCCTCACAGGGGTGAGGAGCTCTGTGCTGCTGTTGAGATGAATGGTGCCAGAAGGGAGTCTTTCCAAGTGCCCTGTAATGCAGAACCTTTCCCAGTGCCCACTGGTGGTGTTCCCGGGACACCAGGCACTGGAGGTCGGCACGCTTATTGTAATGAATCTGAAGGCAGCCCCCACCAACGCGCTGGCTGCCTTGGGGCCAGGCATGAAGCGAATTCAGTCCACATCAGCGGGTCCAAGCCTGGACCTAGACACCCGTCCCAGCTCAGACGCTCAGCTCTGGGCCATCACCCGTCGCTCAGCCTGGGTGACGCAGACTGTAATAATCATGCCATCGTGCACACTGTTTTTCGGAGCCTGTTGAATCACATCACAAATGCAATTTATAGTTTGCCTCAAGATGTTTTCCGGAACCTTCCTGCAGAGATAGCACGAGGCCCACAGAGGGGTGTCTTGGGGCACCTGGCAGGTTCCAGGGTGGGAGCTATAAACTAGAAGTCCCACGCTTCTCCTCCCCCAGGTTCACTTGACCACAATTCTAAAATATTAATAGCATACAGCGTGTTAAGTGATGGCAATGAAAGTCTGGTTCACTCTTATTTTATCACAAACGTTGCATAATAAAACATTCCTGGTGCCCCTCGTGATTCGCAGCCTCCTGAGAGGGGGTCTCTGTTCAGGGTCTCTCAGCTGCTGCTTTTAGCTCCTTTGTGGGGTGCAATCATTTCCCAGGATGCTGGAGTCAGGTTTCTGCACTGGCACCAGCTGAAGTGTTTTCCATTTCCTGTGTGAAGCTCAGGGGGTTGTAAGCACACACACGTGACCGTCGTGAGCACCATCAGCCCTGCCTGGAGCACCGGAGGGTGCCAAGGGGGGCTTTCTTTTCTTTGCTTCTCCTGCTGCCCCTGGCCCTGAGGTGGTGCCTGAAATCCCTGCCAATACCATCCCTGTTCCTGAGAGCCTCCTTGGGCAAAGCTGGGTCTGGGGCAGGTAAGCGGGCAGCTTCCTGGGGCACCAGCCCCACAGGTGAGCCAACATGGGAGTGGGCGTGCCACACTTCCCAGGCTGCTCACAGGCACTGCTGCTTGGGGATGAAATGTATATTTTTATGGAAATGTTAAAAATTATTTTTGGCTGCCTAAATTATGTATATTGCCTTCCCTACATTTTGATAATTTTTTTTCGTTTTTTTTTGTTTTTCGCAAGAGGCAGAACCAGCTTCCCGCTGTAGCAGCTAAGAGGCTGCACTGAAGGGCAGCCCTCTCCCCTGTCTCACCTCCAGTGCACAGGCCTCCTGTGGATCAGAGGCTCCCACAGACTCTGAGTCAAGAACTCCTTCTGCCGCTGCAGGAGCTGCAGCCAGACGAGGTTTCTAGAAGCCATGGCTCCAGCACTGCAGCATGAGCTGCGGTGCCTGGCATTGTGCAGAAGGGCACCCACGCACGGATAGGGTGGCTGGCATCTCCCAGGCTGCTCTGAGCTGGTTCCCTGGCTGTCCCAGCAATTCCACGAGTTAACTAATACATTTTCATAAGCACATTTGCTGCCTAGGCCAGGTTTCTGTCGCTTGCTAATAAGAATTAATTGTGACTCATGCAGGATTCTTGGGGTAGGGGTGAGGGCCCCAGTGGGCACTGCTGCTTCCAGGCAGGTCCAGTGAGGAGGCGTTTGGCCCGGGAAAGGGCAGGCCCAATCAGGCCTGAGCAGAGCCGTCAGCACAACAGAGGCACGGAACCCAGTCTACTTCCGATCACACGCTGAGTAGGCACTGAAAGAAAAGTGACTGAAATGTGAGCTCAATTCTTAATCTAACCCTGTTCTCAGGAGGCACATGCCTTCGTGTGGGGCTAGAGCATTAACTCTAAAACTGTTTCACAAGCCTCTGGGGGCTTCAGAGGCATCTCAGTGAGTCACAAATGCATCAGAAAAATGCAGGTAAGCTCTGGCTCTTACATGACGAGGGGACATTTTCAGTGAGTTACCGAGACAGTTAGAGGTGTAGCTTTGGTAAGCTAAATTGAATAAATGACTAGAGCTTAGCATAGACTGCGGTCTGGGCTTCAGTAGGAATTACGGCTGCCGTGCAGGGCGGGGCAACATGGCAGAGCTTCTCCTGAGCATGAGCATGTGCACAAAATTGGGATTCTACCACCGCCAGGAGAAATTATTTTAGGTTGGTCATGGCTTTCTATTGTTACTCTAAGTTGCTTCCCCTCCCCCCTTTAAAAATATGTTATTTTAACATACGTCAGATTTATAGAAAAGTTGTAAGACTATCATACAAGAATCTCAGACACTCGTCACCCGATTCTCCAAATGGTAACATTTTAGGCTTTACTCTCACCTGCAAAATCTCTCTCTATATTTATATTTACACTGATATTTGTGCTTTATTATTCTGAACTATTTGAGAGAAACTTATGGACATGATTTTCCCTTAGTTCTAAATACTTCAGTGCTTATTTCCTAAAAACAAAGGCATTCTCCTACATAATGAGAGTACAGTTATGAAAACCAAAAATTCACACTGATATGGTACTAATATCTAATCAACAGAACTTACACGATTTGTCTACTTCTCCCAAGAACATTTCTAGAACAAAATAAATGCCCACATGAGGCCCTGCATACCGACGTCATGTCTCTCTAGCCTCCTTCAATTTAGAAAATCCTTCAGTTCAGTCTTTCTTGGTCTTTGTGATAGTGACAACTTTAGAATGGGGTGAGTCACTTTGATTGACAGTTTCAGATTAGAGGTGACTTACTTTGACATTTTTAGAGTAGGGGTGACTCACTTGAATTGACAGTTTTAGAGGAGGGGTGAGTCAGTCTGATTGACAGTTTTAGAGTAGGGGTGAGTCACTTGGACATTTTTAGAGTAGGGTGAGTCACTCTGACAGTTTTACAGTAGGGTTGGGTCATTCTGACAGTTTGAGAGTGGGGTGAGTCACTCTGATTGACATCTTTAGAGGAGGAGTGTCATTCTGATTGACAGTTTAAGAGGAGGGGTGAGTCACTCGGACAGTTTTAGAGGAGGGGTGAGTCACTCACAGTTTTAGAAGAGGGATGAGTCACTCCGATGGACAGCTTTAGAGAAGTGACTCACTTTGACTGACATTTATAGAGTAAGGGTGAGTCATTCTGATTGACAGTTTTAGAGGAGGGGTGAATCACTCCGATTGACAGTTTTAGAGAAGGGGTGAGTCGCTCTGATTGACAGTTTTAGAGGAGGGGTGAGTCACTCATTGACAGTTTTAGAGGAGGGGTGAGTCACTCTGACTGACAGTTTTAGAGGAGGGGTGAGTCATCCTGATTGACAGTTTTAGTGGCGGGGTGAGTCAGTCTGACTGGCATTTTTAGAGGAGGGATGAGTCACTCTGACTGACAGTTTTAGAGGAGGGGTGAGTCACTCATTGACAGTTTTAGAGGAGGGGTGAGTCACTCTGATTGACAGTTTTAGAGGAAGGGTGAGTCACTCTGATTGACAGTTTTAGAGGAAGGGTGAGTCACTCTGATTGACAGTTTTAGAGGAGGGGTGAGTCACTCATTGACAGTTTTAGAGGAGGGGTGAGTCACTCTGATTGACAGTTTTAGAGGAAGGGTGAGTCATTCTGATTGACAGTTTTAGAGGAGGGGTGAGTCACTCTGATTGACAGCTTTAGAGGAAGGGTGAGTCACTCTGACTGACAGTTTTAGAGGAAGGGTGAGTCACTCTGATTGACAGTTTTAGAGGAGGGGTGAGTCACTCTGATTGACAGTTTTAGAGGAGGGGTGAGTCACTCTGATTGACAGCTTTAGAGGAAGGGTGAGTCACTCTGACAGTTTTAGAGGAAGGGTGAGTCACTCTGACTGACAGTTTTAGAGGAGGGGTGAGTCACTCTGATTGACAGTTTTAGTGGAGGGATGAGTCACCCTGATTGACAGTTTTAGAGGAGGGGTGAGTCACTCTGATTGACACTTTTAGAGGAGGGGTGAGTCACTCTGATTGACAGTTTTAGTGGAGGGATGAGTCACCCTGATTGACAGTTTTAGAGGAGGGGTGAGTCACTCTGATTGACAGTTTTAGAGGAGGGGTGAGTCACTCTGATTGACAGCTTTAGAGGAAGGGTGAGTCACTCTGATTGACAGTTTTAGAGGAAGGATGAGTCACTCTGATTGACAGTTTTAGTGGAGGGATGAGTCACCCTGATTGACAGTTTTAGAGGAGGGGTGAGTCACTCTAAATGACATTTTTAGAGCAGGGGTGAGTCACTGATTTGCATTTTTAAAGTAGGGGTGAGTCACTTTGCACCATGCTCCTTGGCTGGTATACCGTGGCTGCCTCAGGAATAGACTGGGTTTTGCTCTTTGTCGAGAACACCAGGGACATCATCTTTTGTGTTCTTTGTGCATCAGCTCAAGGGCACGTGTGCGGATCCA
Organism: Homo sapiens; assembly: GCF_000001405.40. NCBI lineage: Eukaryota > Metazoa > Chordata > Mammalia > Primates > Hominidae > Homo > Homo sapiens. The sequence goes on from NC_000007.14 coordinate 157,934,134, forward strand.
TCTTGCCGCTGGTGACGTTCACTGGTATCACTTGTTAAGCGCTGCCTGCCTGGTTTCTGCACCGTGAATGCTGTTTTCTTCTGATCCTATCTTGTGGTGAGAGCTATTCTGTGGTTCTCCAGAATATCGGCCGCTCATTTTAGCATCAATGATTCTTATCTGAATCAAGTAGTACTAAGAATTGATTTGACTTTAACATAAAGAATTTCCAATGTGAGAAGATTTCAGTATTCATGGCTACAGATGCCAAGTGTGGGCAACTTATCTTTTATGCGCCTTCAACAAAGCCATGGGAGCAGAGAGAGGGAAAGAAAATCTGAACCAGTATGAGTCAACTGGCACATCGGCTCACCTCGATAGCATTTGCACATTTGACTGGAAGCCTCTGGCTTGTAGAATTTTTTCCCACTATAGTATAGAACACTCCACTTCAATTTTTACTTGTTTAAAAGAATCACATTTGTTTAATTTCCACTCTGACCTGATCTTTGCTCTGCCACAGGGACTCTTCACTTGGCGATGATGAGCAAAGCATCCGGCCTTGGACCTCCTGCTTCCCAGAGCCTGCAGGGCTGTCTCACTTCCTCCAGAAGCTCTCAGTCTGCTGCCATTTCTTGGGTTCTTCATCCTTCCTGTGGACCTGGGTCTCCAACTGCTGTGATTTCCCATCAGTCAGAAGAGGTCCGCAGCATTTTGTACAGTGCAGGTCTAACATGGCAGATTCTCTCGGGATGGGCTGGCACGAAAGCAGGTTTCTTTCACCCTTATGCTGAAACATGTTTTTGCTGGAGATAGAACTCTGGGCTTTTGTTTTCTCCCTTGCAGAACCTTAAAGAGTTGTCAAATTGTCTCCTGGTTTCTGCTGTTTCTAGTGAAGAATGAAGTCAGTCCTCATGCATATCATTGCTCCTGGGAATGTAACGTCTCTCCTCCCAGCTGTTAAGATTTTCTATCTTTGGTATTTTAGCAATTTGACTACAAATGTGCTTATGTTAATTTTCTTTGCACTTAACTTGCTTGGGGTTCTCTGAGCTTCTTCTTTTTCACCAGGTGGAGGGTGGGTAGGGTTGCTGGTTTTGAATATTAATTCTTCTTTTTTTGTGTCCCACCTTTCTTGGCTCATCTTCTGGAACTGTCACGTGGGTCAGACCACTTGACTTTGTCCTAGAGGCCACCTGGGCTCTTTTTTGTTTCTGGCATTTTTCTCTGTCCTTCAGATGCGATCATTTCTGTGCATCTGTTCCAAGTTTGCCAATTCATTCTTCTGCAGTCTCTGATCCGCTGTAAAGCCCATGCAGTGAATTTCCCATCTTACAAGCTCTCCTTTCTAAAATCTACACGTGGTTCTTCTGCACGGCCTCCATCTTTCTGCTGAGGTTCCCACGTGTCCCCTCTTCTCCGTCTTTCCCTTTACGTTCTTGAACAGATCTGGAATTGTTGTTAAGTCCTTGTCTGGTTGATTTCAGTGTCTGTATCATTGGGACTTTCTTTTCTCTTCTTTATGGGTCCTAATGTCCTGTTTCTTAACATGTTTAGCAATTTTGGACTGCAAGATGAACATTGGCGGGTACATCACAGGAACCTGGTGACAGTCCACTCCTTGCTTTTAAAATTGGAGCTCCCTGGGAGGCATCGGCATCTGTGTCACTCCCTCAGGGGGGTCTAGCCATCCTCAGCATCTGTGTCACTCCCTCAGGGGGGTCTAGCCATCCTCAGCATCTGTGTCGCTCCCTCAGGGGGGTCTAGCCATCCTCAGCATCTGTGTCGCTCCCTCAGGGGGGTCTAGCCATCCTCAGCATCTGTGTCGCTCCCTCAGGGGTGTCTAGCCATCCTCAGCATCTGTGTCGCTCCCTCAGGGGGGGTTTAGACATCTTCAGCATCTGTGTCGCTCCCTCAGGGGGGTCTAGCCATCCTCATGGTGCAGCAACGCCATTCTGTCCTGTGTGCTTCGCAATCCGAAAGTGAACCGATCGTAGGTGTATGACTACAGCAAATGCAGACACATTCTCCCCACTTTCCCTCCCTGCCATGGTTCTCTAGTACAAGATGCTTGAATTTTTTCTCACTGAGCTTCACTGCTGCCACTGGAGGTCTGAATTGATTTTGCCTCAACTAGTTAGAGAAGACTGAGACTGACTGAGCCGAAGCTCTCTGCTTTCTTGAGGTGACGAGATGCTATCGATTATGGGCTCTGTGCCCCTGTCACGTTCACACGACATCCCAAACCAGACTCTACTGGGCTCATTCCTCCCCTCTGCCTGTGTCCCTCACTCCACCAGGCCCCGCGAGCATCCTCCCTGTAGCTCTCTGGCCACCCCACCTGTTTCTCTTCCACGGAGGCACCTCTGTCTCCTGGATTCCCACCACCTCTCCCTGTTCTCCCGAGCACCACTCAATCTCACTTCTAGTGTCTCCTCCACTCGGAAGCCAGGGTGGGGGTCTACAGTGCAGGTCGGACACCTCCCGTGTCTCCTCCACTCGGAAGCCAGGGTGGGGTTCTACAGTGCAGGTCTGACACCTCCCGTGTCTCTTCCACTCGGAAGCCAGGGTGGGGGTCTACAGTGCAGGTCTGACACCTCCCGTGTCTCCTCCACTCGGAAGCCAGGGTGGGGTTCTACAGTGCAGGTCTGAACACATGTGCAGCCCTGTGCAAAGCTCTTCAGAGGCTCCTCATGCCCTCTGGAGAATTTTCAAGTTCGCAGGGAGTGTATGAGGCCATCCTTTCGGTCATTCATGCCATTTTCCCACCTCTCCCCTGTCTTTCCGCCATGGCCAGTCATGGGAATTTTCCTAAACATAGCCTCTTTCTCATCTGTAAAAAGTATTCTTTCTGCAATATTCTGTAAAAAGTATTTTTTCTCTTGTAGAATGTCTTTCTGCCTGCCCCTCTCACCCGCATGTCAACCCCCTTCACTGGGGCAATTTCTCTTCATCTCCCAGACTTGGCCTGGGCCACCTTCTCTGGGAAGCCCTCCGGACCCCTGAACACCGTGGGTCTGACAATATCTTTATGCTCCTTCTGCATCTGGGCACCTGGAACTTGCCGTGAGCATGGCTGTGGTGGGTCCTTAGCCCGAGTGACCACGTGAACTTGCAGCTGGCACACATAGGTGAGTAAAGGTCCACACGGGGCTGGACCACCTAGAAAAACAGCTTTTGCTTATTTACCCAAAGTAAGCTGTGCTGGGGAAAGGAAGAGGAAGGTTTTGAAGGTGGATACAGAATTTCCGTCTAACTGAGCACGTGGGGACTGGAGCAATTCACTGAAGAAATGAAAGGTGCGGGAATAGGCAAGCCCTTGATGTCTGGAGCAGATCGCATCAGCTACTACTAAGCCGCTGTTGTCAGGCACAGAGAAGACACTCAGCATCGGATGAGAGAATAAAGCCGTGTGCGGTGTGGCTTCATGTCTCTCACAATAGCGCTCCCGAGTGCGGCCGCTCCACCTTTCCCACCCAGGAGAAGCCGCTTAAAAAGCCAGGCAGGGGCTCTTCAGTGCAAAGGTTCTGCCCCGGACTCTCACCAGCTGCTGAGAGCGGGTGCGGCCTCTCTGAGTTTTGGCTTGAGCCGGGGCCTGGAAAGGCCAACTGCCTGTTGGCCTAAAGAGCTAGAAAAGGATGAATGGATTCATATTTACAAAGACACCACAGAGTCTGTCTGAACAGTCCTGCGTATCTGCAATCTGCTCGTCACCCATCCCCTTGTGCCTAGTGACGTGAGCCCCAGGACAGTCTGTTCAGTAGCACCATTTGCAACCCCTGTGATGGGAATCTTCGTGACTATGTGACATGTTCCCCATCTCTCTCTCTGTTGTTTTATTTTCCTTTGACAATGTCAAGCTGGAAATTAGAAGCAATGTGGCATGCGGAGCCACTCAGATCTGAAGCAGAGTGCATGGTGGGGCCATCTAAGTATGTTTTTCTGCACAATGTGAACCCCGGCTGTTCAAAGCTAAGAGCCACCCACTGCAGGGCACAGTGCTCTGGTGAGAGGAGGTCACCTCGAAGTGGGCCCCCCGCATGGTGCTGCCAAATGCACGCACAGATTACACTTTATGAAAGGTTTCCTTTGCTTTGAATAGTTGGCTGTCTCAGAAAAACTGCAGCACCCACTGGTTGGAAATTACATCTGAACTGCAGTGGAGATGCAGGGGAGACATCGCACAGGAGCGTCAGCCATGGGACAGCTGCACATGCCTGCAGTGTCATCCCTGCCAGCTCTCAGAGGCACCTGCTTCTGCCCTGGGGATCCTGCTGAAAGGTTCTTGAGCTGCTGCTCAGCAGGGACACAGGAGAGGGCCGGATGTGAGGGGTAGACACTATAAGCAGACCTGCAGGCCCAGCCATGCCACGTGCAGACCACTGCCCACCCTCTGCAGATGGGAAGGAGAGGCCCAGGGAGGCTGCCTGTCTGCTCAGGGTCACACAACAACACCCAAAGGCAAGATGTGAACCCAGATCTGCTTTGCACTGAAGACCTCAATTTTTACTATTAGTCTTACCACATAGACAAATTAAATGTGACGTGTTTAAGTTGCATTAAACTGATGAGATTTGAGGAAGCTCTTTTCCAAAAATTCTCTTTAATATCAAAGATACATTGTCCTTGTAGTACACTAAGCATGATTGTTTTTGAGTAAAAAGAACCACCCTTTGGGGTGTTGGTGCTTATGTAGGATGATCCAACCCTGGCAGTAAAAGGGAGGGTTTTAAATCTACCGGAGTGGCCCACAGAAAACAACCTGCCGGTGTCAAGATGCTCATATCAGTGCTGAAGTAAGGAGTGGGGCTCTTTGGGAGCATCAGAGCAAACTTCTTGTCCATGATCCACACGGGCTACGAGCCCCTGCAGTGCCTTGTGCATGGTGGCAGCCACATCAACTCACACCCAAATTCCGAATTACAGTCAGATAAAGTAAAGTAAAGCATGCAGGTCCCCACCTCAACAGCAAGGTTTCCAGCACCCAAATTCCGAATTACAGTCAGATACAGTAAAGCAAAGCACGCAGGTCCCCACCTCAATAGCAAGGTTTCCAGCACGCAAATTCTGAATTACAGTCAGATAAAGTTAAGTAAAGCACGCAGGTCCCCACCTCAATAGCGAGGTTTCCAGTATCCAAATTCTGAATTACAATAAGATAAAATAAAGCACGCAGGTCTCCTGTCTCACTAGCAAGGTTTCCATCACTGAGCGGCCACAGGGGCTGGTGGCTGTCCTGCAGGACAGCACACATGTGGGCCATTCTGTTGCCACAGAAAGTGCTAGAACAGAGCTGCTCTAGAGACCAGGCCTCTGGCTGCAGGAGAGGAGAGCTGGACAGCCATCTGCAGACCAGGTCACTCTCAGTGCTGTGTGTTGTGGGTGGAGCTCACCAAGTGCCAGGATTCACCCTGTGGACACAGCCACATCCCCAGTGGGGCCATCATCTGCATATGAACCTAATTTGCCAAAACCCATAATGTTGGGTTAGCAAAGGTGAGGCCCTGAGGCCTCAACCCCATCGTCCAGTGTCTACTGAAACTCAGCACCAGACAGACAGAGTTGGCCTCAGAACTCCTCAGTCCAGCTTCCCTCTGGCATATCTTACAACCTGTGTTAATACCAGGGCTTTTAAGATGTGTTTGCCTAGCAGTTGGTTTTGCTAGGCCCTTGGATAGGTGCATTTGGCTGGGTACTGGGCACCCGAGAAGGAGAAGGTTGCTACGTATGTGTCTACAAATGCCACAGGTCTCTGGCCTGTGAGACCTCAGCACAGAGCAGAGTGGAGGCAATGCTTCCTGAATGAACTAAGCAGGTCCAGGAAGGTATCACTGCACAGGCGGGGAAGAGCAGGGAGTACCCAGGTCCTGGAAGGTGTCGCCGCATGGGCAGCAGAGAGCAGGGAGGACCTGAGTGGAGGAAGGCGTCGCTGCATGGGCAGTTGAGAGCAGAGAGGCCCCCGTTGGTATGACCATGAGCCCCTGTCAAGAGTTCCAGTCCAGGTCCTGAGGGACATGTTCTCTGCACATTTCCTTCTGGGCATCATCCTCAGAGTTCCCATCTAGTGGTCTGTCAGCGATGGTGGTGTTCAGAACTTGGTTATAACTCAGCCCCGGCTCCTTTCTGAAGCCTCAGTGCAGATTCTTTTCTCTCCCCTTCCTAGTGTTATTATTAAATTTTATAAGGTCTGTGCTCCTTACTTTCAAAGCAAACTCTTTTTTGTGCCATCAAGAGGCAAAGTTATAAACAGTTGACTCTGTGACATTGAAATACTGAAATTAAGAAATGAAGAAGCCTAGAAATTCTCACTGTTACAGAAATCTAATGCCCTCCCCTGTGACACTGCAAATCTAATGCCCTCTCCTGTGACACTGCAAATCTAACACCCTCCCCCTTGACACTGCAAATCTCATACCCTCCCCTGTGACACTGCAAATCTAACGCCCTCCCCTGTGACACTGCAAATCTAACACCCTCCCCAGTGACACTGCAAATCTATCACCCTCACCTGTGACACTGCAAATCTAACACCCTCCCCACCGTGACACTGCAAATCTAACACTCTCCCCGAAGACACTGCAAATCTAACGCCCCCCCGTGACACTGCAAATCTAACGCCCTGCCCCATGACACTGCAAATCTGACACCCTCCCCACCATGACACTGCAAATCAAACACCCTCCCCCATGACACTGCAAATCTAATGCCCTCCCCACAGTGACACTGCAAATCTAACACTCTCCCCCACAACACTGCAAATCTAACGCCCCCCCATGACACTGCAAATCTAACACCCCCCCGTGACACTGCAAATCTAACACCCTCCCCACCACGACACTGCAAATCTAACACTCTCCCCCGTGACACTGCAAATCTAACACTCTCCCCCGTGACACTGCAAATCTAACACCCTCCCCACCACGACACTGCAAATCTAACACTCTCCCCCGTGACACTGCAAATCTAACACCCTCCCCCGTGACACTGCAAATCTAACACCCTCCCCCGTGACACTGCAAATCTAACACCCTCCCCACCACGACACTGCAAATCTAACACCCTCCCCACCACGACACTGCAAATCTAACACTCTCCCCCATGACACTGCAAATCTAACACCCTCCCCACCATGACACTGCAAATCTAACACCCTCCCCACCACGACACTGCAAATCTAACACTCTCCCCTGTGACACTGCAAATCTAACACCCTCCCCACCACGACACTGCAAATCTGACACCCTCCCCTGTGACACTGCAAATCTAACACCCTCTCAATCATGACACTGCAAATCTAACACCCTCCCCCATGACACTGCAAATCTAACATCCTCCCCACCATGACACTGCAAATATAACCCCCTCCCCCCTCCGTGACACTGCAAATCTAACTCCCTCCCCCATGACACTGCAAGCGATTCTTCAGTAGACCCAGGTCTCTGGGTACTTGAAACCAGAGCAGCCACAGCAAGCCACTGTGTAAGAGTTAGCAGAGAGGGGCTCCTGGCCATCTGTGCAGGGACATACGTCCATGCATGTGTATAAAAGATCTCTGTAATTTTTATCAGGGCTAGGACCATCCTGAAAGTGCAGGTCTCCCAGAGCCAGCCACACTCCCTATGCTGGGCTCTGCATGGAGTGGGGTCAGCATGTGGCCAGCTGCTGCCAAGGTCTCCCTCCCAATAGCCCTCCCAGAGGCCTCTGCCCACCTTCACCACCTAATCTCCATGCTCAAGCCTCACTGTGTGGCCAGGCTGAGTGCCCATCTCCTCACAGGACACAGCGCTCTCTGCAGGACTTTTGCTAAGTGGTTGGTCCCCTGCAGCAACACACAGGGGTCCACGGCACACCCTCCACACACGGGGGTCCCCAGCACACCTTCAAATATGGGGGTCCTTAGCACACCTTCGCACACGGGGGTCCTCGGCCCACCCTCCACACATGGGGGTCTGCAGTGCACCTTCACTCATGGGAGTCCTTGGCCTACCCTCCACACACGAGGGTCCTCAGCATGCCTTCCACACGCACAGGGGTCCTCGGCCCACCCTCCACACACAGGGGTCCTCGGCCCACCCTCCACACACAGGGGTCCTCGGCCCACCCTCCACACACGGGAGTCCTCGGCACGCCTTTCCAGAGGAGGTGATCTTGAGGCACCACAAAAGCAGCACCTGGCCCCTGGCCGCTCCCAGCTCAGAGCCCACGGTGGGGTCCTCAGCCTTCACCCTAGTTTTGCTCCCGCATCTGAGGGCTGCGTGTCACCTCACTGTGACTTCTGACTGCACAGCAGGTGTTGGTGTGGGGAGTCAGGCAGCCTCAGCGAATGTCCTGAAAATGCTCCCACAGAATGTTTATATCTTTACAGACACAAAATGCTGCTGGGGTAATACTCTTGGGAAGTATGCAAATGAGTTCTTTTTCAGATGTCAAGCAGGAGCGATGATCAGAGAATCCTCTCATTGAGACTGGGAGCTGGTGGAATATGACTCCACCAGCTCCAGACCCCAACTTCTCCGCGTTCACCTGTACATCGCAAGTGTCTAAAAATGATGTGTATCCCCTCCCAGTCCCTCACTGTCTTTCCCCAGATCACACCCCCACAACCCTGTGCTCACGGAGAACTGCCCCCACCTTTTCTAGGAAGGAGGGCTTGGTTATCAGTCATCCTCCTGCCATCTCTGATGACAGGCAGTGGCAGGGGCTCAACCTTGTCCTTCCTTTTCATTCCCACTGGTGCCACCCCAGCCACCTTCATCTGCGTAGCCTGAATCACTGTGGCCTAACTGGGCCCTGGGTCTCCATGCTTCACTCCCAAAGTCAAACACACCGTCTCCCATCCCTGGCATTTCCATGCCCTCACTTGACGAGGATCTGCAAGAGCCGAGCTCTGTGATGGGCAGCAGGTGTGCACAGCAGGAGGGCCGGGCCTGGTGCTCCCAGCATCTTCAGGCTTAAAAATTTGGCCCCAGGAAGCCTTTGCATTCATAACTGTAGCTACCACTATTCACTGCTCCAAAATTCAAAGGAGGAGTTCTCGAGACCCAAGAACACACAACACACATTCCACTAGCCTCGAAGCCGCATCCTCGCACATCTCACAGCCTGGGGAAGCGATGCAGAATCTCACCAGAGGATAAACAGGCAAAGAACTTTGGGGCTTTGCTAGGAAAATGTCTTACTCTGCGGACCCCCAGAGGGTCTCAGGGACTTCCCATGCCCCCTCCCATGCCCCAGACGGTCCTTTCTGAATGGCCGACTTAGACAAAGGCTACACCCTTTAAATTCAGTGACAGCCAACAGAATCACTTCCTGCCCTTGAAATCCAACAATGTCTCCACAGGAAGCATCTGCTGGCTCAGCACAGCACCAGCTTCAGCCCCCACCTCCGCCCCATCCCTGCTCCTGGACCTGTTGGTTCCGAGGAGGCCCTGGACACCAAGACACCCACCCCAGATGCCCAGACTCCCTCAACATGGAGGATCCCCAGACTGAGTCCTCCACAAATGCTGAAACCCCCTCCCAAGATGCCAAGGAAGCCCCCCACCCCCAGGATACTGAAGTCCTCCCCAGATGCCAAAGCTCCCAGAGGCCAAGCGCTCCCTACCCTGACGCCAAGGCCCCTCTAGGACACCGAAGCCCCCGCCTCCTCTGCTGAGGAAGTGCCATTCCATGGAAGGCCCGGCTCAGCCTCCCTGGGTCAAGCTCCTGTCTCCTTTCAGGAAGATGGAAGTTCACAGAGGCCGCAGGTGTCTAAGGGTCAAGTTGATCACTACACCATCCCCTTTTAGTGTTTTTGTATCTGTTTTGACTCCCTATTATTTTTCTGGTAGTTCATCTTTTTATGTGTTTTTAACTAAATCCATTCAGACAATCTTGTTCTTCCTCTGCCACTTTTCTCCACGTTGTAAGGGTTTTAAACCAATGTTTCTAAGGGAGCACTGGGCTTCATTTGACATTTCCAGTAAGTATCAAAAGCTGCTATCACTTCAATTACAGACACTCCGAGCCCAGGACAGGCTCCAGATGCCCGGCCTTCATGCAGCAAACACCTTCACAGGGAAGGAAGGCGGAACTCTCTTTCCTTGCCACAGAAAAGGATTCTAACGGCATTTGACAAAGATTGAGCATGGTTCGTCGCGAACGCCAGCCTGCCCCCACGGTCATGTCCAGCTTAACCAACACACGGCCCAGCAGTCTCGGTCAGTGGAGCCCACCACCCAAGCGGGGGCGGTACCACTCCCACCACTGACTGAACCTTGGAATCAATACAATGCAGGGTAGAGCAATTCATTTGAATTAATGTGTTAAGTGGCACAAATATGTGTTTATCGAGAGAAACCTAAGTTTGTGAGAAAAGGATCTATTGGAAAATTCTTCTTTTTAAAAAAGTTTCATGGAAAAAGCTTCCTGCAAGCATCCGCACTGCTGCAAATATAATAATTGTTTGAAAGCATAACATTTAAATCAGAAGCATCCCTAGACATGTTGATTAGAAATAGTCTTAAGAGGGTCAAACTATGTCCACAGAGGCTGGAACACCAAAATAGAGGCAAAAGTCCTGAGAAGGGAGTTGTTTTTAGTCACCAGGCCAGTGACCACTGTCCAGCAGGTCCACGTGCATGGATGAGAGCTGTGCCCCTCTCTTCTCTAAGCCAAGGGGCTGTTGGGACAGGCAGCCGCACCTGGCCAGCTCTGCCCTTGCTCATCAGCTGGGAAGCAGCATGCTTCTTGGGGGGCAGGCATTGTCTACAACACAGACTACACAGTCCACAGTCCACAACTCCTGAATCCTGCCTAGTATTTATACAGTAAACAGAGACTCTGAAATAAACACCGTGCCGAATGGAGCCTGTGCAGCTCCCAGTGCTGTGACCCCACCATGATCGCTCATCTGCTCCAGCTGGAGCACTCTGCCTCTCTACCCATTTTCCTGCTCTCACCGAGTCAGGCCTCGGACCAGCCCCTGTGTGAGATGGAGATGTGTTTAGTGTGGGAGGAACACGGTGAGAGGTCAGAGACAGAGCAGGGATCCGTGCAGGGATGCGGAGGCCCCAGTGCTGGGTGTTCAGGGCTGACTCCTCCCTCCCCAGGCACCTCCTGCCAGAGTGACCTCATGAGCCCTCATGGTTTCAACCCCACCCATTCGCAGCAGCCACATCCCCACCTGCACTGGGTTCTCCTTCCAGACTCACAGCCTCCGCCTGCTAGCTGCTCCCGGCCAACCCCCATGGGCACACTGACCCCGTGTGTCCCGAAGACCCCCCGCCTGCCTCTGAAGGCCCTTCCATCCTACTGCTCCTCCATCCTGGCGTCTGACAAATCAATGTATCTTTCCCCGTGGATGTTTCTCCAACCCATTCACTCTTCTCCCGCTCAGTGACCTGGCCCCTGAACCTGCCGTTCCCAACTCAGACAAAGCCGTCTCCAACTCGGACAATGGCGCCTCCAACTCGAACAATGCCACCTCCAACTTGGACAATGTCGCCTCCACCTCAGACAATGGCGCCTCCAGCTTGGACGATGCCGCCTCCAAGTCAGACGATGCCGCCTCCAGCTTGGACGATGCCGCCTCCAGCTTGGACGATGTCACCTCCAACTTGGATGATGCCACCTCCAGCTTGGACAATGCCACCTCCAGCTTGGACAATGCCGCCTCCAGCTTGGACAATGCCGCCTTCCCACCTCCACAAAGTCTGCTTCCTAAAGAGCAAGTCCAGCCACACCACTTCCTGGCTTCAGTTGTCCCATCAGACGACGGGTCACCAACAGCTGGGGCATTCTCAGGAGCCAAGCTGGGTGCCTTCCCCCTTCCTGGACATCCCTACCCTGCTTGCTGGGCCCAGTCCAGGTTCTGGAAGATTCTGCCTTTCTGTTCAGCTGTCCCACCTCTCAGTTCCGACAGTGTGAGCCTGGTGGCTAAAGATTCCTAATCTGGCCCTTGAAGACTCAGGCAAACTTAGAAGCTCCTGGTTTCAAACTTCTCTTTCCCACTTTGCCTCTTGTCTTGAGGTGGCAGAAACAGCTGATGGTGAGGCAGGATAATACGGTCTGGAGGCAAGAAGCAACCACACTTTTCTAGTCTTGTGAAACAACCAAAGCAACTGTCTGAAGCCTCTTCAGCTGGCCCATGCCTCATGGGAGTTTTGTAGCTCTTTCTGCGTTTGAGAAGACACTAAAAAAAAAAAAGTAAAATCCAGCTGGTCCTGAGAGACAAGAGTTTCCTCAATCCTGGAAATTCAGCAGGAAAAATACTGTTTATGCACTGAATGAAATCACTGAGGCCAAGAATAGTTATTTGTTCACACCATTTCATGGATGCCTATTTTTGTCCCAAAATAAAGACTCTGCATGTCACCATGTTGATGCATCTGGAAACAAGTGAGAGGCTTTGTTATCAGCATGCAGCCCAGATGTGAAGGCCCACAGCAGCTCCTGAGGGCACGTAAGCTTGCAGGAACAGGATGATCCTCCACCGGCTGCCTGGGCCATCTGTGTAAGGGCCCTGTGGACTGAGCCATTTACATCAGTTAGGCCAGCAGCCACAGGGATGGTGTCACCACTGTGGGATTCAACACTTTGAAGAATTAAGGCAGAGGTTACTTTTGTCCACAAAATCACATCCTGCAGTAAGGATGTGGGTACAAGTAATTTATTTGGAGGATGATCCCAGAAGCCAAGTGAGAGAACGGGACAGTAAGCCTGAGAAGGGCGGAAGCCATGAAGTACATGCACAAACCACCAGTGTGGACGGCCGGGGCCCGACACTGCCGGAGACCCTCTGAGAGGCATGTGGGATGTGCCTTGAATCGTCTGAGGGTCAAAGAATCAGGGGTCTCTATCCATTGACTCCCATCCCTTGCTCTCTGAAGAGGTGAACTCCTGAGCAGCCCTGGCCTGCCCTGGGTGTGGGCTAGTGTGCTGCTTAGCTCAGACAGACCAAGGCAGGTGCTTAAGGCTGGAGCCATCAGCATAGATGGGAGCTGCCCTGCAGAGCTGAAGGGAGGCACAGGGTGGGCAACTGGGATGTGGGCAGGATGCGAAAAGGTCTGTCAAAGGGGTACTTCTTCCAAGTGGGCCAAAGACTCCATCAGGTCGAGTAGTGACATGGAAATCACAGAGCAGGTGGCTCCAAGGATCTGTCCCTCCACTGAAGTAACAAGTAAGCTGACAAAAATGGACAGAAGTGACTGTTCTGGGATTCTGTAGTCTAATTTTAAAAATCAGCAGTAACCAGGGGGTGCTAAATTGAGAAAGAGAATGCTAAATTTTGGTTAAAAGACATTCTGTGGTTTTTGCTTGCCCACCTATTATTCCCCATTCCCCAGTTCAACAGCAGCTACAGGATTGGTGGCCTAAGTTCCTGGTGAGATGTGGTGGTACCAGGGGGCAGTATGGATCTTGTTTTCAAAAAACTGTGGCTGTGTGTTTTGAGCTGTCTGGTGGTTCCTTGAGAAACCAGTGCAAAGAGGAACCCTGTTTTAGCACCTTTGGGCGAGACTGGCTTTCCAGGAGGAAGCTGACGAAATCATGTATAGAGTTATACTGACCAATACTATCCCAAATTTGATGAAAGACATGAATATACATATCCAAGAAGCTCAACTAACTCCAAGTAGAATTGATTCAAAGAGATCCATGCTGACATATTATCATCAAACCATCAAAAGCCAAAGACAGAAATTTGAAAGCAGCAAGAGAGAGGCAATTCATCTTGTACTTGAGATCGTCAATAAGATCAACAGCAGTTTTTCACCAGAAACCATGGAGGCCTGAAGGCAGTGGGATGATGTATTTAATGTGCTGAAAGAAAAATAACTGTCAACCAATAATTCTGTATCAGGCAAAACTATCCTTTGAAAATGAAGCCAAAATTAAGACATCCCCTTAGAAGCAAAAGCTGAGGGAGTTTGTCACTAGTAGACAAGCTCTGTAAGAAATGCTAAAGGTGACAGGCTGAAATGCAGGTCATTGAGGCTGAAATTCTAAACAGTAACCAGAAGCCATACAAGAAAATAAAGAACTTCAGTAAAATTAACTACATAGGTAAATATAAAACCCAGTATTGTAGCTTTGGTTTGTATCTCCTCCTTTTGTCTTCTATATGATTTAAAAGACAAATGCATAAAACAATAATTATAAATCTATGTTAACAGCATACAATGTAGGAAGAGATAATTTGTGACAATAACAACATAAAGCTGGGAAGGAAGCTATTCAGAAGCAGTTTTTGTGTGCTTTTGAAGCTAAGTTGGTATAAATTCAAACTACATTGTGATAAATGTGGGGTGTTAATTGTAATTCCCATGGTAACCACTAAGAAAATAACAAAAAGAAATGTGCAGGAAAAGAAAATGAGAAGGGAATCAAAACAGTACACTAAAAATTAAATCAAAGAAACAAAAAAAGGCAATATTTGAGGAACTGAGGAGGAAAAAAGGTGTAAGACATACAGAAACCAGCAGCAAAGTGGCAGAAGTAAATCCTTCCTTAACAGAAATTACTGTAAATGAAAAGGGATCAAACTCACCAATTAAAAGAGAGACTGACAGAATACATTTTTAAAAGTATGACCAACTACGGGTTGAATATCCCTAATCCAAAAGTCCAAAATCTAAAATGCTCCAAAATCTGAAAATTTTTGAGTGCCTACATGATGTTCAAAATAAATGCCCATTGAAGTATTTTGGATTTCATATTTTTGGATTATGGAAGCTCAACTGGTGAGTCCGGTTGGCCTTAAAACAAGATGTGTTTGAATCATGCAGGTCCACTTATATGCAGATTTTTTTCAACCAAATGTGAATTGAAAATATAGTACTCGTGGGATTCAAAACCCATGTATACGGAGAGCTGACTTTTATAAATGTGGGTTCTGCAGGGCCAACTTTGAGACTTGAGTATGCGTGAATTTTGGTACACATTGCAGGGGGCGGGTGTCTTAGAACCAATCATCTGCATATATGAGATGACCACAAATGTTCCAAAATTTGAAAAGATCCAAAATCTGAAATACCTCTGTCCCAAGCATTTAAGATAAGGTATACTTTGTATGTAAGATAAGGGATATATGCTGTCGGTTAGGGACTCACGTAGGATCCAAAGTTGAAAGTAAAATGATGCATTTTGGGATGGTGAAAATGTTACATACAGGTGGCAGTTGCACAATGTTGTGAATGTACCAAGTGCCACTGAATTGTTCATTTTTAAGTGGTTAATTTTATGCTATGTTAATTTTATCTCAATTTTTTAAAAAGACTCCCTCAATTTAGTTTTGTTTCATTCATCTATTCCCTATTTATTTGCCTCTCTAGATTATAAAATTGTTGAGAACATGGACAGGAGTTTATTCCTCTTTGTGCTACCCAGCACAGTGCCTGGAATAATAAATATTTACTGAAGGCATCACTAAGCATGGAGTTGAACATCATTGAGGGGCTCAGACACTGGCGGCTGAGTCAATGCCATGCTTGCTGCAGGACAGCCTGCCCAGGCCATCTCAGTCTCAGGTATTTCTTCATAGCAGTATACGAATGGACTAATACAGGCCCATATTCCAAGACCCTTAGGAACAAGTGGTAATTGTTTACTATCTAGACGGGACTCTCCTACTTGATAAAAGTCTCCTGCTCTATAGCTCCACAAACAGTAAATTTATTTGAAATCAATAAATGAATGATTAAGCACTGTGACTGGAGAGGGCCGAACAGGGTTCCATTTCCAGATGTTTCCCAGGCACTGATGATTCACTTCCTGGGGCCGGGCAAGTTCCGAGGCTCCTCAGGGTCTCCTCAAACAATTCAGGCTTCTTTAAGCCTCCAGCTTGCAACTATCTGACTCATTAAGTTGAAGTTGGCAGGAAAGTTATAAAGGTTGTACTTGAATCACAGTCCTGAGATCTTGGGTTGAGATGCTTTTTATTTAGCTTGTGCATCACCAACTTGTAAAAAATATCTTGGTAAAAAAATTTAAAATAAAACTTTAAAGTTTGTGTTATGACAGATTAAACATTTAATGCCACATGGTGTGTATATCTCAATGGAAACACTGTTCTTGTGTGTTCAGTATCTGTGTGCATGTTAATCTTCCTGTGAGATCATAAAGCTCTGTAAGGGAAAGGGTCCAATTGTCTCACCTTGAAAATTCCAAACCTAGCAAACGCCTGGTGGGAAATACAAACCCGCAGGCGTTTCTGAGTGAACGGAGGTTGTGCCAGGTCAAATGCTCACTGCTGGTCCCGTCCTGCTCTAAAATGTTCAGATGCATAATGGGTTATTTTTGTTGGTATTTGGGTGGGTCGAATGCTCACTGCTGGTCCTGTCCTGCTCTAAAATGTTCAGATATGTAATGGGTTATTTTTGTTGGTATTTGGGTGGGTCAAATGCTCACTGCTGGTCTTGTCCTGCTCTAAAATGTTCAGATATGTAATGGGTTATTTTTGTCGGTATTTGGGTGGTATTTTTGCTCTATGACCTCCCATTTCTCTGACGTCTCTAGATTCCTTTGTTATTTGTGATTTCTGCTTCTGGTGGTGACAACAAAATCTGCCATTGCTGTGCAGCCGCCTCACCCATGGAGCAGGCTTATCCTCTACAACTATTCTACAGAAAAGACAAGCAAGGTCTGCGTGGAGTGAAAGCGCCTTCTTTCCATATCGGATGCTGGAAGCTGTGATGTTGGCAAACGGCTCTTTGCATGAAGTACTGTGTACTGAACCAGGAAAGTGAGGTGCAGACGCGGAAGTCAGGTGCAGATGTGTTGGGCAGATGAGCTATGGTGATGGCGGGTGGCCATTCCCTATAAGAGAGTGGCTCCTCTATTATTAACAAAATAAAAATTAAAGAAGGTTTCCATTGAGTTTGCTAGTTCTTCACTAGCAATATTCCCAGCTGGTTGACCTTCATTTGTTTTAGTTTGATTTCATCCAACACAGCTTTATCTTACCTGCTGCCCACACCCTACTCTTGAGAGCACGTACTCCTGGCAGGACCCCAACCCAGGAAACCCTCCCATGCCCCAGGTGCCGTCCCCTGACCAACCAGCCTCACTCTCAGAGACAAGGATGAAACGCATATGAATATCCACTCTAATACGGTTCAGAGAAGGATGATCTGTTATCTGAAACTTTTACTGCAAAAGCTCTTTTAATCAAAACCTTCAGAAAATTTGAATTTTACTCCTTGCAAAGATTATTTGGTTAAAAAAAAAGGACACTCACAACAATTAACATATGACTGGGGATGTGTAAGAACAGCGAAGAGAACTGGACAGGCTGTGTCCTGGGAACAGCGCCCGGTGCACACACCCCTTTCCATCTTCCCTATTGGCACCTTCAGTCCCCGGAGGCGCTGCTGATGCTCATAGGAAGGGACTAAGGCCTTCACAGTCTGTCAACAGGAGGGTCCCATGGGGCTCCATCACGGTCTCTGGGACCCCCCTTCCACTGCAGCAAAGTGGACAGGTGCACTGCATCAACATCTCAACACCGGGTGAAAAGGGAAACGCCTTACTAAACGATGTTCCCGTGATCAGAATCACGGGCTAACGTCCCTCCGCTTCCGCAGTCTTCAGGCCTCAGGCACTGCCAGTGACATTAGCTGCTGTGCGTCCCTCCTGCCGGACTGCAACACCGTCTCAGGATCCACCTCCCACCATCTTCCCTGACCATGGCCCTGCTCCATCTGATTTGTTTGTCCTCTGATCAGGTGGGGCCTGAGTCCGGCAGTGGATGCCAGTGAGTCAGCCATGGTTGGCAGGGACTGGCTGGCTGCCCCCCTCTCTTCATTGGCCCCGCCTGTCTGGCCTGGGCGCCCACTCACTCCTGCTGCACCTGCCACAACTGCCGGCTGATCCTGCTGCTCTGATGCCCCCTCACGTCTCCAGCCTGCGCCCCGCACTGCGTTCGCTGCCCATCTTCCTCCCAAGCTCACAGTCTAGCTCCAGGTGCCTGCTCTCCTTGTTCTGTGTCTGTTTCTGCACACCCTGCGGGGAGGCCAGGCTCACCCAAGAAAAGAGTCAAGGCTGCACCATGAAGCCTCTCGGGCTGGGCAGGGAGTCCAGGCCCTGGGAGCCCCCCAGAGCCCCCCACAGAATGTGCAGCTAGCCTCGCCAGACGCGGGCGATGGGGCCGAACCCCGCAGGACAACTTAGGAGGAGTGAAGAGTGGAAGAGTGCCCGGTGCAGGGATGGGTGGGAGGAACCTGGGGTAGTGTGCACGCCTGAGACAGGGTGGGGGACACGAAGGGAGACAGGCGAGGGTGGGACAGGCAAGGGTGGGTAGTGTGCATCCCTGAGACGGGGTGGGGGACACGGGGGGAGACAGGCGAGGGTGGGTAGTGTGCATGCCTGAGACGGGGTGGGGGACACAGGGAGACAGGCGAGGGTGGGGAGGGAGACGCTGACTCCGTGGTGGAACGTGGGTAGGTGATAGGCTGGCTCCCTGAGCAGCCCCTCCCCTGTGGTGCAGAGCTGTGGGTCTAGGGGTGAGGGAGCCATCATCTCATCTCACGCCATGGAGACACAGGTGTGGCTTCTGTTCCTGTATCTCTAGTAAATGTTTCCTTCTGAGAAACTGGGTCTGTCAGCCTCTTTCTCAGGCCTCTTGGTTCCCTCAGACTTGGGGGTAGGTGTGCACAGGCCTGCCTGCCAGGGGACAGGAACCCCAGGGGAAATAAAGGTGATGCTCAAACCCAGACCACCGAATGCTCTGAACACACTTGCTTGCTTTCAGGTGGAAACATTCACAGTGTCCCTGGGTACAGCAGACTTCATATCACAGAGACTTCCCTCTCCAGGACGTGAAGATGTCCATCACCGAGACGTCAGCACGGCAGGTGGGAGAAAGCCATGCACACAGTGAAGGGGACGGCCTCCATTGGCCCACAGGGTGAGCTATCCAGTTCCAGGAGCCACCTGACCACAGGGTGAGCTGTCCAGTGCCAGGAACCACCTGACCACAGGGTGAGCCGTCCAGTGCCAGGAACCACCGGACCCACGGGGTGAGCCCTCTGGCTCGAGAAGTCCTCAGCGACATCTGGGGGTCCTGTGCATGCACCATGTTGACTGTACCCGTGTGCAGCTTGCACAGAGTCCCCAGCAGCTCTGGGGAGGGCTCCGTGTTCAATATGTGATGAGCTTTCGGGAAGGACAGGAGAGCCGGGTGTGAGAAGCCTCCTTCCTAGGGCCTGTGTCTCTGGAGTGCACGAGGCAGATGGATGGAGACGTGGGAGCAGGGGCTGGCAGCACTCCCCGAGCACAGTGGGAACTCAGGAGCAGGGGCTGGCGGCACTCCCCGGGCACAGAGGGAACGGCCTGGGTGGCATGGAGAGTGTCCTCCCAGGATACAGCGGAGTGCCCGTCACCACCTGCCCACCTTCTTCACACCATGAGGCTGCTGGCACGGGTGCCTTTGCTGCCGGCTGCTGTCTGTGCTGCCCTGCAACCTGGATCCACATGGCTGGAGGTCCGGTGTCCCTAAAGACTTCTATGACATCCTGACACTGCCCTGCTTGGACACTCTCTGGACAGGAGACACCTCACCCCTCACAGACATCTCATTTTTTCAGAGCTGCATCATCAGAGCAGTTGGGGGACAGGAGGGCCAAGTCTGAGGACTCAGACCCGGGGCAGCTGGTGGAAGCTGGGGTTAAGAGTGGAATACATGGCCAAAGGATCCCTCCTGAGGGTGAGGGCGACCGAGAAAGGAATGAGGGCATAAGAGCGGTGCTGGAGAAATGTAAGCAAATCCGCATTTCGAAGCAGAAATCGCTGGTTTAAATATTCTCTCCTTTCCCTCACCATGGAATGCACAAACGCTTGAAGATGCATGTGTGTTAGAGTCTCTTCCACAGAACTCTCTGGAAAGGCCGTTCCAAGAGCTTCAGGTGTTCAGGTTCGTATCTGAGGCTGCAACAGGCAGAGCCACTTCCAGTTTCCTGACTAAAAAGTGAAAGTTCCAGAAGCATTCCTAGATCTGTGGTGTGTGTGGTGCACGTGTGCTGTGTGGTGTGTGTAGTCTCTGTATGTGTGTCCATGTGGGTGGTGCCTGTGTACTGTGTGTGCTGTGTGGTGTGTGTGGTACATGTGTGCTGTGTGGTGTGTGTAGTCTCTGCATGTGTGTCCATGTGGGTGGTGCCTGTGTACTGTGTGTGCTGTGTGGTGTGTGTAATCTCTGCATGTGTGTCTATGTGGGTGGTACCCGTGTACTGTGTGTGTGCTGTGTGGTGTGTGTGGTGCACGTGTGCTGTGTGGTGTGTGTAGTCTCTGCATGTGTGTCTATGTGGGTGGTGCCTGTGTACTGTGTGTGCTGTGTGGTGTGTGTGTGGTGCACGTGTGCTGTGTGGTGTGTGTAGTCTCTGCATGTGTGTCTATGTGGGTGGTGCCTGTGTACTGTGTGTGGTGTGTGTGTGTGGTGCACGTGTGCTGTGTGGTGTGTGTAGTCTCTGCATGTGTGTCTATGTGGGTGGTGCCTGTGTACTGTGTGTGGTGTGTGTGTGTGGTGTGGGTTGTGGTGCCTGTGTGAGAGGAGTGGTCTCAGCCGGGGTGATATTAAGGCCTGCAGTACAGCTCCAGACCCCAGAGCGAGGCCCCGCCTCCCTGCCGAGCCCCAGAAACCCCCTTTTCAGGGGTGGAAGTGGGGGTGGCCTCTCCCATGCAGTTGAGTGTCCTGGGAGGGAAAGCACAGAAGTTCTTTCTGGTATCTTTAGAACCAAATCAGGTGAGGTGTTTAAGTATCTCATATGTTTTTTGGTCATCATTTCTATTTACTCCTGCAAAATTATTTTTTAAGATAAATTAAAAGAATAATAAACCGAAATACTAGACTTAAAATTTAAAAATTTAGAAATTGCTGGCAATCTTTTTGTTTTTACAAAATGCCACTTCCTAGTTTGTTTCTGGGTAGTGTGGGAGTGAAGCGGGTGGGGTGGAGGGTGCTGGGCCAGTGTGCCTCTCACCGTCCCCAAGGAGCCCCCTGGAGATGCAGTCCAGAAAGACGGATCCACCGGCCATCCCAGGTACCAGGAGCAGCACACACGAATGCTGGATTTGTGCCTCACACTAAAAAGCAGCTTGGTGTAGCTGCGAATTTTCTATCCAGGCACATCTCTTCACTGCTGATTAAGCTACCTCTTTTTGCCAAACATACTCTATATTTGTGCTGGATCACAGGTAATTTGGTGGAGAAAAGCAATTCCAAGGAACACAGGGGAGGGTACCATCATGTTTGTGATGCATGGAATTCCTTGCAGCTGGGAGACCTATCTAGAATGCTGAGCCGGGCTCACATCCCCCTGGGTGGGAGCTATTTCTAGGTCTCATCAGCAGCCAGGGGAGGGCTTACCAGTAATTTTTAAGCCATTTCAACTTCTCTGAAGGCAAAACCTGGGAAAGCACCGCAGGCCCATCACAGATCCCCTGAGAGAAGCAACTCCTCAATTCTGCACCTGCGTCTGCTTCCAGACAGCACACAGCAGGAGGGTTATCCAAGCATTTGAAGAAATGCTCTCCAGGATCAACTCTCTTCTTCAGACAACTCCCAACCATTGTGGTTTTAAGTGGCAGGGCACAGCTCAGAAGAGAAAGACAAGGAGGGCAAGGCGGCACCGCAGCTCAGCCCCGCAGGGTGCTAGGGCGGACACCCTGCGGGGTTTGCCTGGGCTCTGCATTCCCATCCCTTCATTAGCCCAGGGGTGTGGAACAGTTTGCACCCAGCTCTGGGTCTTCATACGTGGAGGTCAGGAGAGTCTCAAATAGTGCATCTGAGAAAACCCCCAAATTGGTGCGATTTCCAATAATACGTAGCCTTTGCATATTTCTAAAGAGAGTCAGAGGTTGGAAGGAACCCAGGAGACCAAGGGAGAAACCCGCACATTCTGACAGGTGCGTTTTCTCATCAGGATGTCAGCTGCTGGGACACTGCCCCAGGCCATTCGTGTGCTGCTGAAACTAGGATGTGTTTCTCTTGTGTTTGGATGAGATTTTATTCTTCCTACGTGCTGGCATTTAGTACACTGTTGTTTATGGCTGTTTGATGAGAAAAGCCTAGGGACGGCTGGTTTAAGGTAAGAACATTCACAGTGTGTTATCTGCATGCCCAGGGCTGTGAGGGAGCAGAAGACACAGGGTTGGCTCCCTGACGTGTTGGAGACAGCAAGAGACGTGGAGCACATCTGGAGGGGGAGGCTGGGCTGCTGCTGTAGCCGTGATCGCTCCGGTCCACATCTGGGTTCATTTGGTGTGTGGACACAGGTGTCTACCGAGAGGGTTTTACCTAAGTTAGACTAAACAAGGCTGCGAGCCAGTCCCAGTCTGTGACTCTACCAGAAGAGGCTGGGTCCCTGGCTGAAGAAATGCTGAAAAATCCTCAGACACAAATGAATCTGTTCGACTCAATGTGCACTCAACAATTGACTGGCTATCCCTAGCCCTCTTTGGGTCTACCAGTTGCTATTTCTTGCGTGGGCATCAGCCTGCACACAGTGAACAAAAGCAGCTGGTTCAGAGCTGCCAGTGCTCCCCAGGGGAAGGACTGACAGAGTGATGCCAAGACAGGGCTGCCCTCCTCCCTAGGGAATGTCCAATCCATGCATGGCCACCAGAATCAAGGGCCCACAGAGGAATCAAGTTTCAGGGGTCATGGTGGGAACCTCACTTTCCCAGAGGATAAACTGTTACACAGAAGGCCTGACTGCTTTTGGTTTCTTAGCCTGTGAGTTGGAATTCATTTGTGTGACTAATTCATGTTTGGAATTTACAAAAAGAAGTTGTTTCAATTGCCACCAAGTAAAGGGTTCATTTAAATCTGCAACCTTGCTAGAATGCCTGGCTCATGCCACTATGAAAACCTGCATCTGAGCCCATTCTGTTTTGAATGGTGGACACCTAGAGAGTAAGAAGGAAAAGGGAAGGAAAGGTCCTACCCAACATCAGAACCACATGAGCGAATGGCCACTTGGGAAATGGAAATACATTTGACCTCCATGGCTCAGAGAGGTTCAGAAGGGTTAATAAACAGCTCAAGCACTTGCACCTGAGAGCCCACTGTTACTCTAGAGCAGGGGACAAGAGTCACCCAAGGTGACTATAAGTCCCCACAAATTCATCTGATGTGCACTTCCCAGAATCTGCAGCACCCTGTACCAACCCCCATCCCCTCTCCACAGCAACAGTGCATCCTAACTGTGAGCTTAGGAGACACGTATTTTTGGCATCTAGGACTTAAGTATTAATCCCTGGGGGGGTGAATTCCATAAATTAAGGAGGGGTACAGTAAGAGGATGAGATGTTTAAAGAGAAGCATATCCATGGAATCAAAATGCGATCAGAGCATTATGGCCAAATAATCCCTAAGAAAAACACTGATGGTACACACAACAGATACAAGATTCAAAATAAATCATCAATTAATACTTTTAAATAGTATTATTGTATTCTTTTTATTTATCTATTACTATTAATAATTATTATTTGATGGTACAAAGTGAAAAGGATTATAAGTGAGTGTGATGAGCATTTGCACACCTACAAACAGGATAACACAAGAAATGGGAAAATTCCTAGAAATACGCAACCTACTGAGACTGAGTCATGAAGAACTAGAAAACCGAC
Organism: Homo sapiens; assembly: GCF_000001405.40. Lineage (NCBI taxonomy): Eukaryota > Metazoa > Chordata > Mammalia > Primates > Hominidae > Homo > Homo sapiens. The sequence goes on from NC_000007.14 coordinate 157,957,717, forward strand.
CCCACCAGGAGTGAGTAAGGAGACTGAAACCGTAGTCAAAAACCTCCCAAAGAAAATCCTGCAGTCACTGGTTTGATGGATAAATTTTACCAAACATTTAAAGAAGGATTAGCACCACTCCTCCTCAAACTTTTCCAAAATATTGAAGAGGAAACAATTTCTAACTAATCCTGTGAGTCCAGCATTACTCTGACACGAAAGCCAGACAGACACTACAAGCAAACAAAACTAAGAACCAGTATCCCTTATAAATACTGATGCAAAAAATCTTCGACAAAATACTAGTAGACAAAATTCGGAAGTTCAGAAGCATATTAAAACGATTGCTGTACCATGACCAAGTGGGATGTATTCCTAGAATGCAAGAATGGTTCAACACATAAAAAATAATAAACGCAATACACCCCACTAACAGAATGAAGGAAAGGACCCATATCATCATCTCAACTGATCCAGAAAAAGCATCTGACAAAATTCAACCCTCTTTCATGATAAAAACGCTCAACAAACTAGGAGTAACAGAAAATCACCTCAACATAATAAAGGCCATATATGAAAAATCTGCAGCTAATGTAACACTCCAGGGTAAAAGATGGAAGACTTTTCCTTTAAGACTAGGAACAATATGAGGAGGCCTGCTTTCACCACTGTTATTCAAGACAGTATTGGAGGTGCCAGCCACAGGAATTAGGCAAGAAAAATAAGTAAAAGGCATCTAAATGAGAAAAGAAGACATAAAATTGTTTCTGTTCACTTATGATATGATCCTATAGGTAGAAAATCATAAAGATTTTACACAAGAGATCTGTTAGAACTTAATAGAATTTATTAACAAATTTAGTAAAGTTGCAGGGTATAAAATCAATATACAGAAATCATTTGTACTTCTATACACTAAAATAAACAATGCCAAAAGGACATTTAAAAAGCAATTCCATGTACAATAGCATCGAAAGAATAAAATATTTAGGGTAGGCTTAACTAAGGAGGTGAAGGACATGTACACTGAAAACTACAAAGTGTTGTTAAATGAAAGAAGACACAAATAAGTGGAAAGACATCCCATCTTCACGTATTATAAGGCTCATTATTGTTAGCTTTTAATACTACCCAAAGTGATCTACAGATTCAACATAATCTCTACCAAAAATATTGATATTTTTTCAGAGATAGAACAACCCATCCAAAAATTTATATGGAATCTCATGGGAACCCAAACAACCAAAGCAGTCTTAAAGAAAACTGGAAGACTTGCTGATTTAAACTTACAACAAAGCTATAGTAATCAAAACAGCATGGTCCTGGCAGAAAGGCAGACATATAGACCAATGGACTATAAAACGGAGCCCAGAAGTAAACCCTTTTGTGTACAAATGCTTTTTGACAATTGTGCCAAGACCATTCAATGAGGAAAAGAATAGGCTTTTCAACAAATGGTTCTCAGACAACTTGCAAAAGAATAAAGCTGGACCTGTAACTTACATCATATACAAAACTTAAAACTGATCAAATATCTGAATTTACAAGATGAAACTATAAAGCTCTAGGAAGACTTAGGGGGAAGCTTCATGACACTGGATTTGGCACTGATTTCTCAGTATGACACTAAAGGCACAGGCAACAAAGAAAAATAAACAAATTGCACTTTATTGCACTTTATCAAAATTAAAACCTTCTGTGTATTAAAAAACATTATCTAAACAGTTAAAAAGTAACCCAAAGAATGAGAGAAAACATTTGAAAATTACATATCTGATTAGGAGTATCTAGAACATATGTAAGACTCCTACACCCAACAACAAAGAAGCAAGGATTGGAATAGACATTTCTCCAAAGACGACGTGCAGATGGAGAGTGAGCCCATGGTGAGCTGTTCAACATCACCAGCCATTAGGCAAAAGCAAACAGGAGCCATGAGATGCCACTTCACACTCCTCAGGACGGCCATCCTCAGAAAACCAGAAAACAAGGGCTCATGAGGGTGTAAAGAGACTGAAACTCGTGTGTACTCCTAGTGGGAATGTAAAATGGTTCAGCCACACTGGGAAATAGCTTGAGAATTCCTCAAAAAATTAAACATAGAATTACCATTTGACCCCACAATTCCACGTGAGGTAAACACTCAAGTAATGCAAAAGCAGGAACTTGAATGGATATTTCTACACTGACATGTATAGCAGCACTATTCCCAACAGCCAGAAGGTGGAAGCAAGCTGAGTGCCCATCAGGGGAAGAACAGATAAAAAACATGTGGTCTATACACGGCGGGGTATTATTCAGCCCTAAAAGTGAAGGACATTCATCCAAGCTACAACACGGGTAAACCTTGAGGATATTATGTTAAGGGAAATGAGTTGTATATATAAGAGGACAAATATTATGATCCCACTTCTCTGAGGTCCCTAGGGTCATCAGATCCATAAAGACAGAAAGTGGAACGGTGGGTACCAGGGGCCGGGGGAGGGGTTGAGGAGTTCTTGTTTAGTGAATACAGAGTTTCAGTTTGAGAAAATGAACAAGTTTTGGAGATGGATGGTGGAGATGGTTGCATGACACTGTGAATGTACTTAATGCCACTGAATTGTACAGGTGAAAATAGTTAAAATGGTAAATTTTACTTTATGTATATTTTACCATAACAAAAACATCATTGCAAAAGAAGCATGGGAAGAATCATAATCAGGTGCTGTTTTAAACTGTAAATCAATAAAACCTTTCTGAAAAAGGAGTTGGGTGGCACATGTCAAGAACAGATAAAATATAGATACATTTTAACCATCTAATTTCAATTTTAAAAATACATCTTTAATTCTTTCCATTTAAAAAATGTGCAGTAAACATTAGATATAGAAATAAAAGCTCTAAGAATAGGGAAATAGCTAAGTAAATATATTTTCATGGATGAAAAATTATTCATCCGTTAAAATGATATTACAAATGTTGAAAAGACCAAGATATTTTTATGATACAATGATAAATGAAAAACAAAAACAAAAACAAAAAAACATGGTCAGGCATGGTGGCTTACGCCTGTAATCCCAGCACTCTGGGAGGCTGAGGCGGGTGGATCACCTGAGGTCAGAAGTTCGAGACCAGCCTGGCCAACACAGCAAAACCCCGTCTCTACTAAAAATACAAAAATCAGCCAGGCATGGTGATGGGCGCCTGTAATCCCAGCTACTCTGGAGGCTGAGGCAGGAGAATCACTTGAACACAGGACGGGGAGGTTGCAGTGAGCCAAGAACATGCCACTGCACTCCAGCCTGGGTGACAGAGCGAGACTCCGTCTCAAAAACAAAAACAAAACAAAACCAAAACAAAACAAAAAACAAGCAAAAACCAAAACCATGGAAGTGAAATTCTCAATTATATTAAAATATGTATCTGTAACACTCTTGAAGGAAATATGCCAAAATATTCACAGTAGTTATAGTTTATTAGAGAGATTATGAAGAAATATTTTTCTTTCCTCTTTTGATTTTTTCCAAAAATTTCACAATGGCACACAATATAGATATTAAGAATTATTATAAGGTCAGGCGTGGTAGCTCATGCCTGTAATCCCAGCACGTCGGGAGGCTGTGGCAGGTGGATCACTTGAGGCCAGGAGTTCGAGACCAGCCTGGCCAACAGGGTGAAGACCCATCTCTACTGAAAATCAAAAAAATTAGCTGGGCATGGTGGTACACACCTGTAATCCCAGCTACATGGAAGGCTGAGGCAGGAGAATTGCTTGAACCCGGGAGGTGGAGGTTGCAGTGAGTTGAGATTGTGCCACTGCACTCCAGCCTGGATGACAGAGACAGACTCTGTCTCAAAAAAAAAAAAAATTATAAAAAGTCGATTAAAACAACAACAATTTTAAAAAGAGGGCAGGAAAGTGGTCTAGTGCCCAAGAGACCTGTCTCAGCATTAAAGCATCCATTTAATAACGGTGTAATCTTGGCTTTGTTATTTAGTTTCTCTATTCTTCAGTTTCCTGATTTGTAAAATGAAATTTTCAGGTGACTGCCTTTCAGCACTCACACTCGAAGGCACTTAGTAAATTCGGCACTCATATTCTAAGGCACTAAACACATGTGTCTACTTATGGGAGCCCGAACATGAGCCTCTGTCAGGTTTATGGAGGATGAGTTCCAGTGGGAAAGAGGCTTCCTGAGTCACAGTGAGCCCAGGAGACCCGGCGGCGGCCGCACCGGGACCCGGGGTGTGTGGAGACCCGGCGGCCACACCTGGACCCGGGGTGTGTGGGAGGCTCTGGAAGAGCCACTCTGTGTCCCACCCTCTCACTTTCCCTCCTGCTGAAGAGGCCTCAGTGCCCGGCGGGTGCACACAAGCGGCGCAGTCCCTACTCTGGCGGGAAACACAGGATGTGAAAGTATTTTATGAAACAGTTTCAGTGAAGAAGAAAGTGGGTCATTTTCTAATTTGAAAAATCCAGAGTCTTCTATTTTTCTTTGAAATTTAAGGAGAAGCAAAGTGCTTTTAAAATGTTTGCGTATTAGCATAAACGATTACAAATATTTGTGTGTTTCCTGGTCGATGAAAACACGCCGCTGCCAGCAGGATGAGATCCGAATGTGAATGGCCACACTTCAGCAGGAGTGTTATTCCACCAGCGGGAGCGTTATTCCCCCAGCGGGAGCGTTATTCCCCTTCCCGTTTCCTGTTCCTTGGTGTTGACTTTAATGCATATGTTCAGATACACAGAGGAATAGAATTGTCAAACTCGGTCACCAGCAGGTCTCTCATTATTAGAGGACACCCTGATCCAGGACAGCAGACCAAGGGTGCTTAGTTTTTACACTATTTAATACACAGATTATTTTCATCAATGTTAAGACTACAGCTTCCTGAAGTCAGACCCCAGGCCTTTTATTGGTACCTACACACCCGGGGTCAGGTGCAGCCTGCACATGGCAGGTACTTGAGGAACACCTGTGGACAAGCTGGAAGAGTCCGGTGGGAAGGGTTTTCAGTGACAAGCATAGGAAGGGTTCGTGACACCTGTTCCTATTACAGACATGGGGAGGTTCAAAGTGAACCAGTCAGGAATAATCTCAGCCTCACCCCAGAAGGAATTTACAAATGAGGACCATATATGGCATGGACTAGAGGGTCATATCAACCCACAGACTGTGGCATTCTTGGTTCCATTCCCCACTATTTGGATAACCTTGAGCAAGGTAGTCTTTGAGCCCTGAAATGGTGAGGAACATGCCCTTAGCCATGGGATGCTGGCAGGTCATTGATACTGTCCTATCTATGAACGGGGTTTTCCTGTCTTTAAATGGGGTGATGAGGCCACCTCGCAAGGCAGCATGCAGAGAAGCAAGTCCACACGGCAGACACTCAGCCAGCGCAGCGCCCAGCACAGACGTGCTCAGCAGACGCACACTCTCAGCTCTGACAGCCACGGTGCAAGTCAGATGCAAGCCTGCAGGCTGAGCCGGGCAGTCTCCTGGCCTCAGGTGGACCTGCAGTCAGAGACAGTCCCTCCCTTCTGCGGCATCCTTTCCTTCCTGTGTGCACGCTGTAGAATAGCGGGCTGGGGGTGTTTAAGACCAGAAGCAGAAAACTGACAACTTTGTTGCCTGGAAAAAATAAGGTGGACAATACTGGAACTAATGGCAGAAACAAGGTTTTGGAGCAATCTACAATTTATTGAAAGCAGCCCTGAGTCCCAGGACTAAAATAACTAAGAATTGGTTTGGTTTTATTATTTCTTGTTAAGCACCATGTCTGAGGTTAAGACCCAGTTCTTAAAAGTAATCACATAGATACGTGTTACACACATCAGTTCAGTTGCTAACCAGCCCATCAGCTTGGATGTAATTACTTCACACGTTCTCTGAGAATGTGTTCCACACATAAAGAATTTCCATAATGGCCAGGCAGCCTTGAGTGGAAACAGGCCACAGTTCGGGCCTGGGAGAGAAGTCTGCAGGGGGGAGATCTGTGGTCATGCCCTCACCCCATCCCCAGGGCAGACGATGCCGCTTCTCAGTGAGGTCCCCTTGGCTTCCTGTCACAGCACCTCGGTGCTAGTCCACCCGGGAGATGCCAGAACAGGGCTAACTCGTTCATCTTTCCAGTCCAATGGCCGGGGTTGCTACATTTCTCAAACTTAATTTCTATCATTAAATCCTTTTGTTTTGTTTTATTTTTGGACAGACGAGTTCTCCCTATGTTGCTCAGGCTGGTCTCAAACTCCTGGCCTTGGCCTCCCAAAGTGCTGGGATTTATAGGTATGAGCCACTGCACCCAGTCATTAAGTCCTAATTACATGTTATTTGCCCTGTTCAAGTTCAAGCAGTATTTTTTTTAATAAAGATTATTCCCAATAGATCTTAGTCTTCATCTGTAAGAGGCTGTTGAGGGCACGACCACCTCGCAGTGACCTCCCTCTGTGTGGGACCCCCGTTCCCACTGGCACACCATGGGGACAGCTGGGTGGGGTAGTGTTGAGTTCTGGTCCTGGTCCCACCGACCTGGGCTGGAGCTCCCAGATGCTCCACACACCCACGTCTACAGAAACACTAGGCCAGACTGGGGTCCGCCCCACACGCACAGAGGATCACTGGGGGCGATGTAGAGATGTGGAAGCTGGACCCCACCCCCCAGGCTAATTCATCAGCAAGATGTTGGCAACTGCTGGGCTGGATGGTTATTAGCATATTAGGATGACATTTGACCCTAACATTCCAGTTTTGTGCTACCAAAAAAAAAAAAATCACCTGAATGAGTCAAGACAGTTAAACTTGAGGGTGATTTGGGAATGAGGGGAATTCATCCATTTGAGGTTAAATGTTTGCCAATCTAATTTGGTCAAAACAGTTCATCCACAACCCCGTGCAGGCCACAACACAGGAGCAGGTGCAGCAGGGCCCTTGAGTCTGTCTCACGCCATTAACACCCTGTGATGGCCTTACTTGGCGTGTGGAGCTGTGACCACCAGGGCCAACCTGAGGCAGCATCATGGACTTGACCGACTCACCTCAGAGCTTGGCACTGGGTGCTCTGATTCCCTTCCTCAAGCTTCCCACTTGAAGGTTGGTGTGAAACCCCACCCCACTCAACCCTGGCTGATCCCCATGGCCTGTTCTTTCGACGATCCTCCTCTTGCCCCAATTTCTCCACCGCACAGACTCGCCAGGGCTTTGGTTTGTGAGTGCCCTGCACTCTGTCAGTTGGGCCATGGTATAATTTATGTTCAACAGAGACCTTTGGGAGTGAGTGTCAGTGCCGTAGCGGAACACAGGGATCTGAGGCACAAGGCAGGGCTGTCCCAGGCAAACAGGGACACCGGCCCCTTCATCAGTAGGTGACATGCTTTCATTCAATAGGAAATTCCAGAACACCAAGAAAGGGATCTCCAGACAGGGACCTGAAAACAGGATATGGAGGTAGATTTGTGGGAGAGAGTTGGAAAGGGAGCTAGCACTCTTTGAGTACCCACTTTGTGCTAAATACTTAGTTTTTGACTCCATATGTATGAAGATTACCATATTTCATCAATTTCAAGACGAACCCTTTTTCACAGTGTAACCCCTCTGAAGTCAAGATGCCTCTTATGAACACTGGCAAGAGAGTTTAGCTGGAGCATAGCCCTTTCCTGATAGCACATAAAGAGACGGTGCCCCTCACCAGGGTTCCTGGCTTGGACTGGACAGACGACAGCACCGCAAGCATCTCACCATCGAGAGACTGAGCCTTCCCAACACCATTTGGCATTCCCAGCTTACACAGCTGAGGGGGTGAAGCAAGGTTCAAATCAAAGTCAGCACTAATAAAAATTTCTAGGTTTCCAACCCTACACACCCATTTGGGTCCCACTCAAACATCACCACAGGGTGGCTCTCCCCAGTCACCCCTCAGGCCTGGCCCAGTGCCATGAGAACTGGGACCTCAGGAGGGTCAGAGCCCCAGCAGGTTCCAGCTCTCAGATCAAGGTGTTCTTTTCTTATCATCTTCTTTCTTCTCTTTCCCCTCTCCTAAATCACTGCTCACTCTCTGCCCCACACCCAACTCAACATTTAGATGCTCAGATAGCATTTCAGAGTCTTATTTTATGACTTTCTGAAGAATTGTGCTGCTTCAAAAATAAGAGCCCCCTCATTACCAAAAACTTAACCCAAAAGTGCACTTCCCAAAATGCCTCCAAATAAGTGTGGGAAATCCAGGAAGCCCTCGAGAGCCACTGAACGCCTCTGTGCCCAGCACTTTGACCAGCACCGTGGAATCAGCTTCCCAAAGCATGCATGGGGCACTGGAATCCCAGTTTCACAGACACAGAGACACAGAAAGCTTGATTCACAGGCAGGTGCCAGGAGAACTGCAGTTTTATCCCTGTAAAGTCTAATTCCAACAGGAGTACTCAGCCACATTGAACTTCTTCTCACTAAGAAAAGTTATCTCGGTGGCCTATAAACTCTTTGGAAATTGCTTTGAAAACATGTTCTAGGCTGGTGTTTTATTATTTATGAAGCAACACTGCTGTCCTGGTTTAACTGCCTTCCTGTGAAAGAAAAGGCTTCCTGTTTTGTTTCCTGAGACTCCTCTTTCTCCTTCATGTCATCACCATCACCACCATCATCTTCATTACCACCATCATCTTCACCACCACCATCATTTTCATTATCAACATCTTCATCACCATCATTACCATCATCTTCATCACTATCACCATCATCGCCATCTTTATCATCACCTTTATCTTTATTATCACCATCAACATCTTCATCACCATCATCATCTTTATCATCACAATCCCCATTATCACCATCATCACCATCATCTTCATCACCACCATCATCTTCATTATCACCATCACAATTATCACTATCATCATCACCATCATCTTCATCATTACCATCACTACTATCACCATCACCATCATCATCTTTATGATCACCATTATCTTCATTATCACCATCAACATCTTCATCACCATCATCATCTTTATCATCACAATCCCCATCATCTTCATCACCACCATCATCTTCATCACCACCATCGTCTTCATTATCACCATTACCATTATCACCATCACAATGATCACTATCATCACCATCATCTTCATCACCACCATCATCTTCATTATCACCATCACCATTATCACCATCATCACAATGGTCACTATCATCAGCACCATCACTGTCATCACCATCATCATCACCATCATCTTCATCACCACTCTCATCATCATTTTTAAAAAGGATTGCATTCTAAAAAGTTCTGTGTTTGAAAGTATATTTGTTTTCTTTGGCTGCTGTTGTAACAAATCACCACAAACTTAGTGGCTTAAAAAACCCACAGGCTGGCTGGGTGCAGTGGCTCATGCCCATAATCCCAACACTTTGTGAGGCTGAGACAGGAGGATTGCTTGAGACCAGGAGTTTGAGAACCACCTGGGCAACATATTGAGATCCTATCTCTATTAAATTTTTTTTAAAAATTAGCCAGATGTGGTGGCTCACACTTACAGTCCCAGCTACTTGGGAGGACCCCTTAAGCCTAGGAGGTCGAGGCTGCAGTGCACTGTGATTGTGCCACTGCACTCCAGCCTGGGCGACAGAGTGAGACCCTATCTCTTCAGAACAAACAGACAAACTTATTGTTCTGCAGGTTAGAAGTCCAGCCCGGGTCTCACTGGGCTGAAGTCAAGGTGTCGGCTGAGCTGCACTCCTTTCTGAATGCGGATGACGGTAAATGGGATGGAAGGTGCAGGTAGAGACTCTGTGTGGCAGGTTCTATCTCATTTACGTGGCTGGGAGTTGTAAATGCCATGAGTTTCTTCTGTTTGTTGGACCGTAAAGCAATGGAGGAGTGGGTGAAATCTGACTGTGGGCTGAGAGGGCTGTGTGTCCCCGTCCTCACTCAGAGGCAGACAAATACTCCATGACATGGGGAAAAGGAGAACGATGCTGACCCATTCCACAAGTCATCAACTCGCACAAGTTATGTATGTGCAGTTTACTGAGAGTCAGTCATACCTAAAAAGAGAAAAACTCAACAAACAGGAGGGTGGACATTGAAAAGTATCTGGCTGACCCTCTGTGAGTGAAGATGTATTTACCTTGGGATGAATGATCAGGAAAAATAAAGGCTGAATCCAGGGAGAAGGGGTCTGGGCAGCCACAAAGCTATGGGACACAAGTCCATGGAGGTCCAATGAGCTCATCTCATGCACGGTTCTCTTTTTGTGATGAACACCAGTGTGACCAGTGTAAATACAATATTAGTTGGATCATTTGTTAGTAACATACCTTTGGACACTGGCTTCATTCTTCAGTATCTTCCCTTTATAGACTTGGCTTTCTGGGAGCTGGATGTTTACCCAGTACCACCTAGCACTAGTAAATTACTACAGCGGAGGGCAGGGGAGGACCCACTACTCCAGGATCATTTGTGGGGGTGGCACCTGACTCAATATTAAAAAAATTCACATGGTGTTTTATGGTTTACAAGGCAGCCTTGAACATCTGACACCATGTAACAAGCGGTAACTGTGAGAAGTGGGGATACAGGACCAGGCCTTCTCTCCAAACCTTGAGGTTACCTTTCCTAGGAATGCAGAGCTTTCAGAATGGTGTCCATTCCACTCACTGCATTTCAGCCTCTGTGGCCTTGGGCAGCACCTGTGATGCCTGTGCTGACTGGCATCGTCTGCAGTAAGTGAGGAGGGCACAGAGCCTTCCATCAATCTGTTCAGGGCATGATTTGCTGCAAAGTGAGTTGTGAAAACTTTCGGTTTTCAAGAGTTTCTGGGTCTCGGGGTTGTGTGAATGGATGTGAACCAGCCTCCTTCTGTTTTTCCAGGGGATCTAACAAGGCTCGAACGCTGGAGCCGCATGTCTGCGACCACTCAGCAGGTGCCGGCTGGGGCTGGGCTCCTCAGACCTGAAACACTGACTTCTCTATTTGGCACATCTCCAGGGTCATCCTTGCAGATGAAGAATCCAGCCTGGGTGTCTCCTGACCCATCATACAGCCTAGAAGGGTTTGTGTTTTGTTTTTTCCAAGTAAATTCCTGCTATCATTTTACTTATTTTATTGCTGTGTGTAGAGTGAAGAAGATGCTGAAAAAAAAGAGTGAGAGAAAAAAATCCCGTTGATCCTGGTAGATGGGATATATGGGAACTAATTTTATATCCATGCATGAGTTAAAACGAGCAGTAGGCACATTTCCCATGGGCGATGGAAGTGACCTCTGTCGGCTCAGTGGAAGGTGCCGAAGAAACAGCAAGAGACCTCCTTGTCCAGGTAGCCACAAAGGAATTTCCTTTTGAAATGTATACTCGTTGAAATTTTTAATCCAGGATAAATTATGAGAGTCTGTACTGCACATGTCAGATGCTGCACATGAAGGGTTAACATCTTGCAATATCCATGGCATCAATGTTTCCTTTTTTTTTTCATCTTGCTCTGTCACTCAGGCTGGAGTGCAATGGTACAACCATAGCTCACTGCAGCCACCACTTCCCAGGCTAAAGCGATCTGCCTGCCTCAACCTCCCAGGTAGCTGGGACCACAGGTGCATACCACCATGCCCAGCTTATTTCTGTATTCTTTGTAGAGACGGGATCTCACCATGTTGCCCAGGCTGGTCTCAAACTCCTAAGCTCAAGTGATCCACCCACCTCAGCCTCCCAATGTGCTGGGATTACAGGCATGAGCCACTGTGCCTGGCTGCCAGTATTTCCTCTTTGCACACATCCTGCACTTGTCAGTGGCCACTTGCCCACCTCTGATTTCTCAAGTGAAATCATCATGAGAAGGGCATGAGTGGGGAGCTGGGAGGTGGTGGCAGGCTGGGTGCTGCCTGGGTTTCATCAGAACCTCCTGAGGTGGGGGCCAGGGGTAGCCATGGAGTTGGGAGTTGTGGAGGAGGCGAGATGCTTGGAAGGAAGCTGTGGACAGGGTCTGAATGGGGGTGGCTGAGCCTGAAGCTGGAGTTGAGTCCTGGTGGGAGCAGAAACCTTGGGCACCTGGGAGTTTGGCTTAGACAGATTGGGCTGTGCATGGTGGAGAAAGGCCCAAGCAGAAAAGCTCCTGAACAGGCCTGGAGCTTGCACAGGAGAAAGGCTGGAGTCACAGACCTGGATGTTGACTCTCCTGATCTCCTAAGGGAGAGAGGAGAGGAAGAAATGAACGGAGGGTCTTGGGGGAAATTCCCCAAGAAATAAGTGAGTAGCAAAAACAAACACTGCCAGACTCCTGAGGCCAACGGGATCCCTGAAGGTGCAGGGACTTAACACAGCCACCAAGAAAATGCAGGTGAGAGGATGAGTCCAGGAAAAACATCACTGGGCTGGCCTGGGGAAATTGGTGGCCCTGGCAAGGAAGTTGCAGAGGCTCAGTTCCAGGAACACACAGGGAAAGGTAAAAGACATTTGTTTCCCACAGGGCCAGGGCTCTACCAGCTCAGTTTTGTATTAGACACTGGGGCCACACTGTTGGAAATAATAATTTAGGGATAACTGCACAATATACTTGCCACCTTTGCCCTATGAACTCCCCAAGAGCTCAGGACACACATTGAGAAACACCAGCACACAAGTACCCAAGGTCATCTGCAGGCAAATAGAAAGCATCGTGGAAGCAATGCTCATTAGACCCACACACTGTCCCAGGTGCTCTGCTCAGCAGAACCGGGGGACAGAGACAGCATCCCAACTAGCAGGGAGGTGACAATCCCAGGGGAAGAAAGAAGGGGAAAGTCTCTATTCCAGCACAAGGGTCTGAAGTCATGAAAATAGAGCAGAGCAGGGAGTGAAGCTGTGCCAGAGCCACGCTGATGGCGTCCTCACCATTGGTGCGGGTGGGTGGCCAGATGCAGCTGCGCAGATGGCAGGGGCATGTTTCCTCCTCTCACTGTAACTGGCAGCAGTGTGCTTCATTGTCACGCTCAGAGCGGACCCCCCCCCCCACAGGTTGCCCACCCCAGGGCAAGACCTAGATCCTGGTGAGCCTTGGTGGGACCTGTGCCCAGCACAACACACATGGACAGCCCAGCAGGGGTAGCTGTGCAGCCAGTGGAGTGGCTTCTGTGCCCAGCATGCCCTCTCTGGGGCTCATTCTCGTGTTTCCTACCCTAATTCTAAGCTCATTCTTCAGAGCTCACAGTGCCCCTGACACTCCCTGGTCCCCCTCTCTGCCCAGTGACCAAAGCTGGCTTGTCCCTGCACGCACGAGGCACCACTCCATCACATGACTTCCATCTGCCTGGCAAATCTGCACCATTTTTGGAAGCAGCTGAAATCCCATTTACCCAGTAAAGTCAGCTGAAATAATCCTAGAGAAAGTTCACCACCTCTTCCTCTGCCTGTGCCTCTATCACAGATTTAATAACACACCCTTGTAATTCATCTTGCTTATGTGGGTGTTTTCTCCATGAGTTCTTCAAGAAAAGAGCTGGATTCTGTTCATCTTTGTTCTTACCCCTGAGTATCCAACTCAGAGCTTTGTACATACTAAATATTTGTACTTGTACTGAATATTTTTTGGAATGAATAAATGCATTTTTGAAGCATCAGACCTTCAATAAAAAAGGTTATTTTTTTCTTATCCATCACGAATCCGTATTTGAAGATTTCTGGAAGAAAAATGAATCAGAAAATTCAGAATATCCAGGTGAGTCTGGGGATATTCCACCCCAGTGCAGCATAGACACACCTCAGGACAGAGAAATTGAAGTTGGTGGGGTTTCTTAAAGCTCTTGCTGTAATGAGCGCCACTTGGAAGTAATGGCTTAATCGTTATTAATTTCTTTGGTATTTCCTATGATAACATTAATCACAGCAAACTCATTTGATGTAATGGAGACCAGGAACCCCCCTGGAACGTTCCCCAGCAATTCCGTGCTAATTAACTGAAGCATCTTGTAAAACTGCCACCCTGTTTTACGATTAAGTGCATTTCTTGCACACTTTGATTAAGACACAAATCCCAAGCCAATAAAAAAAAAAGTGGGAAAGAAAGAAAGAAAAAAAACCCACCGTTTTAGAATGCAGTAATGAGAGCATTGGTAAAGTAACAGAGACTTCACTGCCAGAGGCGACAATAGCTACTACTTGAAGTGAAGCAAAAAGAACTCCCCAGGGATGGTGTAGACTGAGAAACCTTCTTCTGTACCTTAATTTATCCACTGCATATGTACAGAAGCAATTTTAAAATGCATATTAAACACTCCAGTGAAAGAAAAGAGAATAATTCACAAAGATGTCAGTTCTGCATACCCAAGTGAGAACTATGAAAGCAGAGAGTCCTATGCAAACTTATATCAAGGTATGGAAAACACCTTTTACCACTTAAGGTAAATGTTCAATTTCCAGAGGGCAAATCGTGCGCTGCCTCATTCAGCAGCAGAATTTTTCTCCCCAATGATTGGCATTTGGCTATCAAGGCAGAAGAAAATGGAGCATATCACAAGATTGCACAGCTTGGAAGTGTAAAAGGCGTTCACTAGAACAGGTTCTCTGGCACCCAGCATGCCAAGGTCCTAACGAAAATCGTGTCAAAACTCACGTCAGTCATTCTGTGTTTTTTCTCCACTGGTTCAAATGCACATCATTCTAAGGATGACAGACACATGCAGAGGCACCTGGAATGAGGCAAATGGGACCTCGGGTCTTAAAGGATGAAACCAGAGCACATGGGCATTAACCTGCTGACTGACAGCAGCTCAGGACGAGAGAATGCCTATGTCACCCAAGAGAAGGGGGTCCAGGCCCTGTGGGAGAGACCACAGGAACTCCACACCACGAGAGCAGGGCTTCAGAGACCACGGGAACTCCACACCACGAGAGCAGGGCTTCAGAGACCACGGGAACTCCACACCACGAGAGCAGGGCTTCAGAGACCACGGGAACTCCACACCACGAGAGCAGGGCTTCAGAGACCACGGGAACTCCACACCACGAGAGCAGGGCTTCAGAGACCACGGGAACTCCACACCACGAGAGCAGGGCTTCAGAGACCACGGGCACTCCACACCACGAGAGCAGGGCTTCAGAGACCACGGGCACTCCACACCACGAGAGCAGGGCTTCAGAGACCATGGGAACTCCACACCATGAGAACAGGGCTTCAGAGACCGCAGAAACTCCACACCACGAGAACAGGGCTTCAGAGACCGCAGAAACTCCACACCACGAGAACAGGGCTTCAGAGACCAGAGTAACTCCACACCGTGAGAACAGGGCTTCAGAGACCACAGGAACTCCACACCACGAGAGCAGGCTTCAGAGACCGTAGGAATTCACACCACGAGAACAGGACTTCAGAGACTGCAGGAACTCCACACCACAAGAACAGGCTTCAGAGACCTCAGGAATTCCACACTGTGATAGCAGGGCCCCACTGAAGCCAGGGGTGACATAAGCCTGCACTCTGGGCTGCAGCGGCCTCACTGGCCTGCAGGAGAGGCCCCATGAGATGCCCTGGAGCAGCAGTGGGTGGGAGGAGGTTGTGCAGGGGCCTTCGAGGGATGAAGCAGCTTTGCTGGCAGTTTTGGGGAAGACAGCCCTACTTGGCCTGCCTTTAGTTCATGGGCTGATAGGACAGACACAGGATTTAAAGGCCAAATAGAACCACATAAAACCTGCAGATGTAAAATAACAAATAGCATGCTGTGGGGAGGAATGGGGAAAGGGTGGGGGGAAATAACAGGGGGTAGGCTCTTCAATATTTAAAAGTTCCAGACATCCACAGACTTCTTATGTCATTTTCCTGATGGGAGGGAAATGAATTTCCAATATTTATATACACCATTTAAATAATTTTGCTAAATAATCAGAGGTCTTAGAGAAAGATGTGCATAGAGCCAAACAAGCTGTCTACATGAGACACAGCCACAGCCGGGTGGGGCTTACCCTGTAAAGAATATCCTTCTGCACAGCAGAGGATGGCCTCACTGGATTAGATGGCTCTCCTTGAATCAAAGCCCTAATTTTCAGGTAATGGCCAAGATATAAGATGTAAAGCACTGTTGTAAGATTTTTAAAATCTGTACTATTTTTTGTAATGGCAATGTAAAATTTAAAAAGATGAAAGCATAGCAACAAAGATAAAATAAATAGCATGCTTTTAGAAGACCACGCGGCATGGAAAGCAGTCTCTAGCGCTGTCTTTCTTCCGTTAGGGTGGACTGGAACCACAGGGTATGAAAAGTGGCCTCTCGCGCTGTCCTCCTTCTGTTGGGGGGACTGGAAACACATTTCTCCATTCATTGTCAGTGGTGTTACAAGCCATTGGTGAGCTTCCTTCCAGAGTGAATGCCAAATGATACATTTATATTAGATCTCTCTGACCACTGCTGTTGACGTTGGCGGGGTAGCAGGTGTGGCCATAACATGGAGCACAGGCTGAGCTGCCTGACTTGCACTGCTGGACGGTGGGTTGGCGGTGTTGACGCTGCACAGGTCATGAGCGCCGGCCCTGCGGATCCGGCGATGATCATTGTGGAAAGAATGGACAGCACCCTGGTTGATGTGCAGAGTGACCCTGCAGTCAAGTCTGTTTGCCTCCCACTAGCATTTTCTCATCTCCAGCACGGTGTCAATGGTGCCACTCCAGCCGGGCCACCCTGCCCACAAGGTCTTCCACGGGGCTCCTCCCCAGCTCACGGGGAAATCCCCTTTAATTTCAAACAGGGCCCTTCCACCTGCCCTTGATTCCCTGTGGCACCTTGGGAGCATGGGGCTGCCCTACTGTGGAGTTAGTGGGTCCACTTCGAGAAGACAGAGACAGAGTGAAGCCTCAAGAACAGTGTTCACTGGCAGTGGGAACCGTCGGTCCTGCCATGGGACGATGTGACTGGGGGCTCGTCCATGCCTTGTCGTGGACATCTCTGGTCTCAGCCGGCAGGGGTGGGTGGGACCTCAGACCTCAGCGGGTGATGGCAGTGGGAGCCTGGGCAGGGGCGGGCAGGGCTCTGTGGTAAGACACAGAGGGCAGGGGCTGGGGTGGGCAGGGCTCCATGGGAAGACACAGGTAGCGGGTCAGGTGCTGGGGAGGTGTTGCTGGGCATGGTGGATTTGCAAATTTCCAGGGCGGTGGGGGGTCTGGCAAGTGTAGACACAGGGCAGAAGTGGGCGCAGTGTCTGTGGGTGAAGAGCTGTGCGGGCGGGCACTGAGAAGAGGTGCCCACGTCCATCCCCAGCCCCTCAGGCATGTTCACCATCATGGCGCACATGTCTGGGAGTGAGCAGAGGACCAGGGTATGGAACAAGCCCTAGTCAGAAATGCCTCCTGACGCCTGTGACCTCTGGGCAGGGCTAGTGAGGGGCTGGGGAGAGCAGAGGGTGTTTCTGGATAAGAACTCACACTAAAGGCCTGGCCCGGACCCTGCCTCCATCAGCAGGGTGCAGCCCAGGCCCAGCACATTCTCCTCCTCCTGGGACCTCGATCTTGGCTTCCCCTAGGCCTTTCTGGGGCCCCCCAGTTCCTGCCAACACTGCTGTCCACGCTGGGGCCCTCCAGTTCCTGCCAACACTGCTGTCCACTCTCTTGTCCACCCCATGATTCCAACCACTGGATCCGAGCATCTGCACCCTGTATCCGTTTCTCTAACCCAGATTTCCTTCAAGTTTCAATCCTGTACTTTCGGATAAGGACTGGATGCCAGCCCCTGTCTCCTCATGTCTGAGAGCCTCTCCATCTCCAGACACCCCAATCTCCTCGTCCCTGTGATGTCGGCTCAGGTCACCATTGTGTCCTCTTGCTCTCCTGGGTCAGGCACCTAGGAGTCCCTGAATGCAGGCAAATCATTCCTCAGCTGTCAGCTATTCATATTCCCACGGCCCCACGAGGAGACGTGCTTCATTCTACACAAACTTGGGCGAGCTCCCTAGACCCGAACTGTGCTTTTCAGTGAGTGTCACAGATGTCACATGGGTGTCAGATTCAAGGATGAGGCCAGCCCTTGGTGCCAGGCTTGGCATAAATCAGCCCCACCAGCCCCTGCCTGCCCTCCGTGTCTGGTATTCATGTTCAAAGGAGTCTAAAACCTCACTGTCTTTTCCATGTGAATTTACCTTTTTTTTTTTCCATTGCATGTCCTTTAAATAACCACCAGGTACCTACTGTGTGCCCTGGGCACTGGGGATGCAGAGGGTCCCAACCACAATGCCTGTCTGCAGGAGTTCCCAGGGTGGAGGTCCAGCTGCTCTGAGCCTGGTCCAAGGACAGCCACAAACTAGAGATAGGCTTTGGACAAAGCAGTGTGGCCGAGGTGGGGTGTTGTACCCCATGCGATGTGGAGAGAGGGAACTTCTGTCGAGGATGGCAGAGCAGAGCTGGGCAGCAGCCCAGCACAGGGCCCTCCCTCACCTGAGTGCTCACCATCCAAGTCCTTGTAGCACAAGGTGAGCTGGAAGCAAAAGCCACCCCAGCTCAGATGTCCTGGTGAAACGCCGGGAAAGGGGCCTCAGCCAGGGCCATGGCAGCTTAGGGCTGGTTCCCATCGCGTTATCAGCAAACGAATCTTCCCAGAATCAAGCTCTGATCTTTCTTCTCTGATGTGAGGTGCTCGGCGATTCCCAGGAGGCGCTGATGAGTTGCTCAGCCTGGCAGCCGAGTTCCAGCAGAGTTGAGACCCAGCGGCTCCTCTGGCTGTTCCTGTGTTGGGCATTCTCCTGCTCCTAGCACCGGCTGGCACTCTCCTCTGTGGCCTCTGTTCTCTTTATTGTTCAGTTATGAGGCTTCTTCCTCAGTTCCATGGGTTAAAATCCAGATGCAAGCCCCCCCCACCAATTACCCCTTCATTCTACAGAGTTCCCAGGTTCTCGCCCACTCTGCCCAGCACCTTACTGGAGCCTCCACCATGAGGCCTCCCGTGCTGCCTCCTGGGATAGTCACGCATGTGCCTGTGCGGCTGCCCTACCAGACCCTGGGGCCTCCAAGATCGCAAACTGGTCCATCCCTCTCCCTGCCTCCAGCGTCTGCCGACCATGCTTGCACGTAGCCGTGGACTTGTGCCGCAGATTGGGGTAAATAATCCTAGAGCAGATAACTAAGGTACACTCTTCAAACTGTAATTCATCACAAAACTAAGTAATATTTTGTTTTTAAATGTACCTAAGCCCATGTTGTCTTGTTGATATTAAACTGTGGGGGTATAGAGGTGTGGTAGCATTTTACTAAGTCACAGAGGATATAAACACTTCTGCTTAAGCTCCCAAATCGTCAAAGCCAGGCATAGTGGAAGAGAAGTTGAATCAAATCGAAGTTTATTAACAAAGATAGCTGTCATGCCAGGAATCGTTATAGATTTCGTCAAATTTCAGAGGTATATGTAATTATGAAAAGCCATAAACACAGTAGTTTCCATGAAAAACTATGAGTAGGTATGGAAAATAAAACAGATGCAAGGGTAGGAACCACAGCTAATAGTCCATGAATCTAATAATTAGTTAACTGATTAACGAAATGCATATTCATTAAGCACACCTGTAGAGAGCCTATTGCGTACAGGTGCCGTTCCAGCACCGGGGACTCCCTGGTGTGACCCACAGGTAGGGTGGCTGTGCCCCATGAAGCTTGCATGGAACTCACCATCTGTGGTGGCACTGATCCAAATTCAATGAACAAGGTGATTTCTGATCAGGGCTCTGAGCTCTGCGTCAAGTGGGAGGGGTTAATGTGCTCTGGAGTGACAGGGGTGGGAGGGGTTTATCAGAGATCTGGGAGCCAGGAAAGGTCTCCTGAGGGGATACTCAAGCTGATGCCTGAATGCCAAGAGCCACCTGGGCAAATGTGGGATTGTGCCTGGCAGGTGGAGGGCCCAGAGCGTGCAAGGCCCCAGGTGGGATGACGTGAGTGTGTTCATGGAGTAGTGTACAAGGCCCCAGGTGGGATGACGTGAGAAGGCCCCAGGTGGGATGACGTGAGTGTGTTCATGGAGTAGTGTACAAGGCCCCAGGTGGGATGAATTGAGCATGTTCAGGGAGCAGAGAGAATGCTGCTCTGTCCAGTACCTGTGAGCAGGGGAGGTGGGGGCGGGAGGAAGTGAGAGGTAGGATCTGGTACCATCTCGAGAGGCTGCAGCAGGGACACTTGAAGATCTAGTGACACCTAAGAGCTCCCTGTTGCTGCTGCTGGGGGAGCAGGAAGGGGGATCACCCTGACAAGACTGGTGGCAGCTGGGACAAGAGTCGTGGCTGAGGAGGAGGGAAGGAGGTCAGCTTCCCGATGTGTCTGTGGGCCGGCAGGACTCACCGCCGCAGGCAGCAGGCTCAGGCACCTTTGGTAACTAGGCCCACAACAGATCCTGAACTCCCTGTACGTCGCATGCACATCTACAGACTAAATACCAAGGAGTTTTCTAAAAAGGCCAATGACAGGTCAGGTGGACCTGAATTGTTACCACTAATTAGGATAAAAGAGGTTTACAGATGCCTTGGGCCAGGGCAGTTTCCCGGAAAGTCTGAAACCAGCTCTCAGGTGTGTTTTGTGGAAGACACGGCTCCTCTGGCACAGGGCTGTGAAACTAGCTCTCAGACATCGGTGAAACTCTGCCTGATCTGCTTCTCAAACAGCTCCCGTGTGGTGCTGCCGCCATCTCCGCCGTCAGGAGTGGCTTTGCAAAGACGTCTTATGCTGACCGCATGTCTTTTGGCCTTTCTTTTCAAGAGCCAAACACTTCCTCCTAGACAAGACACAGCAAGATACTATGGCTTCACGTCCTTCCTAAGCAAAGCCAGGGACCATTCGGGAAATTGTTTAGCAATGCTCTGAGTCTTTTACTCTTTTGAAAGCTTTTGAGCTCAAGACAGTTTCTGGCAAGGCAAGTCCATTCATTCACACCTAAAGCTACAGCATTTGTGAAAATAATGAAAAGGTCTTAATGCTGGCATCTTTAACAAACCCTTCAAAGTCACAAACACTCATGAAAGCAGAAGCCAGAACTAGACTTTGCTCAGAGGTGAGCAGCTGATCCAGCTCAGGGGTCCCCAGTGATGATTCTTTCTGAACAAGAGTCCTCAGCTCCCCCACTTCCCTCTGGGACTGCACACTTTCTGTTCCCTTCCTCAAGGGAAGCCTTTTCCCCTGATTTTCTGTCACAGTGAGGTTGCATTCGTGGTGAAGTCGGTCCTGGTTTTGGGGCCAACCTCACTGCTCGTGGGGCTGACAGACGAGACCCCAGGAAGCATAGCGCCATGATGGGAGAAAGACATCCCCTGGGCCTTCCTGGCGACTCACAAGGCTGGATGTTCTTGTCTACGACACCTGCCCAGCGGAAGGCCCAGAGGGGGGTGGCTCTCTGGAGTTGACTCTGCAGAGCACTGGCAAGGCCAGGATCCAGAGCTGCATACACCAAGGGCCGCCCTCCCCCAGGCCTACTGCACCTGCTTGGCCTTGCCTACCTGCCATCTCCCATCGCCCCCGCGGCCCTGGCAGGAGGGATTGTTTCTCTTTCTGTGTACAACCAGAACCTACTACAGGGCCCAGTCCACAGCAGATGGCTAATGAATGTCTGCTGAATGGATAGAAAAAAAAAGAAAAATGTTTTAAATGTTCAAAATACCTGAAGGAGATGAGAGGACATTGCTTAAGTTATCAGGGAATGAAATTCCCAATAGAAAGACATGCTAACTCTCAGTTTAGAAAATATTATCCTTTAATCCATGGTTTTCTCTGGAAAAACCACCAAAGTTAAGAACATTCCACATCTGAGAAAACACTTCACGTCGCTGTGGCTGCAGCAGCAATGGTGGTGATGACGGTGACACTGGCAACTGCACGTTGCTGAGTGTCCGCTATGCACTGGTCATGATTCTAAGTTCTCACATCACATTTAACACATGACAGTCCTCTAATGCAGACACTATGGGAGCCCACATTTTGCAGATAGGGAAACTGAGGCAGCTGGTCCAGATGACTTGGTCACTACACAGAAGAGCCATGCAGCCCGGCTCCAGAGCGACGCTGCCTCCGGTTCCTTTATCTACCTCTGGTGCTCCCGGTGGCTGACAACGCCTGCTTATGTATTCTGCTCTCTGCAGGGGGTGCCGCTGAATGCCGGTCCTTGGAGGTATGGGCTGGACTTTATGACTCGCATCCGTTGCATAGAATACAGTGCGTGATGCACAGGCATAAGAGGTCCCTCAGCTTCCTGCTCAATCGCAGCCCAGGCCAGCAAGCCAACCATACCCTCATGTGAGTCCCAGAGCCAGAGCCCCCGACTGGGCAGCTGGGGGATCTGTGACAACAGGAACGAAGCTGGTGAGTTCGGGGTAGTGTGTTGTATAGCATCAGATAACTAATAGAGTCTATTTCCTCAGCAATACAAGGATCCCCCAAAAGCCTCATAAAGATAATCACTGAGGACTCCTTAGTCTTTGAAATGTAATCCTCATTTCATTAAGTTTCAGTGACCATCACATTTTGATGACTTGGTAAAAATTCAGTACTGATGGAAATCATGACCATATTATTACATCACTGAGGTTTCTCTGCAAAACAGGAACTTGTTGATCAGGGTATTCATTTTATGCAGGCTGAGATGCAAACTTCATAGGCAGGCTGCACACCAGAGGGTAATTCAGTATCTCTGCATCTGAGTAAGAAAGTTCTTAAACCACTGTCTCTTTTTATGTCAACTTACAGGGAAGAACATTCTCCAAATATCTTAGAAATTCAGTCAAGTGTTTCAAAGCCAAACTAAATTACTCCAGCTATTTGTCGGAGTTGGAAAAGAAACTTCTAGGACTGAGCAGCCATAAGATACAGCCATAGATACCCTGTGATTGGCCGGGCACGGTGGCTCACACCTGTCATCCCAGCACTTTGGGAGGCCGAGGTGGGGAGTCACTTGAGGTCAGGACTTCGAGACCAGCCTGGCCAACATGGCAAAACCCCGTCTCTACTAAAACTATAAAAATTAGCTGGGCATGGTGGCACGTGCCTGTAGTCCCAGCTACTTGGGAGACTGAGGCAGGAGAATCACTTGAACCTGGCTGGGCGGAGGTTGCAAGTGAGCCGAGATCATGCCACTGCACTCCAGCCTGAGCAACAGAGCAAGACTCCATCTCAAAAAAATAAATAAATAAAAGATACTACGTGATTGTATTAGCATCACATCTGCCCACAGCCTTGGAAAGTAGGCAGACGCTCCTCCCTTTAAGCCTGAGGAAACCCAGGCTTAAAGAAGTGACATGATCAGCCAGTTCCCACCAAGCCCCACCTCCCACACGGGCACTGGGGACAGGGGAGGGATAAGTAGCCAGTTCCCACCAAACCCCGCCTCCCACACGGGCTCTGGGGACAGGTGGGGGGTAAGTAGCCAGTTCCCACGGAGCCCCGCCTCCCACACGGGCACTGGTGATGCCCTGCGCACTCTGGCTGTGTTGTCAGGCACTCACACAGTTAGATCAGTAACTTGCAGAAAGGCTCCTCATATACCAAAGTTGAGTGGATAAACAGCCTTTTACCCTAAGAGTGACCTCAGAGTTTGCAAGAACCCACACATTTCTTGGTCCTTATACAAATTCAGAGGAACTGCAGACAGTGGTGTCACCAGAACCATTTAGACAATAATGTGTGTGGACGAGACATGGAGAAGGCTTCCATAGTCGGTGATGCTATTCCAGGACAGGTGAAACTGCTCAAACTCCTGCTATTCCAGGACAGGTGAAACTGCTCAAACTCCTGCTATTCCGGGACGGGTGAAACTGCTCAAACTCCTGCTATTCCAGGACAGATGAAACTCAACTTCAACTAAACCAATCAATATATTCAACACACCAACACACACACAAATTTGACTCCAGTCATTGATAAAATAGTAAAAACAATAGTTTCTTTCCTGTTTTAAAAGGAGCTTTTCCCTTTCATTCAGTTAATTTAACAGGGAGTGATTCCATTTTTTTTTGTAGTAATTCAGTTTACTTTATTTTAAAAAATAACTCAGTGTACCAAATGATTTAATGACTTCAATGTATCAAAATTTTATTGGCTCATAACCTACATCTATTTCATAAAATAAGGTTTGATCTAAAATGACCCTTGGGCGTTTCCAAGTTAATTAATTAGCAATACTTCGGAAAGGCACAAGCTATGATGTGAAGGCTTTGAGTTAATATAACACCAGTTCCCTATCATATCAGCCCATTCTTCAAGGGCTTTGCAAAGCAGCAGTTCTCCAAATGCAGCCCTTACGCCAGGTGCCACCTGGAGGTTGTTAGAATTTGTAGAATGTGGGGTCCCCCCAAACCCCTGAGTCATAAAGATGAGGAGGGGAATGCAGAGTGCAGGGTACCGCCCAGAACCCCTGAGTCATAGAGACAAGGAGGGGAATGCAGAGTGTGGGGTTCCCCCCCAAACCCCAAATCATAGAGATGAGGAGGGGAATGCAGAGTGCAGGGTCCCCTCTAAACCCCGAGTCACAGAGACAAGGAGGGGAATGCAGAGTGCAGCGTCCCCCATAAACCCCGAGTCACAGAGATGAGGAGGGGAATGCAGAGTGCAGGGTCCCCCCTAAACCCCGAGTCACAGAGATGAGGAGGGGAATGCAGAGTGCGGGGTCCCCCCAAACCCCGAGTCATAGAGCCAAGGAGGGGAATGCAGAGTGCAGGGTCCCCCCAAACCCTGAGTCATAGAGCCAAGGAGGGGAATGCAGAGTGCAGGGTCCCCCCAAACCCTGAGTCACAGAGACGAGGAGGGGAATGCAGAGTGCAGGGTCCCCCCTAAACCCCAAGTCAAAGAGACGAGGAGGGGAATGCAGAGTGCAGGGTCCCCCCAAACCCTGAGTCATAGAGATGAGGAGGGGAATGCAGAGTGCAGGGTCCCCCCAAACCCTGAGTCATAGAGACGAGGAGGGGAATGCAGAGTGCAGGGTCCCCCCAAACCCTGAGTCATAGAGACGAGTAGGGGAATGCAGAGTGCAGGGTCCCCCCTAAACCCCGAGTCACAGAGACGAGGAGGGGGATGCAGAGTGCAGAGTCCCCCCAAACCCCGAGTCACAGAGATGGAGGGGAATGCAGAGTACCGGGTTCCCCCCTAAACCCCGAGTCACAGAGACGAGGAGGGGAATGCAGAGTGCAGGGTCCCCCCCAAACCCCGAGTCACAGAGACGAGGAGGGGAATGCAGAGTGCAGGGTCCCCCCTAAACCCCGAGTCACAGAGATGAGGAGGGGAATGCAGAGTACCGGGTTCCCCCCTAAACCCCGAGTCACAGAGATGAGGAGGGAATGCAGAGTACCAGGTTCCCCCCAAACCCCGAGTCACAGAGACGAGGAGGGGAATGCAGAGTGCAGGGTCCCCCCCAAACCCCGAGTCACAGAGACGAGGAGGGGAATGCAGAGTGCAGGGTCCCCCCCAAACCCCGAGTCACAGAGACGAGGAGGGGAATGCAGAGTGCAGGGTCCCCCCCAAACCCCGAGTCACAGAGACGAGGAGGGGAATGCAGAGTGCAGGGTCCCCCCCAAACCCCGAGTCACAGAGACGAGGAGGGGAATGCAGAGTGCAGGGTCCCCCCCAAACCCCGAGTCACAGAGACGAGGAGGGGAATGCAGAGTGCAGGGTCCCCCCCAAACCCCGAGTCACAGAGACGAGGAGGGGAATGCAGAGTGCAGGGTCCCCCCCAAACCCCGAGTCACAGAGACGAGGAGGAGAATGCAGTGCAGGGTCCCCCCTAAACCCCGAGTCATAGAGATGAGGAGGGGAATGCAGAGTACTGGGTTCCCCCCTAAACCCCGAGTCATAGAGATGAGGAGGGGAATGCAGAGTGCGGGGTCTCCCCCAAAACCCCGAGTCACAGAGACGAAGAGGGTGCTGATCACATCCCACCCCAGCTTCCAGGTGCTTCTGACACAGCTGAAACCTGAACCCATGACTTTCAGGGCTGTGGCCTCCCCCGCCCCCGCCCACATGTGTCCACCAGCCCTGGGAGTGAGTCTGAGGCAGGGATTCTCAGGGACGCTGCCTGCATGCCCCGGAGGAGTAGCGTGTGTGTGTGCACACGTGAGCTTGTGAGTGTAGGCTTGAGACCGTGCTGCCGACCCAGTCCCTGGAATCCCTGTGCTGAGTTGTTCTCATGTGGCTGCTGGCCCAGGGAGGAGCGTTACGGACAACTGTTAAGTGGAAATTGTCTGGACGTAATGCAGTTCATCAGCTCAAAAGCTGTGGGTCTGGCTGTGTGAGCCAACAGCGCTAGTGTCCTGGTGCCTGGACACACGGATGTTCTGGGGCTGTTGCTGAAACTGCGGCACAGTAAGCCCTGCAGCCTCCCTGGAATCCCTGAGGAGGAGCCGGCTCACCCAGCGCCGCGAGCATCTCTTCCTGACTCGCAGGGGGCCCGTGAGATGGAGAATCTGCCTGACAGGGTGCACTTGCACAGCCAAGCACCAAGAAGGAAAATGGCATTTCATTAGCCATGGAGACAGCCGGGAACCCAGCAGCCTTCTTTATTCTGGCTCATATTTTCTCATCATTCTCAGGGAGTTGTCCAGGTAACAATGACCTTGTGTAAACCAGCGTCCCTGCCTGAGTCCTCTTCACCTGAAACCACCGCCCCACGCCAGGCTCCACCTCCCCACGCCAGGCTCCACCCCCCACGCCAGGCTCCACCCCATCCCACGCCAGGCTCCACCCCATCCCACGCCAGGCTCCACCCCATCCCACGCCAGGCTCCACCCAATCCCACGCCAGGCTCCACCCCCCACGCCAGGCTCCACCCCCCCACGCCAGGCTCCACCCCATCCCACGCCAGGCTCCACGCCAGGCTCCACCCCCCCCACGCCAGGCTCCACCCCATCCCACGCCAGGCTCCACCCAAGCCAGCGGCACCGGTTCTGGCTGGAAGGTTCCCAAACCTAGGCCAGGGTGTGAATGCCAGGGGCCCTGTGAGTGGTGAGTGATGGTTGCTGGGTGCTGGGGGCTGGCGCTGTTCCCGCCGCGCCCTCCATGAAGCTGACTCTCAGTCCTGCTCTCTGACACCGGGCTGTGCTCAGCAGCCACGAGCTGACCACGCGGTGAGGCTGTTCACTTTTCTCCCTGACTCCAGCTCTCCCCACATGCAGCTCATCCCCGACATGGGCTCTTATCCCACCAACCGCTTCTAAAGACCTGCAGAAGCTCCCTAGTCACAGGACGTGGCGAGCCCAATACTCACGTCTGCCCCTGACTTCTGCACTAGGCCCTGCCTCAGCCACTGGCCTCCTGCCCCTCACTGTCGGCCTCAGGCCCAGGCTCTCTGTGTAGAGGCCTCCTGGCTTCCCCACCCCGTGCTGCTCCCCACCCGGTGCTACTCCCCTGGCTGAGCGCCCACACTTCTTTCCCCTTTTCCAAATCCCACCTGCAGGTGGTGGTCTCTAGCACTCCTCTTGGTTCATGGGCCTTGACTGACAGCTTTCTCCTGCAGCCATCCTCTCCACAATTCTGGGAGCGTCGACTGTGCTCACTCAACACTCCCTTTAACAAAGTGACATCAGATGTTTGGGCCCTACTTGCATTTAAGCCATCCAGTGCATTCCACATAAAAAGCGTGCACCTGGAGGAAACTAAATAATCACAACCAATCACTCTTTTTTTAGAAAAAAGCAGCAGCTCTCTCAATGTAGACCAATTTATCGGTCTAAACTAGAGAGACCGGGCAAGCCACTTCCATCTTGCGAGTTTAGCATATTTGCCTGTTGACACCTACACTTGGAGGAAGCCATTCTGTGTGTGTGGTGTGCCTTCACAAGTAATTTCTATGGAAAACAGCCGTCAGACAGTCATCCTGGCCCAAGGTGACCTCATTACCAGAATTTGTTCTAGTTGTCATTAGACATATCACACTATGTCACTCAAAATGGGAAAGAAAGAGAAGATACTGACATGCCGCCCCAGTGATTAGAGATGAAAATGTAGTTATACCATATATGATCCCTGCTTGGAGACTATACGGATAGGGTTTAAGATTCAGGCCCCCCTCAGATCCATCACTGTGGTCCTGAAGCCTCTGTCCTTCTTCTGTTCTTTTAAACTTCTCTGTGTAGATACAGCAAGTGTGTTTTCTACTCACTGCACAGCCAGCGCTGCTCTTGAACAAACTCCTGAGGGAGGTGCACGGAAACCATGCATCCAAATCCGGAGAGCAGGGAGACCAGCCGGATAGCCCACCTGGCTGACGAGACCCGGCCTCGCTCAGAAAGCTCCTCCAAGATGCCACCGCGTGTGAAATGCTTGGGGTTGAATCTCGAGAGCAGGGAGACCAGCCAGACAGCCCACCTGGCTGACGAGACCCGGCCTCGCTTAGAAAGCTCCTCCAAGATGCCACCGCATGTGAAATGCTTGGGGTTGAAATGTAACGAATCTCTCACTACTGACAAGAGAAAGGCCAGAACACAAACACACTTCCTGCTTCCAGATGGATGGAGGTGGGAGGAGGGAGGGGTTCTGACCATCTTCTCTGGTGCTCAGTGAGGCAATAGCATGAGATAGATACCCTCATCTACAGCCCCGCTCTCGTATGTCCGGGGGAAGCTATGGAGAGGGTGCTGCAAAGCTGCCAGCAAGTATGTCTGCCTCTGACGAGTCACTGTTGGATGTGAGGCAACGTGAAGGCTCCACCACTAGGACCCAGGCAAGACTGCCAAGCGGATGAGGCTTCGCTTTAGGACCATGGACTCTGGCGGCAGATAATGGCCTGAGAGGTCAGCTAGTCCAATTGCTTCCTTGTAGACACGCAGAAACTGACGCCCAGAGAGGCAGGGCACCCCGTGTGTGGTCACCGTGGTCAGTGGCAGAGGTGGGGCTGGAGGTCAGAACTGGCTGCATCCGTCTCCATCTCCCCAAGCACAGGCCATGCCTGCCTCTCCCAGGTGGCATCTCCTCTCTGTGGTCCTTTCCCTCCTGCCTGCCTTTCTGCGACATCTGCACTATTCAGACATCACGCTTCCTTTCGTCCTCACTCAAAATTCCCATTCACTCAGCATTACCACGGTTTGATATTAGGACTGCTTGATTCAAGCCAATAGTGCTAAATTAGAAATAATGAAGGCTTCACTCTTCCACGGGGTTCTGCCCTTGGAAGAACTAATGAAACCCAAGGACCATCCAGTTGGCAGGACTGGAAGTAACTGGGCAGAGGAGACATTTTGGAGCAGGTGGTCGGTGCCCACCCACTGACAGGAGCTGCCGGTTTCTGACCCACTCCACCCCTCCTCCAGGACCCTCCAGAGTGAATCTGGAGCGAGGGGGCCCAGTGACTTTGGGGTCATTTGCACGGTATCAGCTATAGCCGCAGTGAGAGGGAGGCTGCTGGACACGCTGGGGTTCACCTGTGTCCCAGGAGAACCCCGCTTTAGGATATAACGGGTTCATGCACTGGAGTAGCTGCCGGTACACATCTAGGGAGTGATGATCCCCCTCCACCAGCCAGTGGGGAATGAGCCCGTGAAGGTCACAGCCAGCCATGAAACAGCTGCACTGCCCCAGCACGCCGCCCACGCTTGGTCGGCAACACAGAGATTCCATTTCTTCCTGGGATTAGGAAGCACGAAGTGTCCAGATCTGCTTCTGAAATCTCTTCCTCCCTTAAGGTAAGGTGCTGTGTGGAGCTTACTGGAACCTAAACGGGGGCAAGATGACCGGTCACTAAAGGGGGCGAGGTTACCAGTCACTAAAGGGAAAGGGGGCGTGATGACCAGTCACTAGTGGGGGTGAGACAACCGGTCACTAACGGGGGCAATATGACCCCTCACTAATGGGGTGATCGGTCACTAAACGGGGTGAGATGACAGGTCATTAATGGGGGCGTAGTGTCCGGTCACTAATAGGGTGTGATGACCTGTCAGTCATTATCTCTTGCATAAGAGACTTCCCAGGGGCAGAGCAGACCCGGTGGACAGCAGGAGCTGCCTGGTCCCACTGCTGAGTTTTATGTCTGGATGCTGAATAGCTGGAGGAAGCGGCCTGCTGGTTTTGTTCACACTGGGTGAACAGTTGGAATACAGGTTCCTCGGGCCTGTCCTAAATGCTATCAGTCTTTCTCTAGAGATGGGGCAGTTATTATGCAGTGTGGGATCCACAGTTACAGAGCGGATGGGGGACTAAGAACATCCATTCTGCAGAAAGTGGGACATTCAGGGCAATAGGGAATCTGCTTTTCAATGCAGCATCCCAGTGGGGTGGCCCCATCACTTCTGACACCTCCATCACTGATGCCCCCAGCTCTCCCCACACCTGCCATTCCCCACGTTAATGCAGCAGGGATCCAGAGAAGGGTCTCCGGACATCACTGATGCCCCCAGCTCTCCCCACACCTGCCATTCCCTGCGTTACTGCAGCAGGGATCCAGAGAACACTGTCCGGACATGCAGGGGACCGGAGTCCTCACCACTCCCCCTTTTGTCTTCTCCAAGCCAGGGTCAAAGCTGCCTCATGCAGACGGAGAGGAGAAGCTGCGTTCCCTGCCTTTCCCGAATTGTTTGTGGACTGTGAGTGATGCATGTCCTGTGGCACCATGGGAGCACCAGGGAACACCATGCTGTCTCTCCCCGGAGCCCCCACTGGCGTCCTGGCCATTTCCAGCTTGTCTCCCAAAGACAGGCTTCTTTGTGCTTTGGTCACACGGAGAATTATCAGTGCAGTCTCTGTCTCTCTCTCTCATTTCCCCCTAAATTGCCACATGTTGCAACTCCCAGGCGTGCCCCCAGCTCTCCTGAGGCTGGTTTGCAGTGGCCGGGCCCAGCTAAAGCAACTGAACCTCCAGAGCAGAGGACAGTGTCCTGCCTGCACGTCTTGACATGGCCCCACAGGAGGGTTCCCTGTCTTTCACGTGCTGATAGACCAAACACACCAAACGCATTCCCGGGCAGGTGTGTACATCAGAACAGTGATGAATCAGGGACCCTTCTTAGTGCTACTATAAGTAACAACAGTGAGTCAGACGGGTGCAAACCCTTTGGAAGACTCAGTCTGCAAGCCCCAGGGAGCACAGGGGGGCTGGAGGGAACCGGGGGAGGGATGCACAGGCGAGAAATGCCCATGACCCGGTCCACAGGTCATGCACGTCCACACTTTCTAAAAAACCACCTACAAGAAAGGGGTTGTTTCCTGGCCCCCAGTGGGGTGCAGAATGTCAGTGCTGGGCTGCACCCTGGGCAGGGCTGCTCTGGGCAGCATCGCCACACCCGTGTCCCATTCTTGGGGTGCATCCCCTTCTCACATCTGTGTCTAAAGCCAGGAATGGGCAGTGTGACCTGAGGAAAATCAGGGACACCCTCTGTGTCCTCATATGCAAACATGTCTCTTTCATGCCAGTTAAATGAAGAAAAAGGCAAGACCTAAATCCTGAACTCCTACCGCTATAACACATTCCTCTGCGCTAAGGAACTGACATTCTAAAGGTGCAGATACCCCCGGGCTGGAGGCTGAATGGGCAAGAAGATCCCGGCACAGCTCAGGCTGAGTCGAAAGACCGTGGTTTTTGGCCAGGCACAGTGGTTCATGCCTGTAATCCCAGCACTTTGGGAGGCTGAGGCAGGCAGATCACTTAAGCCCAGGAGTTTGAGACCAGCCTGGGCAACATGGTGAAACTCTGTCTCTACTAAAAATATAAAAGTTAAGCTAGGCGTGGTGGCGCATGCCTGCAGTCCCAGCTACTCGAGAGGCTGAGGTGGGAGGATCGCCTGAGCCCAGGAGGTCTAAGCTGCAGTGAGCCGAGATTGCACTACTGCACTCCAGCCTGGGTGACAGAGCAAGACCACACCTTAGAAAAAAGAAAAGAAAAGAGAAAAAGAAAAGAAAGAAAGACAGCGGTTTTCATAAGGGGGTAAGACTCAGAGGGCAGAAGAAAGCGGAGTCTTGTGGGGGGCACCATCTGTGGCTGGGTCGGAGGGACGAGGGCTGCTGTAGCCCTTTCCTTTCTGCACCGCTCTGACCAAGTGCGTCTAAGGGGTGGAGGGATGAGGGGGGTGGGTGCCTTCGTGGCTGCTTAGCCATGATTCTGCTGGACACCATGGTCTGGGGGAGGCAGCGGGGGCGGGTGCCACCTCACCTTCGGGTACCTGACGGGCCGGAATGACACATCCTTGTCATGTCCACCCCACTTCACAGATGGGAAACCGGGGCTCAGGTAACTCAAGGGAAGCAGCATTGAGAGGTCAGGGCAGGCCTTCTGCCCAATCCCCCGCCTGCTGGCTGTGTTCCTTCCACACTCGGCCAAGGTCTCTGCCCCCGCATCCCACCCCGCCCTGCCCAGGGCTGCGCTGACCTGCCTTCTCCCCCTCCTCCTCATTAGCTGCAAAGAAAACTCTTCTGGGGGCTGCCAAATGCAGAGCTGCTTCGTGTCCCTTCTTTGACAGTAAAAGTTGTTTTCTTGGAAATAAATCAAATTTGTATTTCTCAACAAAACCTGCCCTCCATCCCTCTATGAAGAAAAATGCAAGTTGCTCTTCTGCGCTCCAAATACACCGAGACGAAAACAAGCCCAGGTGAAGCTGCAGCTGGGGACACGAGTTAATGTGAGTGCGAGCCCAGGGCAGAGCGGGCCCAGATAAATAATTCATGAGCGCCACCGGGGAAGACCGGGCACTCGTGGAGTTCAACAGATCATAAGCAGGATCCAGGGTCGTGTAGCGACACAGCTTCCCAAGCAGGCGAGTGACCTGGAGCACAGAGGGGAGGGACGGGGACAGGTGCAGCAGAGATTGGGCACGGGCCAGGAATGCATCACGGCACCTGCGCACAGGGGTGGCCTCCAGGGGCTCCAAGTCCTCTGGGATCCAGGTTCTCCTTCCTTCAGGGCACCCCCACCCACCCTCTCCCCAAGGCTTGGGCCACACTCCATGCCACCATGCCCAACGGTCCCCGCCCTGCACCCACCTCTGGCAAGTTCTGGGCAGGGGGAGAGCGACACAAGGCAAGGGAGGAGACATCGGTGGATGGGGGAGCAGGGCAGGCTGGGGGTCAGGGCTCAGGGCGGTGCTGACAGTAGGACATGCTGGTCCCCTTCCCAGTGAAGTCCCAGGAAACAGCCTCTCATGTTGCTGGGCCGGTGCTCAGGAGCTGGGGCTGCCTGGGGCACAAAGCACGTGGACTAGGACACTGGAATGTCACCGAGCTTCCCTCCGATACAGTGGGAGGGAGGACTTGGCGCACAGTGGGTGAGTGAATGGACAGGCAGGAGTGACCAGCCCAGTCCCAGCGCTTACCGAGGAGGACTGGGGAGGGGGGCCGAGTCTCCAGTCAGGCAGAGAGAGCTGCTGGTGTCAACCCTGCCAGCAAGATGTGCCCCAGATCCCCAGAGTCCAGCGAACTTCCCTGGCCCTGGCCAGAGTCCACGTCTGACTCTGAAGGTGTGCGGGGTGTGGACATGAGGGCACTGCTCATCTCCACTGCCAGGCTTTGGGGTGTGGATGCAGGGGCACTGCTATCTCCACTGCCAGGGCTGCTGGATATGCTCCAGCCTGTCACAAGCCAAGGCGACCGAGCTTCCCTGAGAGGCACCCAGCCTGATGCAGCACAGGGCAACAGGCTGGGGCATGACGGGCTCTGCTGTTTCTCAGTCTCCCTGTGATGGGAGTCGCAATCCCATCCTCGGAGGGTGGCTAAGGGGATCCCCAAGAAAGTACCCGGACAATTCCTGCCACAGAGACACTTTAAAAAGGGCAATGGCCGGCATTTCTGAGGTTTCCTTTTCCTAACCAGGAACAGATTCTCTTTGACAAATGGGTCTTGCCACTTGTTATGAACCCAATGCCGTGGGCCCGGCCTGCACTTCCTGGTGGAGTCCTGGCCCCACCCAGCTCCTCTACACGTCCTCTTCACTGAAGGAAACTCACAGAGCCCTGGTGGCACCGGGTGCTGCCCGTGCAGGGCACAGAAACTCAGGGCCGGTTTCCCTCTGGCTGAGGGAGGGTGAGGGAGGGCGAGGGAGGGCGGACCTGTTTCCTGTTAAACCCTGGAGCTAGCACAGACTTGCAGCCTGCCTGGGACCCAGTGAGGATCTGTGGAGATGGGCTACAGGGAGTGTTGGGGTGAGAGCTGCACGGGGCTGTTCTCAGCAGATCCCAGCAAGTGACACACCCAAGGCTGGGGACCCAGGACAAGGCCAAGGGCACCTAAGCACCAAGCAAGAGTGAGATTAGACCCTCCCAGAAGTGATGCACCCAAGGCTGGGGACCCAGGACGAGGCCAAGGGCACCTAAGCGCTGAGCAGGAGTGAGATCAGACCCTCCCGGGGCTCAAAAAAGGCTCCCAGCATCGGTCACAGCCCGTGCCCCTCGCAGGCCTGCATGACAGTCAGGGCCTCCATCACCATCAGGCCAGCACAGGCACAGCCCAGACATGCAGGAGGCTCCAGCCAGTATTTGAGAACAGACGCCTGAGTGCCGGGACTCGGCCCACAGCCCATTCGCCCAGGGAGACTGGTGGTCCCCATGTGCCACCCGAGCTGTCAGGCACTCAGTATGTTTTTAAAGCCTCACTTTTTAATTATATCATCTAATACATGGAAAATTGTGTATCACTACTGTAAATGAAAAGCAGAATCATTGCTGTGAGAAGGCCACCCTAAAGGTGAGTTCCATGAAAACAAAACACCCAAATTTTGTTCATTTAAACGTGATCAAAGACTGCATGGCGACACGTTCTCTGGAAAGAGGGGCTGCTCATGGCCCCGAGTCTCTCGCTCTCCAGGATGAGTTGGGAGTGGAATCGCCATGGCCACGGAGTCCCTTGCAGCCTCTGAGCTTCTGCCTGTGGGAAGAGCTGGCAGGTTGGGGGACCGGCCACACGGTCTGTACTGAGTGGGTCTCTCAGCACCACCTCATTCTAACAGGAGGGCTCCTGAAATCAGCGCCTTATGGTGCTAAGGTTTTAATAACACATTAGAATACACAGAACTAAATAAAAATAAAACAAAACAAAATAAAACACAAAAGCTGTAGAGGATTTTCTGCTCTGGAAAACACCAGTGCACACAAGCCTTTATCTGGGGGTCCCCTGGAGGGGTTGGGGTGGCCCAACAGAGAGCAGGGAGCAGAGGCAGATGTGGGGGGTCACACTCCACCAGGAGCCCCCAGGCACCGTGGCCACAGGACAGCCGAGCTTGTGGACTGTCCTCCAGAGTCCAGCTGGAATCACTGCCCACGCCTAAATCTAAGAAGAAGTATGCGATGGGAAGACCTTTTGGCTCCTTCTGCTCAGGAAGCATAGACAGTATCTTCAGTTTTGCCCACGCAGGCCCCTTGAAGGGGACACACAGACGCCAGGAGACAGACGCGTGGCGGCCGGGTCACTCCCAGTGGGGAGCTGTGGTTTGGGCGCCTGAGCCTGGAGCCCCCGTCTTACTGGGAGGTGTTCCCTTATGACGGAGCCCACGGGGTCTGCCCAGGTCACAGTCCCCTCCCACAGGCCACGCTTCAGGAGGATCATCGCAGGTGGGTGGCCTCTATTGAGGTGTGAGCTGCAACTTTCCATTTTCTGATCACGAGCTCTAACTCATTTTCCCACAACATATTATGGGCGGCTCATAAGATTTTCTATCAAAACGTAAATAGATTCGGATTTCTCTGAAGAGCAGGTTTCCTATATCGGTGCGTACCTGTCCGTGTTCACATTAAGACCAAGGACAAAAGAGGAAAATAGATTTTTTCCTAGGTTGTATGACTTTATGAAATTAAAAAAAAAAACCACCTAAGCAGCCCTGAGCCTCCGCAAAAAAAGACCCCACGGGGACATCCCGTACCTGGTCAGAGCCAGGACATACCCCATGTGCTTTTTTTTCCTCCCCTTTCAGAAATGTAATTTCCATGACGCGTCCACCCAGGGCCAGGAACCACAGAAGAGAAAGAGCAGTGGGAAGCTTCCAGAAACTCCCATGAGGGCTCAGGAAACATGGGGAGGTGGCGATCGGAATCATCTGCCAGGCCTGGAGAGCCAGAGGTCGGCCAGCCGGGAGGTGTCCTGTCCCTGAGTCCCCGCCCTGGCTCCACTTTCATGCAAGAGAGGGGCAGGGTGGGCCACAGAGCTAGGTCCTGGAGAGCCACCCCCAACCCAGCACGGGTCCAGGACAGCAGGAAGAACCCATCCTAGGTCGGAAGTTCAAATCTCTGATTTGAGATGAGTGTTGACCCTACGGGGGTTGAAGGCCTCTCTGGAGAGCGTCGATTGAGCAGACAGGCCCAGAGCTGGACGATCTCTCCCTAAAATGCCAATGGCCTCGGAAGACAAAACCCAAGGGGGGTCAGTGGCCCCCCATGCACTGAGCTCACTGGGTCTCCCTGCGCCCGTGTCTGGAGTCATACACAATGCTGTTATTTTACTGCCTAATTTCAAAATGCACGGCTGCAGTTTACACCCTGAGCTGTGGCTTGAATAATTTATCGCAAAGTCCCTGTGTCAGTGACCAGTGTGTTGGGTGTTGCTTTGAAACCCACAGAGAAGACCTAATGTATCACGTTGTTTTCCTCCTCTTTAAATATTATTGACACAGCGATACTTCACTACAGGCCATTAATACTGGTCTGCTTCTAGAGGAGAAAATACCGATGCAGGTCAGGGCAGGTGACTCGCTCTGAGCCACTTAACACTGGGTGGCAATGGTAACCCGCCACTGCTTCCTTTTTAATTTAATCCACGAAGCAGCACAGCAAAGTTTCCTCATATTTCTCCTCTTAAAGCTGACAGAAAATAACCAGCAGAAAACAAACAACACATCTTAGGGAAGGGAATTTAGACAAGGACAGAGACCAGGGAGCGAGAGGAAGATGCCTGTGTTTCCCACAGTCATTGGGATGAATCTGAGGCAGCGTTAGAGCGAGCGCCTTCCACTTTGGCCCACAGCTCCTTGTTCCTAAAATCAGCACCGCATCCCCAGCTTACAGCTCCTTGTTCCTAAAATCAGCACCGCGTCCCCAGCTTACAACTCCTTGTTCCTAAATCAATGCCGCGTCCCCAGCTTACAACTCCTGGTTCCTAAAATCAACGCCGTGTCCCCAGCTTACAGCTCCTTGTTCCTAAAATCAACGCCGCGTCCCCAGCTTACAGCTCCTTGTTCCTAAAATCAACGCCGTGTCCCCAGCTTACAACTCCTTGTTCCTAAATCAACGCTGCGTCCCCAGCTTACAACTCCTTGTTCCTAAATCAACGCCGTGTCCCCAGCTTACAGCTCCTTGTTCCTAAAATCAACGCCGCGTCCCCAGCTTACAGCTCCTTGTTCCTAAAATCAACGCCGTGTCCCCAGCTTACAACTCCTTGTTCCTAAATCAACGCTGCGTCCCCAGCTTACAACTCCTTGTTCCTAAATCAACGCCGTGTCCCCAGCTTACAACTCCTGGTTCCTAAAATCAACGCCGTGTCCCCAGCTTACAGCTCCTTGTTCCTAAAATTCAACGCCGTGTCCCCAGCTTACAGCTCCTTTGTTCCTAAAATCAATGCCACGTCCCCAGCTTACAACTCCTTGTTCCTAAATCAACGCTGCGTCCCCAGCTTACAACTCCTTGTTCCTAAATCAACGCCACGTCCCCAGCTTACAACTCCTTGTTCTAAAATCAACGCTGTGTCCACAGCTTACAACTCCTTGTTCCTAAATCAACGCTGCATCCCCAGCTTACAACTCCTTGTTCCTAAAATCAACGCCGCATCCCCAGCTTATAGCTCCTTGTTCCTAAATCAATGCCACGTCCCCAGCTTACAGCTCCTTGTTCCTAAATCAACACTGTGTCCCCAGCTTACAAACGCTGTGTCACACTCTACGGTTTCTATCTGGTTTTATTTTCATCCAACTCTCTCCAGGCCTGCCTGTCACTCAGGGAGAGATCTCACCAGTCCAGCCACATCTGGGAGATAAAAATGCCCAATTCAATGAGCATTTGTTAAACACACCCCAAGGTTTGTTGCCATGAATTGTAAATTCCTGGAAGGCAGCAAACCTGCAGTCTTAGAGTAGGATGGGGCCTTTCAGCCCCTGAACGTGCATCTGGGTGTGGACCAAGGGCTTGCCAGCCCCGCAAAGGGCATGGGCAGCCTGCTTTGCCTCAGCGTCCACATGAGCAGGCGGCGTAGCACCTCCTGTCAGAGGGGAGGATCCACGTGTGCATGTGGAGGTGCAGAAGGAGGGGTCATCCATGGAAATCTGACTTCTACGGCAAACTCAAGTTTAAGCAAAAGTAGACTACCCTTCGGAAATGCACACTGGAACGATAGCAAAACATGAAATCGACGTAAGTGTCCATCAGTGGATGAATGGATAAAGAAAACGTGGTGTGTCCACACAATGGAATACTACTCAGCTATGAAAAAGGATGAAGTTCTGTCTGTTGCGCACAATGGAATACTATTCAGCCATAAAAAAGGATGAAGTCCTGTCTGTTGCACACAATGGAATACTATTCAGCCATAAAAAAGGATGAAGTCCTGTCTTTTGCACACAATGGAATACTATTCAGCCATAAAAAAGGATGAAATCCTGTCTTTT
This sequence comes from Homo sapiens, assembly GCF_000001405.40. Lineage (NCBI taxonomy): Eukaryota > Metazoa > Chordata > Mammalia > Primates > Hominidae > Homo > Homo sapiens. The sequence continues at coordinate 157,996,127 of NC_000007.14, forward strand.
GCAGCAACATGGATGGAACTGGAGCCATTATCTTGAGTGAAACAATGCAGAATCAGAAAGTCAAATACTGCACATTCACACATTTAAGTGGGAGCCAAATTACATGCGTGCATGGATGTAGCACATGGGACAATGGACGCTGCAGACCCGGGACGCTGGGAAGGGAGAGGAGGGTGAGAATTCGCCGCTCGGGCCCATCTATGTTATTCAGTGATGGCTACACTCAAAGCCCAGACTTCACCACTACACAACAGATCCACGTAGTAAGACCGCACTTGGACCCCAAACATTCATACAGTAACAAATATTACTAAGAGAACCTACTGGTCAGATAGATCTTTGCTTTCCTGCCAGTCAGTGCCAGGGGAGCTTTGGTCTCTCACACGGCTTAGAGCCCTTCCTTCCAAGGCGGGCAGCTCCTGCGTGCACATGGGGGCTCCCACCACCCCGAGGGCCGGTCCCCCATGCCTGTTGGAGGGTGGTGTGGGTTTGCTCTGGCTGGTGTGGACAAGCCCTTAACTGAGAACAGGGTCAGGGGACCTTCTAGCTTTCTTCTCTAGCTTTCTTCGTCTCTAGCTTTTCTTTTTTTAAGGCATTTATTGCTCCTGAAAATAATCTGTGCTTGCAAAGAAAAAAAGTCATTTTGTTTCAAATCCAGTGATAAAGAATGGATCTTTTCTTCTCCTAGCAAACCATTTTCCCTTGCCCCAGGGGACCATGTATGACCTGAGCCATCTTCCCCCACGCCAGGCCCTCAGGAGACCCAACCTCCCTGACACATCCTAGGCCCGGGGCGGGTGTGGGGAGGCACGAGCTTCTCTGGAAACCAGCAGCTGTCGCCTGCTTGCCCATCTGTCACCAAGCTCTAAGTCCTGCTGTCTGCTCAACAGGCATGAGGAGCAGTCCCACAGTGCAATGAGGCCGGCACGGGGGCCCAGGGAGGGCTCGGCCCCAGGTCCCCTGACGTGGGGTGTCTGCCCTCCCCAGGAGGACGGGGTTGGGGGCACATCTGATGGGGCCTGGGTCATGCCTGCCAGTTCTGCACAGAGCTGCCTCCTGAGTGCCCACGTGCCCTGCGGGGCTGCCTGGCGGCTCCATTTGCTCTGTGTCTGTGGAGCAACTGCGCCCCTGGGCCCGCCTGGCCTGGGCTCCCACTGAGGTCACAGCACCTGGGTCATTCAGCTCCAAGGATGGGGCAGGCCCCACAGGGCAGGACCCCCTCCAGCAGTTCCTGCCTGTCCTGGGAAGGCCACGGAGACAGACCCTTGACTTCAGGACAGGGGGCTGCTCTTTCCATAAATCCCCCTGGCTGGCGCCTGGAGCCCAGGTTCCTCCCACACAGCCAGTCATTCCTGCCATCCACACTGGCCCTGCAAGGGCTGGAAGGGCCACAGGTGGGCCTCACTCAAGAGGGAAGGACCAGGGAGGAGAAGGGAGCCACATTAGCCTGGCTGGGTGGGCAAAGCCACGTCAGCAGCCAGAATGTCCCTGCAGATAAACGTGGGGGGAGGCATGACAGAAAGCCGGGTTTCTACAGAAAGAGGAGGCCAGGGAGGGGCAGAGCCTGGGGGGAGGAGTGCAGGGAGGGGCAGGCAGAGACCAGTGGGTCATAGGGACCCTGTGGAGCCCCCAGACCAGCCCCTGCACAGAGGAGAGGAATGTGGGGCCGGAGGAATGGAGTGCAGGGGAGATGAGTGCACGGGAGAGGAGTGCAGGGGAGTGGAGTGCAGGGCTGGGGGAGAGTAGTGCAGGGGAGAGTAGTGCAGGGCAGGGGGAGAGGAGTGTGGGGCTGGGGGAGAGGAGTGCAGGGGAGAGGAGTGCAGGGAGGTGGGGAGAGGAGTGTGGGGCTGGGGGAGAGGAGTGCAGGGGAGAGGAGTGCAGAGGAGAGGAGTGCAGGGTGGGGGGAGAGGAGTGCAGGGTGGGGGGAGAGGAGTGCAGGGTGGGGGGAGAGGAGTGCAGGGGAGAGGAGTACAGGGCGAGGGGGAGAGGAGTGTGGGGCTGGGGGAGAGGAATGCAGGGCCCGGGAAAAGGACTGCAGGGCCAAGGGAGAGGCCCAGGGCCCGGGCTGCAGCCTGGCTTCAGCTTTTACCCGGCAGCCTCAGAGCTCTACTTTTAATTAAGTGCCTTACCAAATAATTAATTTGTACTCCTCTGTGGAATAGGAAAAGAGCCATGAAATAATTAAAGAATTAAAACACTAGCTCAGAGCCAGGAGCAGCAGTCAGGGCTGGCCCGGAGGCTCCTGGGCTCTGACCACGCCATCCATCCGCTGAGGACAGCAGACCACCTGCGTGAGACGCGGAGGAGCAGCAGCTCTGCCGTGAGAGGAGCCCGTGTCCAGCCTCCAACGTAGATGCTGTGTTGGACAGAGTCTAAATGTAGACCGAATAAGCTACCTCACATTTCAAGCTCAGTAAATGTAATGTTTAATCACACCTGTAATCCCAGCACTTTAGGAGGCCGAGGCAAGTGGATCACCTGAAGTCAGGAGATCGAGACCATCCTGGCCAACATGGTGAAACCCCATCTCTACTAAAAATACAAAAATTAGCTGGGTGTGTTGGCAGGCACCTGCAATCCCAGCTACTCGGGATGCTGTGGCAGGCAAATACTTGAATCTGGGAGGTGGAGCTTGCAGTGAGCAGAGATTGCACCACTGCACTCTAGCCTGGGTGACAGATACTCCATCTCAAAAAAAAAAAAAAAAAAAACTCTACTTCAAGTTGTAATTCTGAGATTTTGAAGCACGTTTGGCTGGACTCCATCCTTCATGCCCCACGTAAGAGGGTTGTGTTCTGGGTAGAGAAGTCATCTTTGTGCGGGGTGCGAGGCATCCGGGGGCCAGGGGACTGTGAGCTGCAGCAACAGTGACCCCTACAGTGCTGACAGTGTGGGGCGGTCCCGGGTCCGATCCTGGCTGTTCCTCCGAGCGGCCGTAGGGGTCCGCCCTGGCCCCTACACTATGCCCACCAAGAGGACCTCCTGTAAACGTGAGCCTCATGCCAGAGAACCCACAGCCAGCCCCTCACACCCCTGCACTGACCGGCTTTTATTTCCAGCCTAAAAGAAGAGAAGGCAGATTTAGTTGCCTGAACACAAACCCTCCTTCTCCCTCGCTCAAGCCATCAGGGGGTTCTAGTCGGCTTGTCCACTCTCATCTCCTTTAAATAAACAGCAAAACCGTTTTCACAACTCAGCTCCCAATGTGAAATTAGTTTCATGGTGACTGAGCACCGTGTGCTGCCCGAATTTCTCACCAACCTCAGACGCTCTCGTTTTCACGTGCCACGGAGCTACACAAAGATAAAGCAGCCCAATAAAGACCCGGCTGAAGGCTTTTGTGTTCTCTCACTCTTGCCCACTTACCCTGCGTTTTCCACCAACACAGGCAGGGGAAAGCTTGGCCTGGGAACCTGAGTTCTGGGACCTGCTCCCTGGCTGGACTTGCTGGCACCCACCGGAGATGAGGCCTCCAGGAAACCTGTCATCGGGAGACTCGTCCACACGACGAGACCAGGGGGAAGAGGTGCTGTCTGCAGCTGTTCTCCGCGAGTCCCTGGCCCACCTGATAACGAGTTCCGTAACTGGAAACATCAAGGTGGGGGTGTGGGTCTGAGACTTCACTGCACTTTATTAAATCTCAGCCACTCAAAGGTGGGGTGCAGACTGGGGTTCGCAGCTCCGACATACCACACTTGATCTCAGATGTTTACCTGATGAACTTTGGCCTCTGGTTTTTATTTTTACTTTTTTTTTTTATTTTTCATTATTATTTTTTGAGTCAGAGTCTCACTGTGTCACCCAGGCTGGAGTGCAATGGCAGGATCTCAGCTCACTGCAACCTCCACCTCCCAGGTTCAAGTGATTCTGATGCCTCAGCCTCGCGAGAAGCTGGGATTACAGGTGAGTGCCACCATGCCCGGCTAATTTCTGTATTTTTAGTAGGGATGGGGCTTCACCATGTTGGCCAGGCTGGTCTTGAACTCCTGACCTCAAATGATCCACCCGCCTTGGCCTCCCGAAGTGCTGGGATTACAGGCATGAGTCACCTTGCCCAACCTAGTTTTTATTTTTTTAATTAACTGCTTGCCTCACTAATAAAACTTCTCTTTTGCCAAAGGATGCTTCTCAGGTTGCATTCCCCAGTCAGGGGAATAACCAGAGGATTAAAACAAAAGGTTAAAGTGATCACTTCAAAAACAATTGCCAAGGCCCGTAAGAGAAGGGTTTAAAAGCCCCAGGGCCATGCTTGGTTTCAGGCCAGAGGGTTCTCAGCTGGAATCACCCAACACGTGAAAGCCGTGGAGAGGCCGGGATGAAAGCACCTGGTCACCACTAACGCCCTGCACACCTTTCCTTCTTCCTCCTCCTCTTTATTTCTTAACAGGAAGCTGCCTGACATTTCGGCTTTGAGGTCTACTGGGAAGCATGACTGAAGTTGGGGTGCAGGGTGGGGGCTGGTGTCCGGCCGCAGGTGGGGAGCAGGGTGGGGCTGGGGTCGGGCCGCAGGTGGGGAGCAGGGTGGGGGCTGGTGTCCGGCCGCAGGTGGGGTGCAGGGTGGGGGCTGGGGTTTGGCCGCAGGTGGGGTGCAGGGTGGGGGCTGGGGTTTGGCCGCAGGTGGGGAGCAGGGTGGGGCTGGTGTCTGGCCGCAGGTGGGGTGCAGGGTGGGGGCTGGGGTTTGGCCGCAGGTGGGGTGCAGGGTGGGGGCTGGGGTTTGGCCGCAGGTGGGGAGCAGGGTGGGGCTGGTGTCTGGCCGCAAGTGGGGTGCAGGGTGGGGGCTGGGGTTTGGCCGCAGGTGGGGTGCAGGGTGGGGGCTGGGGTTTGGCCGCAGGTGGGGAGCAGGGTGGGGCTGGTGTCTGGCCACAGGTGGGGTGCAGGGTGGGGGGTGGGGTTTGGCCGCAGGTGGGGTGCATGGTGGGGGCTGGGGTTTGACCGCAGGTGGGGAGCAGGGTGGGGCTGGTGTCTGGCCGCAGGTGGGGTGCAGGGTGGGGGCTGGGGTTTGGCCGCAGGTGGGGTGCAAGGTGGGGCTGGGGTTTGGCCGCAGGTCTGGTGCAACGTGGGGCTGGGGTCGGGCCGCAGGCGGGGTGAAGGGTGGGGGCTGGGATCTGGCCGTAGGTGGGGTACAGGGTGGGGCTGAGGTTCGGCCACAGGTAGAGAGCAGAGGGCCTTCTCCCACAGGCCTGCTCTTGGCTGTGCATGTCACAGAGGGGACCACACTCCACACTCACAGCAACCCAGAGGTAGAGTTCACGTGCAAAGAATGGGAAGCTGGAGCCTTAAATAATTTGCCTAAGTTCAGGCAGCAGCAAAAGCCAGAGCCAGAATCTGGAAGCAGGTACAGCTGATTCCAAACCTACCTCCTATACCCATGACCCCTCAGGACCACAGGGCCTGAGTCCACGGCTGGGGACGTGCACAGCAGGGGGACCTGAGGACCGGGAGGGCGGCACTTCAGCCTCACGGGCGCTCCCACCATGCAGACAGACGCAGGCAGTGTAGTAGATGGTAAAACGGCCGAAAACCATCAGCAGCCTCAGGACCGCCCTGTCATGATGCCAACTCCCAATCCGTGCTGAGAGCCCGGCACTGCCTCAGGGAGATTAGCAAACACTTTTCATCTGTTTATACACAAACAGCAGGCATGGGCCCGCTGGCCTTCCAGGAACATGAGTCTGCGTGACTGGCTGTTGTGCCCTCACCCGGAACCGTGCCAGGCACCGAGGAGGTGCTCAGTAAACTATGGGGTTGCATCGTATTTGAGGTCATCCGGAGGCACCCGCTGCTGCACTGGGACTCCTGGAGATCCTCCTCCAGCCGGAAGCTGGCCAAGCTGTCTCCAGGTCCTGGGATCACGTTGTTTCAGTGGAGACGATGGCCGCCAGCTTCAGATTCAGAAATGGCACTTAGTGCCTCTTCCCTTGGAGTCACCTCGGGTGACATGGGGTGGCCCCCATGGCCAGCACTGACCAGCTCTGCCCCCCACCGAGGCGGGAGCCACATCTCACCACCAAATGCCCTTTTATGGGAACTGAGGTGCAAAGCGGGGGCTTGAGGCAAGCAGCCCCCGCGGGAAACACGGCGTGGTCATCAGGCGAGTGCTGCCTTAGAGACCCGCCCCCTGCAGAGGCTGTGCTCTGGATGGTCACTCACTCACCCCTTTATTAAGAGTTGGTTCTACGGAGGATGAGAGAGGCAGGGACGTGTTTTGGGAGAAGGTCATATGAAAAATTAGTGCCACAGAGTTTCGGCCCCTAAAAAGCTTCCAGTTTCACGGTGAGGGGAAATGTTGTAAACTAAAACCTCTGGTGGGGAGAGTCACTTTTGTTGCCCGAATCCCCAGTACAGTGGACGGCGCCTCGTGAGCCGGATGGCAACCTGGCCAGCATGCAGTGAAGGAACAACGGGGCCAAATGCCGCAGGTGTGGATGAGGGAGAAAACAAAAGCTCCCACTGCGCCCCTCCCTCCCTGGAGCTTAGGGTTCATCTGAGGGGTGAAGAGGAGGATGTGAAGGACACCACGGGGGTCAGGGAGCCTGGGAAATGTCCAGGAATCCTGGGGCCGGGGCCTGCTCCCTGGAAGCAGATCTGAGGACGTTTCGGGCAGGTCAGCTGCAGCGAGAGAAATGGACTTGCCGGGGAGGAACTCCCGGCTGCCTCAAAGCTCAGCAGGTCCACGGAGCAGGAGCCACACAAGGCTCTTCAACAAGCCCCGTGAGGTGGGGAGCTGGCCTGGACCACCCTGGCGTGGACACGGCTGGGCTGGATCTCATCTGTGGAACTCCTGGCAGGAGATGGAGTGCCCTGGTCCTGGCCGGGGTTTGGCAGCACAAGTGGGGGTCTGCTACAGGCCGCTTGGATCCAGGGGAGGAGGAAAGAGCACAGGAGAGGGCAGGAGATGTTTGGCTTCTGTCATGAGCTGACCTGTGTCCCCCAAAATCCACAGGGGAAGCCCTGAACCCTCATGTGACTGTACTTGGGGACAGGGCCTCTAAAGAGGTAAAGGTAAGGCCGGGCGCGGTGGCTCACGCCTGTAATCCCAGCACTTTGGGAGGCCGAGACGGGCGGATCACGAGGTCAGGAGATCGAGACCATCTTGGCTAACACGGTGAAACCCCGTTTCTACTAAAAATACAAAAAATTAGCCGGGCGTGTTGGCGGGCGCCTGTAGTCCCAGCTACTTGGGAGGCTGAGGCAGGAGAATGGCATGAACCTGGGAGGCGGAGCTTGCAGTGAGCCGAGATCGCGCCACTGCACTCCAACCTGGGAGACACAGCGAGACTCCGTCTCAAAAAAAAAAAAAAAAAAAAATGAGGTCCTGAGGGGGCCCCAATCCAATAGGACCTGTGTTCTTCAGGAAGAGGAAGAGACACACAGCCTGCATCTACACAGAAGGACAGCCCCTGAGGACGTGGCCACGACGCAGCCACCGTGAGCCAGGGAATGCGGCCCCAGGAACAAGCCCTGCCCACAGGCGTCCCAGACCCAGGCCTTGGGGACTGCAGAGGATGGATGTCTGCCCCACCTGTGGGGCTTCACCGTGGCCACCCGAGCTGACTGACAGGGGTGGGGAAGCACGCCATCCGGGCTCCAGCCCTGCGGTTGGCGGGATCCAGGTTTCTTGGTGGTGGCGAGCTTCTCACATGGGCTTGGCGGCACCTCCCAACACGCCAAGGCCAGTGGTAAAACGGGCCTCTGCTTTTTTTAAAGAATAGCTTGTCTAATGACTCTGAGAGCATCTATTAATTTCATCACTGTTGCCGACTTAATCAGCAAACTTCATTTACAATTCCACAAGCTACGAAAAATCATTTGCTACTGTCATAGCAGTATAGGAAACGTGTCAGCACCTTGGGAGCCTGGCCAGTGTTTCATTTCACTGAGTTCCAGAAGACTCCGGCTCTCGGATGGGAGCAGCCCCCATGGCTGCTTTTCGGCTCCTCGTTTGGAAAACTTGGTGACTCTCTAAGGTGATAGGAAAAGCAAAAATTGCTCTGTTAATGCTTCCAGTGCCCAATTTGGGAGTAAAGAATGGGTTTTATCACCAAAAAGAAGACTTCACATGATGTTTCTGCCTGAGAGAAGTAGGCAGGGTCTAGGGGCCATCCTAGCCTCCTCCCATCCCAGAGGATGAGAGAGGGAACCGCCCACTTCCTGTGTGGCCCCAGGACTCAGAGCTACCCTCAATGGCACCCGAATTTTATTCCTAACCCCTCCCAGATGCTTCCTGTGTGTCCACAGCTGGGTGGTGGTTCTAGTTTTAGGTTTTTTATATTTAAAAAACCAGCAGATTAAAAAATTAACCAGCATCTATTTTTAAAGAACTGCATGCATTCCTTTGCTATAAATAACACCTTAGTGGACTCTAAAAAAAGTAATTCAAAACAATCCTTTTTCACTGGGTTTGCTGCTTGTTTACATTATATTTCTCTGAGATAACAGAAAGAGGCACATCTTATCACTTTCCTGACAGTTTCATTTTCAGGATCTGATAATGCTATGTGTGCTTATATGGAAAATATTGATCCCACTATACTCTGCTCTTCCTAAATTTTTCATTTTTTAAAAAATTCATGACAGTATTTGATTCCCAGAGGTTTTACAAACCATCTCCTTCAAGCAAATGCATGTAAATTTCACTTCTGTGACTCTGAGTTCATTTTTAAAGAATGGTTTTAGAAAATCTTCTTCTACTTTGCCAAATTTCATCTTTAAAATGCTTGTTTCTGTTCCTCTCATGATAATGGTAATGTTTATGATGGCTGATTTTAAAACCTCTTAGGGTATGAAGTGTGTTGTAGAAATGCTAAATGCTAATAGATACATAAACAGTAAGATGGAAGCGGGAGAAACACACACCTCCCCCTTTCCTCACAAGCCTCAGCATTTCCGGCTTGAGAAAATCGGCCTGGCACCCATGAAGTACCTGCGGTCTGAGCTGTGTGGCCACTATTTTTTTTTTTTTTTCGAGACGGAGTCTTGCTCTTGTTGCCCAGGCTGGAGTGCAATGGTGTGATCTCGGCTCACCACAACCTCCACCTCCTGGATTCAAGCAATTCTCCTGCCTCAGTCTGCCGAGTAGCTGGGATTACAGGCGTGAGCCACCACACTTGGCGAATTTTGTATTTTTAGTAGAGATGGGGTTTCTCCATGTTGGTCAGGCTGGTCTCGAACTCCCGACCTCATGTGATCCGCTCAACTCAGCCTCCCAAAGTGCTGGGATTACAGGCGTGAGCCACCGCACCCAGTCGTGGTCACTCTTAAGGTGGGTGCAGCTTATGGTGGCGAATATGGAAAGGTTACTATTGGCTTTCGCTGATTTCTTTAAAAAAAAATGCAAAGAGAAAGGTCACTAAGCAAAAGACCTAAGCTGGTTTGGAATTCACTAATCTAACACTGGCTAGAGTTTAAAAAGTAGGGGCTAGTAAAGCCCACTTGATATGCACAAAATAAGATTAGCTGCAGCGTTTTGCTGTCCACGTTGTCTTAGAGAGCTGGAAGATGGGGTGCAGGGGGAGGTGCAGGGCAGGAAGCATCTGCGGTGAGGCCTCTGGTCAGTCACTGCACAGCTGGAGAAGGCTCAGGTGGTGCTCGTGGCCCACGAGGGGTTCTCCCCAGAAGAGACAGGAAGGGCCCACCGTGGTTTCCCACAGCAATGTCCTCATGCACGCTGAGGCACACATCTTACGTGGATGCTGTTAGTATTCAGTACACTGCGTCTAAAATGCACGTGTGTGCAAATGCGTGTCTCTAGTGCACTCAGAGTGGGAAGTCTGCACGGCTCCTTTTAACTCTATGGGATCATGAAGGAAAGTAAAACCTTAGAGGCTGAGGGGTTTCTGCCTGCATCTGAATTTCTTTGGAATGCTCATGTCAAATCTGATGGAAAGGTGGTACTAGCAGCAGCCACTGCCCAAATAAACATGTTCAAAGCTCCTTTTCACCAAGGCTTCTGCTGTGAACCTCTCCCTTCTTGGGGCACCTGCTGCCCCTTCCTCCTGCCTCTCCTGGGGCAGCACAGGCACCTGCAACCAACTTACGGAGTTTTGCAGATGTGACACCCTAAGAAAGCAGCCAACACTGTGTTCCTCGTGGAATTACTGAGTTCACATCCCTTTTCCTTTTTAGAGAGACAGATCCTATAGGCAGCATGAATGGAAATGCAAAGACTCCATCGATTTTTACCAACTTTTCCAAGGAAAGTCCAAATCATGTTTGCTCCTCCATGGTGGTACAGTTCAGTGCCAGCCTGGTCTGGCCCTGGAGCCTTCTTTTGGCATCCAGAACATCTCCCTGACAACCCAGAAACACAGCTGACCTCCTGCCATCCTGAGCCTCACAAGCTTGCTGGACACCTGCGGTGAGTCCCAGCAAGGGTGAGTCCCAGCGCCAGGCAAAGATCTGGCGAGGGAAGAGCCGCCCGGGATGCAGACACACTTATCACTCACTTGCCATTTCCACAACCTCATTTCTTTGCAGCTGTGGACGGCAATGGCTTCCTTAAGGGCCATCCCACCCCTATGGAGATAGATGCCAGGGCTTGGGAGCCACCTGGTGTGGCTGTGCACGCTGAGTGTCCTTGTCACTCAGAGGAAGGTAGGCCCAGGGTCCCTTAGGCCAAGAGACTTGTTTGGGTCTGACTGGGGCCACCCTGGCTGTACCCACATTTCCAAAAGTAAACCTGTAACGCATCATGTCTCAAAGACAGGAAACCCCATGGACACCCCAGCTCCATCATGCGGTCATGACATTTTGGACCAGGAGGGCCTCCTGTGTGGTCCTCTGGCGGGAAGCCTGCTAGTCTCCCTAGGGCTGCCCTAACAAGCCTCACAGCCTGAGCGGCTCAAACAACAGAAATGTACTCCGTCACAGTTCTGGGGGCTGAAGTCTGAGGTCCGGGCTTCGGTTTCTCCTGAGACTGCGCAGGCTGGCGGGCGGCCGTCTCCTCCTGTGTCCTCACGTGGCTTCTTCTCCAGTGTCTCTTCTTTCAAGGACACCAGTCCTGCTGGAGCCAGGCCCACCCCACGACCTCACATAACCTCAATCGCCTCCTGAAAGACACTTTCTCCAAATACAGTCGCCTTATGCGGCCCCGGGTGTTGGCGCTTCCCAGGTGAACTTGGGGAACACACGTCAGCCCATCCCAGGTGGAGCTGCGGCAGTGCGGGGTGTGGCTGGTGCTGGGGGTGGGCAGGAAGGGTAAGCAGGGGACGAGGGATCAGAGGCAGGAGGTGTCCTGGCCCTAACATTTCCTTTGCTTCTCGTAAACCTCACCTGAGCCCACCCAACACCAAGGCCACATCAAGGAGAGAGGACAAGGGGAGAGTGATCACAGGGTGTGACAGTGATGGAGGGGACCCAGACGCAGGGACTACGGAGGGCAGTGGGGCCTCACAGGGCACCTCCCACAGGGAGCAGAGAGCGGACGATGGCCGGTGGTGATGAGATGTGGCCCTGCTGTGGAGGAAGCGCCAGGTGCATCTGATGAAGGCATGAAGACACAGAAGGGGACAGGAAGGGGCTAGAAAGAAAAGTATCACAGTCAGCCTGGTCCCTATGCTGTGTGCACGTGCATGTGTGTGTATGTATCTGGGTGTGTGCATTGCATGTGTGTGAGGGTGTGTGTGGCTGTGCTATGTGTGAGGGTGTGCTGTGTGTGGCTGTGTGTGGGTGGGTGTGCTGTATGTGTGTGGGTATATACATGTGGGGGTGTGTGGGTGTGTGTGTGCTGCATGTGTGTGGATGCATGCATGTGCACGTGTGTGTATGTATCTGGTTGTGTGCATTGCACGTGTGTGAGGGTGTGTGTGGCTGTGCTGTGTGTGGGGGTGTGGGTGTGTAGGTGGGTGTGCTTTGTGTATATGTGGGGTATGTACTTGTGCACGTGTGAGTGTGTGTGCTGTGTGTGGGGGTGTGGGTGTGTGTGGAGGTGTGCTGTGTGTGGGTGTGCTGTGTGTGGGTGTGGGTGTGCTGTGTGTGGGGGTGTGCTGTGTGTGTGGGTGTGTACATGTACACATGTGTGAGTGTGTGTGGGTGTGCTGTGTGTGGGGTGTGCATTGCACGTGTATGTGTGTGGGCATGTGCATACACACTGCCTGATGGGTTCTGAGGAATGAACGGATCCATGAATCAATGATTACACCCACCAAAATTTCTACTGATTGCATGATGGGAAAATATGGAATAATTGCCCATTCTTATTTTCATTTTCAGGAGAAAGAAAACAGGAGTGAGACACCAAAACGCAGGGCTTTGTTTACAGAGAAGGCCGCGGGGGCTCCCCGCCAGGTCTGTGCATTTCAACTCAGTTCTGTCCTTCCTCATAAACAGATGAACCTGTCCCGCGCGCGTGGTGGCGGCTTACACGGCGGAAACACCCTCAGGTGCTTTCTCACTATCAAAGAGCAGCTTAGCATTTATTTCATATTTTTGTCTTCCACTGATTCTTATTTATTTTACAAATTGCACCTGAACAATAAAGGAAGTCATTCCAAAAGCAGCAGCCTGCCCCCCACCAGCAGGCAGCAGTGACGTGTCTCCATGGGGCCTTAAACCTTCAGGGCCACGTTGTGATTTATCTTCACACAGCGCTTGGCGCATGCGGGCCTCTAACGAATGTTTAGAATTTCAGTGACTCTAGTATCACCGTTTTCTTTCTATCTTCTCTTCCACGCACGTGTCTGTCTTTCTCATGGTCTAGTCATTGTAAGTTTGTTTTTTAAAAAGTTTTACTAAGTACATATGCTACTAAATGTGGTGAGTAAATGTTTACTGTTCAATTTTATCACGTTGATATACTCAGACTTCTTCTGAAATGAGACACAGGCTTTCTCCTTTCACCTTTGTTTCCAAGATGCTCTTCCTGCCTCTAGCTCCCCGCACTCCCTGCACTTCCCCGAGGTCACTGCACTCACAGAGCTTCCTATGTGATCAGTTCCACCAGGCATAGCAGGAATTCTTCTCATTTGTCCAAACGAACAGAGCCCCAGGAGGCCCCACCTGGTGCCCGTGACCGACCCCCTCAGTGAACCTGCAAAGGTTCCCATGCACAAGGCGACGCTTCAGACATTTCACCATCTCACTCTCCAGGTCGGACTTGAAAACGCTCTGATCAATGATCAAATCTGCTTCCACCCAATTCAAATGCAAGCAGTTCTGAGGCACGATTATACACAATACGTGCTATTTATTAACCGTCACCACTCAGCTAGGTTCTTTGCCAAGAATTTCCCAAAAGAAGTCTTCATTCTACATAGCAACTTGTTCTTATCCATGGGAAAGATAGTGTCTTATTTTAAATGCAAATGAAGCCGATTCAGCATGTACAAGCAGAACCCGCAAATGAGAGAAATGTTGGTATATGTGATTTGTAAATAACAGCATATTAAAAATATAATAGATAAAATGTTTCCAATGATAAGGCCAGGATTCTTAATAATTGGATAATCTTAATCAAAAATCTTAGATGAGTAAAATTTTCCCACTTAATATAAAAACCACGACATCAAGCTGAGTATAAGGACACATTTAAATTCTGGCCAAAAAGCAAAGCTTATCCTGGGAGTTCCAAACCTCCTTCCTGCCTGGGCACAGCTCTTTCTGGGTATATAGCACATGATAAAGAGATCAATCTTTGAGCTTTGTTGGAAACAGCACACGAGGTAACACCAACCAAGCATTTAAATTTCTGATTTGGATCTATGAGCATTGCTAATGACACACTCACTGCACACTTGAAACTCTTGGATTTCCACACTCATCATCACTGATCTACGCCACGCCATTCCCAGAATTCCCCATGCCATCCTGCCCCACCATGGGCACCAGCCAAACCCACTGAGTAGGCACTGTCTCCCGCCCATCCTTCAAGACCAGGCTGGCCTTTGCCTGCCCCAGACCCTCCACCCTCACTTCCAGCCATGCCCCTGCAGGACCCCGTAGAGCACTTCATCTTGTCCCTGTCCTTGTGGAGGAGGCAGGGGCCTGTGTGAACTGCCCTGCTTACTCCGGCATCCCCAGCAGCCCTCAGCAAGCTCAGCACAAGGTAAAGCCTCAACACGGGAGGACGGAGTTCATTTTCCTCCACTACCACGAGATCCTGGGGGGCCAGGATCCTCCAGGTCCGTCCTTTCCTTCCTCTGCTCACCCATCCACCAGCTCAGCACCTACTTCAGGCCTCAGACGTTGTAGGTGCTACAGAGACATCTAGAGAGTGAACCCACAGACACACAAATAACCTGTGTTTAAAAGTGTGTTAACAGCATTGGGTGGTTCCCAGTGGGGTACACACTACATCATTTCTACACTTGAAAAAGTAAGAATTCCAAGATGGATGGATTTACTCAAAACCTCAGAAACACCACTGACCAGCTACTTCTACAAACATCAGTTCTGTTTTGTCCTGCCCACTGTGCATTTAGGCTAACAGGCAATGAAGAAATCTTGAAACTATGAGAAACTATGGAAAAAAATTCAAGTTTTAAGGAAGATACAGTAGCACCCCATTTATATAGCACCAGTAAAAGTTATTCCAAATAAATATATTTTCAGGGTAACTTAAACTTACCCACATAACACCAGTATGAGAAGTTTATATACTTTAAAAAGTCTATTTTTTAAAAAAGTATTGTTTATTTCTCTGCTGCCTTACACACAGTAAACAAAAGTTAATTTATTCCTGATGACTAAGACTCCTCCTTTAAATTTCAGTGAGGCCTTGGGCCCCCCATGGAGCACCTCAGATGCTGCAAAGACCAGTGGGTCTGCTCCCCCCACTCCAGATGGTCCCAGGTGGGCAGGGGAGGAAGAGCCCCATTTTAACAAGATCTTTCCACTTAGAATAACAATCGCCTCCACGGAGAAGGTTTTAGAAGTTACCAGTTTGTAAACACAGACGGAATCCTGAAATAGGACTGTCACCTTGCACCTTGCACAGAGATCCCAGCAAACACCACAAAGGTGTACAAATGACAGGAAGGTGTGCAGATGACAGAGTGGTCTCTGCTAGGATCTCTGCGGTGATTTTACCCACACAAAACCCCACCTGGGTCTGTACGTCATTGCTAAAGACATCAGATGTGCCTGTTTGATGCTGTGAAAGTTTTTCACATCAGCCCGTCTTCTCACAACATAGAAAGAAGGGGAAATTTACAAAAGAGCATGCCAGAGTCTATGTCTCCCGGTGATTGTTAAAAGTTGGTAGAGGCCTCTTCTCTATCATCTTTGTTTCAAAATCCCTTATGATTTTAACAAATACCAATGGCCTGAATCAAAGATGCACAAAAGATGCACAGGTGTTTGATTTCATTCCAGTTTGAAGCATCCATTCAACCAGAAGAGGGAGCACATGTTTAAAAGAAACCCCCAAACCGTCAGACCATCGTCACCGACGATCACCATATTAAGTGGTAGAAAATGGTACAAATTAAGAACATATCATGATGCTTAGGTTCTTAAGGAGCTATAAGCAAAGGAAGATATAAAATTATATAACACTGAAAGTGAAAATGAAAGTAGGAAACTACACTTTATATTTTGTCCCCTCTGTGGTTTTTGGGAACTTATCCTACAAACTAATAATCGGGGACAAGGGGTTTGAAAAAACTGTCATCTAATTTTCTGTCTCACAGAGGAGTTCCCTCGGACCCACAGAGAAAGTGAGAGCAGATATATGCGAGATGAGTTTTGTTTTTAAAAAGAGAAAAAGAACAATCTTACTCAGAAAAAATCCAGCTGGATTAGTTGGTCATAGATTGTTATTTTACACTGAGGTGCTTTTTCCCCACAGTTCTTTCTTGGTCAAATCATGGTTTCTTTCTTTTTTTGGTTGAAAAACTACAACAATAAGAGATCAAATATTCCATAACTCACCAAAGACTTCAGAATCAACTTGGGTGAGAAGAGCATCCTTTTCTGAATGTGGATGAAGCTGCCCCGATCCCGAGTTTGTAGGAGAGCCATTCGTCCTGAAATTGTTGGATAACTGCTCCCTCCCACTCCTTGGCTGAGAGAGTCCCACGTGTTGGGGGCAAGAACCACACATCTTTGTGCACTGTTCTTAGTGTCTGACACGTGCCTTTCGGAAGCAGATGTTTAAAACAATCTGCTCAGTGAGTGCGTGAATAGGTAAAAGGTTAGGGAATGAAGGGGGAACTGCCGGGGGCTGATACATAGATGACACGACGCTGGCTTTACACACCACATCACGGTGAGACTGACTCCAGCAAGCTTACATCACTCAGACGGCAAATATTTCAAAGAAAAAATCCATAGTGTTTAGTAAGCCACAGAAGAACATTTTAAAGTAAGGAGTAACAAATCTGTATGGAAGAATTTCCAAAATTCACAAAGCGTAGAAAGAAGATTGTTAAAAAGTATGTCCAGTGATTGACTTGGAGTGGGTACGGAGGCATGGGCAGTGGCCCTGGACTGCTGCCTCTGCTGGCACCAGCTCTTATTACCACCGCTTGAAGAACATGGTACATTTGTTTCTCATATAAAAATGTGAAAGCAGGCAGGTCGGGGCTAATATGGGGACTCATCCATGAAGCCCTCCTTTCTCCCCTCTTGAAATTCCCAGGTCACCTCTTGGACCATGGTGTAGCATCAGCTCCGGCCATCACATCTGCATTCCAAGAGCAGGGATGAGAAAGAGAAATGAAGGAGCAAAGGCACATACCTAACCTTCTAGCTGAGATCCACTGGCCACACCTAGATGAAAGGGAGCTGGCAAATGCAGATTTTACTCCAAGTAGGGGTGACTGTGACCCAAATCAAACCCTCAGTTCTATCTCTCCAGAAGAAGAGGAAAGTAGACCTTAGGCTCAGCCACATCTCCATGGAGAGTGGAGGTGGTCAGACAGAAGTAGAGATTTAGAAAAGTTCATGTGCCCATCCTTCCACCCACAGGCGGGATGCCAAGCACTTCCATGTTTGTCCTCTCATATATGACTCGTAAGGCCAGTGAACACCTGTAAGAATCTGAAGGAAAATCAACCATAAAGGAGAAAAGTTAATGTTACCCCCTCAAGCTTAGGAGGGCTTCCATAAGCTGAAGAGCAGGCTCCTTGAGGGAGATACTGGGTTCCTTGAATTCCACTTCAGAATCATGGCCCTGTGCCTTCTTTTCCTGCTTAGCCAGGCAGCTCCCTGCACAGACTTGGCAAGTTTCCAAGAGAGTGTTCATTAATCAGAGCTATTGCAATTGCTGAATATTCTCCAGCAAACCATTCATCTATATATCCATCCATCATCCACCTACACATCCTTCCATTCATCCATCCATTTCTCCATCCATCCCTCCAGCCTGCCTTCCTTCCTTCCTTCCATCCACCCATCCACCCACACATCTACCCATCCATATATCTATCCATCCTCCAATTCATCTGTTCATCCATCCATCCCTCTATCTATTGACCTACCATCTATCCAAACATACATTAATCTACCAATTCACTTGTTCATCTATCCATTCATTCACCCATCTATCCATCCATCATACATCTATCAATCCATCTATCATCCATCATTCATCATCTGTCTATTTACCCATCCATCTCTCCATCCATTCACCCACCCACCCATCCATCCATCCAGCCAGCCACCCACTCATCCACCCACCCGCCCATCCATCCATCCACTCATCCACCTATC
The DNA here is from genome assembly GCF_000001405.40 of Homo sapiens. Lineage (NCBI taxonomy): Eukaryota > Metazoa > Chordata > Mammalia > Primates > Hominidae > Homo > Homo sapiens. The sequence goes on from NC_000007.14 coordinate 158,013,776, forward strand.
CATCCATTCACCCACCCACCCCATCCATCCACCCACCCACTCACCCACCTACCCATCCATCCATCCACCCACCCACCCACCCACTCACCCACCCATCCTTGCATCCACCCACCAGTTTACCTGTTCATCCATCCATCTATCCCTCTATCCATCCATCCAATCACCCACCCATTCATCCATCCACCAACTCACCTATTCATCCATCCATCTACCCCATCCATCATTTGTCTATGCATCCATCCAGCCAGCCACCCATCCATCCACCCACCCACCCACTCACCCACCCATCCTTGCATCCACCCACCAGTTTACCTGTTCATCCATCCATCTATCCCTCTATCCATCCATCCAATCACCCACCCATTCATCCATCCACCAACTCACCTATTCATCCATCCATCTACCCCATCCGTCATTTGTCTATGCATCCATCCAGCCAGCCACCCATCTATTCACCCATTCACCTGTCCATCCATCCATCCCTCCATCCACCCATCTATTCACTCATCTATGCATTCATCAACCAGCATCCATCCACCCATCCATCCCTCATCCATCATTCAGCATCCATCTACCCACACACCCATACATCCATCACTTTACCTGTTTGTTCGTCCATCCATCCACCCATTCATCAAACAATCCACCTGCTCATCTATTCATCCATCCCTCCATCCATCTACCCATCCATCAAACAATTCACTTGTTCATCCAGTCATCCATCCCTCCATCCACGCATCTTTCCAACTACCCATCTATCCATCCACCTACCCATCCATTCAGGAAGCCAGCCATCTTTTCACCCATTCACCCGTTCATTCCTCCTTCCACCCATCCCTCATCCATCCACCCACCTATCCATATCCATCATCCATCATTCATCATCCATCCATCTATTTACCCATCCATTTCTCCCTCTGTCCCTCCATTCATCCATCCATCCACCCATCCGGCCAGCCAGCCAGCCATCTCTTCACCCATTCATCTACTCACCCAACCAACCATCCCTCCACACATTCATCCATCCACCCGTCCATATACCCACACATCCATCCACCACACATCCATCCATCTACCCACCCATTCACCTGTTCATTCATCCATCCATCCCCTACCTATCTCCATCTGTCTTTCCTCTTGTTTCAAAAAAGATTTGATTGTTTTTATCAAGTATTTTTAGTGCAAAAGCTTACTTTCATTTCCTAATTTTTAAGAGAATAAGAACTTCTCCTGAATATCATCTTTTCCCTTTTTGCTCTCTCATTTGTCTCTCTTTTTCTTCCCTTGTATCTTGCAAATCCCTCAGATAAAAGTGGGTTGCTGAAATGAGAGGCTCAGATAGAGCAGAGGGAAACAATTCAGCTCCAGATACCCAGGGGGTCTAGGCGGTCAGCTGACCTTTCTTCATGAGCACTGCAGAGTGCCAGTCTGTGCCTCATTTCTACTCCACGTTGAATCTTTGAATCTAGTGATTTGGTTGTTGATCTTTGAACTTCTCTAAGCCATTATACCTTTAGTTCCCTCTTCCCCACTTGTTCTCTGATTGTTCATTTTGTTTTTAACCTAAAATGAACAAATCCCCTGTCTACCGATTAAAAACTCTGAGGTCTTTTTAGTTAATGTGTGACAAATAGAGAAGAGATGGGGAGAGAGAGGGAAAAAGTGAGAGGAGGGGTGGTGAGAGAGAGAGAGAGAGGAAGAGAGGGAGAGAGGGAGAGAGGGAGATAGAGGGAGGGGTGGGAGGAAGACAGAAAGGTCCTCACCGCCCCCGCCCCTCACCCCTGTATGTGCATCTGGAATCCACTTTCAGGGGAAAGCAGAGCCCTTTCTCTTTACTCACCAGCAGTTCATATTGTTAATTTTTAACTAAAGACAACTGATTTTTGCCAGTAGCAGAGAACGTACGAGGTCTTTCTTCCTATTTTCTGCAATTAAGCAACCAGCTATTATTAGGAGTTCAAAACAAATCACAAACATGTCTGTCTATTACAATTGTCTAATGGTCCCAGGTCCAACACTAAGGGAAACACATCCATTCACTACAGCCTAGTAATTAAGACAAAAATAGACACGGAAGCCGCGATCGAGGAGGAGGGGGAACAAAAGGGTCAGCTTCCGCTAAGAAAGCCTCAGCCACGTCCCTGGGGAAGTTTCATGTCTTTCCTCACACGTGGCAGGGACGGCTGTGGGGTCCCAGTGTGTCACCTGCGTGGCCTTTTCAGGTTCTGGGGGCCTCGGTGGAAAACACGCACAGTGCATGGCCTGACACCCGCTGTTTTTCCTCGTTCAGGGAATAAGAGCCACTCCCAAGAACTCTCATTCAGACTCGTAATCAGCAAATCAACACGGATGCCTCTCAGAGAAAAAACGATGCTTCCGATTTCAGGAGCCCCCTGATGATTCCGAGTCTCTCATACAAGGGAGGTGGGGAGGATGGGCAGGGCTCGGGAGGTCCGGATGACTTTCCCCACGGACACGGGCAGAGTGTCACACTTCACAAGCCACAGATGCCTTGCGTGGCCTGTGTGTGTTTAGACCCCGTCCTGTGCCCCGCCGGGCCCACAGCACAGACGCGCCTGGCTGAAGGGCGAGGGGGAGTGGGCTGTGAGTGTAAGAAAGTCACCAGAGAAGGGCCGAGTCGAGAAGGGGCCACTCAGGGGCCTCCCTGTCCGAGGCGCGGAGCCCAGCATGGCTGACTTCCTCTCTGAAGGTCATTAGAGATGGATCCCAATAAATACACACACACCCATCAGATTAGCAGACCCAACGGTCTCCATGGCAACAATTGGACAAGCAAGTCGCCTGCAATTGGCATTAATTTAAAATATTTTTCCCCGAGTCTCCTTGGAGTCAGTTCCGTGAAACACAAGTGCTTGCCAGCTCTCTAATCTGCGGCGTCCTTTGAAATTCCATCCAGCGTGTGCTGAAGCTGAGCCAATTAACGTGGAGAGAATTGGGTGGATCGCAGAGAAGCTGGCAAGACCGTGTTTACCAATTAGGTTTTTTTTATGATGCAAATGTTGCACACCATGCGGCAGGAATAAAAGCTGGCTACGCTGAATATGAAACTGTTAATTGCATTTTCAGAGACATAGCTACAAGGTGAAACTAATCATACACATGATAACCGGGCTTCACCACCTACAGTGCCCTGCTGCTGCACTCTCACTAATCTGTATTAAAACAGCCCCACACATCCTTGCAGGAAAGGAAAACATTGCGTTTGGTATAACCTTCCAATTTTAAAGAGAAAAAAAGTGTGCCTATGTGGGAAGCAATATAAAGGATAATTTTCATTTAAATCAGATTAATAACGTTAACAAACGCCATGGCAAAGGGCCCAGTGGTGCTTCTTGAAATGCATTTTTTGCTTTAAAACGATAGCAAGGTGCATTTGCAAATGAACGCCAGCACATGCTGACAAGAGTGGCTCAAAATGAAGGAGCTTGTTTCAGAAGAAAGGGCCATGGTAATTATAGACCTTGGCTTTCCCAGCTAGGAACATCAAAGAGGCCCCGCTGGAATCACTAGAGAGAGGCTTCCCAGGGAGTCCAGTGCTCCTGAGGTTCCCAGTGCCCAGCCCCTCCCTGGGGAGGGGAGGATGAGGCCCAGGAGCAGGGAGAAGGGTCTAGGCTCCAGGCTCCATCCCAGTGCTTGGGGGCAGAGAGGGGTGCCCAGGAGCACCTGTGTGCAGGGAGTCCAGGCCTGAACTAGCAGAGGCATTTCTGAAATGGGGTGTGGCTACTTTAAGGGGTGAGGTCAGCTTTCAAAATGCCCCATGAGAATTTATGTCTTTTTCCTCATTTCTATGTTAACCACACAGTTTCAGCATTGATGCTGACGTTGACTAACTCAGCAGCCGAGAACAGGGCTGGGAACAGGAGGGAATGACTGACTCCCCAGCAGCAGCCCACGTGGGGACCCTTGTCAGAGGGGTCTGGGGTGCTACAAAGGAGGAGCACCCAGCCAGGGCTGGGCGGCCAGCAGGGACAGAAGGACGCAGGACTCTGCACGGCTCCACAGCTCACACCTCAGGATTTCACACACGCACAAGGAGCTTCCGAGACAGAAGCCACCTGAGGCTGTGCCCATCGGGGTCCCCTTCTTTTAATTTTGCATTGCAGTCAGCCCCGGGAGTTCCAATGGAAGCCTCTGCTCAGAGATGGTCAGAAGAGCCTCCGAGCCCATCACTGTGGGCTGGGGCCTGGATGTGCACTCCCCAGTGTTGTGAACACTCTCGGATTCCATGTGTCCCTGCACCTCACAGTTTCTGGGGCCAAGCGAGTAGTGGGTTTGAAAGTTCCCAGAGATTCTGAGCCAAGATGGGGTATGTGTTGCGGACTTCTAAATGGCTAGGGAAGGGAATTTAAAAGGACCAGCCTGATTCCTCTTCAAGGAACGTGTGGAGCTGGAGCTAGGCCACATGCGCTGCTGAAGTGGTGGGTAACTGGAACAGTCTGTGTGCTTGTTCACAGGCGCCGCTGGCCATACAAATTAGCACAACAGGACAGGACGCTGTCTGCAGAAGGAAAAGGCTCTTGCCTGTATGATGTTTCTAACACACGGCTAAGGTGGCCAGAGAAGACAGGCGTAGCGTGCATGCTCTGATGGAATTTATAACCGGGAGCATATAAATCCCTGTTTGTGACGTAGAAAACCGTGAAGCTGGATCTGCCTGGAAATGCTAACTTCTGGGAGCTTCACATTTTTAGCCTATACTAGTGACGTGCACTTAACTTTGAAATTTGTTTCAGAAAATGAGGCCTCTACAAGGAAAATCATCTCGGCTTGAAATGGATCTCTTGTCCCACAGTGGCTGCCTCGGTGTACTGTTACCGTATGTGGTAGAGACGGTTCCTAACCAAACGTTCAGTTTGTTTCTCTTTAAGAATATAAGAAAGTAGGCCAGGCACAGTGGCTCACTCCTGTAATCCCAGCACTTTGGGAGGCTGAGGCGGGAGGATCACCTGAGATCAGGAGTTTGAGACCAGCCTGGCCAACATGGTAAAACCCTGTCTCTACTAAAAATACAAAAATTAGCTGGGCGTCGTGGTAGGTGCCTGTAATCCCAGCTACTTGGGAGGCTGAGGCAGGAGAATCATTTGAACCCAGGGGCAGAGGTTGCAGTGAGCCGAGATCATGCGACTGCACTCCAGCCTGGCAGACAAGAGGGAGACTTTGTTTCAAAAACAAAAAAAAAAAAAAAAAAAAAAAAAGAGAATATAAGAAAGTATAAACAGAGTGAAATTAATTCATTAACATTAGGAAGTAGAAACTCACTCTAACGTGACCCACGCTAGCATGAGATACCGTGTAACTGTACTGGGTCTGGATCCCCCACGGAAGCACTTGCAGCCGGACCACCGAAGGGCTCACGCAGGCCCATCCTCCCACCACGGGCTCCCAGCACTGGCAAAATGCCACTCAGACCACAGCTGCAGGGGCCTCCCCGATCCTGGGGCTGTTTCTGTAATAGAGTGTGTTTTGTCACCAAATGATATTTATTTTGTTTCAAGCATTATTTCCAATGAACAAATATATGCTAAATCAATCGGCATGTAATTAAATAGCACATGGATAGGACATGCGATAGAAGGAGGGGGCAGAGGCCGTGGTGTTTCTGACGCCGCCTCTCTTTAAGGGTGGCTACAAGGACGTGAGCTGGAGTGACCGTGTCAGACAGCGCGGTAGAGGCCAGGGATGGGGCTGCACAGGATGCCCACAAGGCCTCGTGATTAACTGTTTTTTATTTGTGCAATTACTTCTTTTCCTTCCTTAGTATCTTTCTTCTAAAAAATTCAAAGAATGAAAGAGGGCGCTTAAATTATTTTAAATCAGCAGGATTTTTTGAGGTCCCATCATAGACAAGACCTATATTGAGCAAACCAGGCTGTAGAGTTAGTGTTCAGTGGAAGATGGTGAGCGGGCTGTGTCCCCTCCAAGTCCCACCTGGTCTCAGGGACCCCACATCTGCAGGCCTGGCTGTGCCTGGCAATGCCGGGGGAGCCGCGCAGCATGAAACGGACCCTGTGCTCGGTCTTGAGGCCACAGCTCGGCCTTGGTGTGGCTGGGGCCGCACAGACACAGCACAGCGGCCCCCGGCATCCGCAGGACACGGTTTTCCACTGTTTTACCAGTCCCTCAGCTTCGCCAGACATCCCTGGATCCCAGACCCTGCTCCTCAGGTCCAGCCATTGGCCGCGGTCCTGCTCCAAACCACACCGGCCATCCAGGACCCAGATTCAATGCCCAGCCCTGAGGCTTCTGCACTGCAGCTCATCCTCTTGGTGAGAGCCCAAGCTGGGGCCCTGTGTCCTTGTTGAGCATGGTTTGAACTCAGGAGCATCTGTGTGATGGCCAGAGCCCAGGTGGGGTGACCCCAGCCCCAGTGCTGCCCGTTATTGCTGCCACTGTCATTATCACTGTGGCTCTGTGAGTTACACCTGTGCTTCTCAGCTACTGCAACTTACCTCCTTCAGCCAACACTACACATACATGAGCTCCAGGGAGGGTGGCCTTGTGCAGCCATCTGGGTAGAGACGCAGAAAGACTTCTTACAGTGAGTGGGCTTTGCCTGAACTGAGCTCTCAGAGATGAGGGGGTGAGGGGGTGTCCCAGGAACAGGTGATGCCTGGGCAGAGGCCACCTGCAGCTCTGGGTTGCGGGGAACGTGAGGGACAAGAGGAGAGGGAGGGGCGAGGGCACAGAAGTGGGGTTTGGCCTGCATCCTACGTCCCGAGGTCACTGTGGGCTTGATAGTGGGTGCGGAGAGGAGAGGCCGGCCCGGGGTCATGGTGAAGCCGTCAGGACAGAAGCAGTCAGGGGCTGGGGCAGCCTTGCCCACCATGTTGGGGGTAAAATGCACCATGTGCTCCTCCTCTGACGTGGCTGTCTCAGCTCCCAAAGCCCACCAGCCAACACCCAATGATTATGGTAGAAACTGATACAGAAACGGAATAGGTAAGAAAGACAAAAGTAGGGATCCTGTGTCAAGTCTAAGGGAGTGCACAGGAGTTGTGTTTTGCTGAATAAAAAGGGAAGAAGCCTGAGCCACTGGGATCACTGCAATAACCTTCTTCTTCCAAGGCCCTGGTCCTGCCGGAAGTGTGGATGCCGTCCTCACTCAGGCTCCCCCGACAGCCGGAGCCCCCTCTATAGAGGAGGCTGTTCCTAGACGGACATCGGGTCAGACGGTTTTTGCTTAAGGTAATTAAATTCCCTCTACCACCCTAAAAATAATTCCCTCTCCTTGAGATTTCTATACTTAAAATTCTTAAAGGCATTTATTGCCCTGCCTTAGTTGCTGCTTTACCAAGACAAACACACTTAGTTCCTTTCCACTTTTCTCACAAACAAATCCTTCAGTCTCTTAATCATTTATGTTGCTTTTCTCTGAATTTCCTCCAATTTGTTGACATCCTCTGGTTTCTAAGGTTCTAATGCCTATATTTGCTTTGTTAGAACACAGCAGGTATTAGGAAAGAATTGGATGCTATTCAAGCCACAGTAATTATAAGGGAAAACAAGTTCAAAAGCCTTGAGTGAAAGCAGCAGGTAAGAGGGAGGAAACATGGAAGATAATGACCAATGCATATAATGCTTTTCTAATTCAGGACAAGACCATGAGAAACTTCATCAGTGATGCCGGCAAAAACCAAATACCTAAATAGATACATAAATGTGTGTGTATGCACCCACGCACACGCACACACACAGAGGATATCATTTTAAAAAGAAGGGAATATATCGGTAATTAGCACAGAATATAAATCTCCCCCCGAGAGATGGGTGCAGAAGGACAGCACTGTGAGGACACAGCCAGAAGGCGCTGCCCACCAGCCAAGGATAGAGGCCTCTGGAAGAGCCAGCCCTGCCCACATCCTGATCTCTGATGTCCAGCCTGCCAACCAAGGAGAGGGGCCTCGGGAGGAGCAGCCCTGCCCCACCTCGATCTCTGATGTCCAGCCTCCATAGTGGGGAGAGGATGAACTCCTGTTGCTGAAGCTGCCCAGGCTGTAGCATTTTAGTCCACCAGAAAAGACCACTACATCGGCCAACCCTAGTTTCAATAAAACTTTATTTACTAAAACAGGTGGGGCTGTCCATGGGTTAGAATCTACCCACCTCTGTCCTAGTAAGTATTAAAATAAAAAATGAGGTGACCTCACAAGGTCCCTGTGGAGAGGCAGAGAAATGGCTGCTGCTACTGCCCTGGCTGAGCCGGGCAGCCTCGCCCATCCACCATGAGGCGAGACCCCACACTCCAGCTGGCCTCCTCCCTGAAGGGCCAGATGGGTGACAGGTCCCCAGAAGCTTCGGTCTTGGGCTTGTCCTGGTAGGAAAGGTTTTCCCAGCCAAGTGCATCCTCTGCTTGTCAGCAGCTTCCACAGACATGGTGAGAGGAGACATTCAAGGATGAATTTAAATTGTGAAACTCAAGGGGCATCACCTGAGTGCTTTTACTTTCCCCATTGCTGACCCTACAGCATGATGACTCCGTTTCCTACACGGTTCCGAGCGTTTTCCATCCTTCCTGACGGCCTCCACCACGAGACTTCAGGTCATCCTTTAATGAGGGCCCAAGGAAGCACCCCCACTCTCCAGTTCCATGATTTCCCACGGTGATTACTGAGGGAAGACCAGCGCAGCCCATGATGTGTTCACAGCCAAGGCCCCGGCACCTGGGCACTCTGGGGCAGCCCGTAATGTGTTCATAGCCAAGGCCCCGGCACCCGGGCACTCTGTCTGGGGCAGCCCGTAATGTGTTCATAGCCAAGGCCCCGGCACCCGGGCACTCTGTCTGGGGCAGCCCGTAATGTGTTCATAGCCAAGGCCCCGGCACCCGGGCACTCTGTCTGGGGCAGCCTGTAATGTGTTCATAGCCAAGGCCCAGGCACCTGGGCACTCTGTCTGGGGCAGCCTCTGGCTTTTAATGATGCAGCAAAGCATCAGGCTGCCCACGCCAGAAGGCTTTCCCCCACGGAGGCTTCCGCCATGAGTCTGGAATGCGTTCTGAGCACCCCTGGAGCAGGGCACTGTTGGGTTACTTGAAAAATAGGAAGAAAAAGAAGACAATATCCCTGGACCTTAGAAACCTCAATGATCAAGAGTAGCGTTTCCCTCCACGGTTGCCCAATTTCACCTTGTTCTGCAGGGGATGGCAAGAGCAGGGTCGCCCTGGTGAGTCTGAACTCTGTGCACTCCTGTTTAGTCCTCAATGGGAAATGGGAAAGGGCTTTGTTTTCAGTGTGCATTTATCCCTGATAAACAAAAATCACGGCACAAAGCAGAACGGTGGCTGTTTTCTTGTGACTCATTATTAACAAGTTTTAAACTCATTCATCTTGGAAAACTCTCAACAATTTAGCACAGAAAACCACTTTAATGAATTCACCTAAGCCCATGTCGACAAGGAGTAGCCAGAAGCCAATCCTGGTTTATTTCTCCAACATCTCGCTAAAGGAGGAGCTCACCACGTAAGCGCTCCCAGGCCTGTGTCCTGGGAAACACTGACAGACAGCTCTCTCAGACCCCAGGTGAGTCTCTGCTCTCTCAGTCCCCAGGTGAGGCTCTGCTCCCATGGCTGCACTCCGTGGCCAGTGCTGCTCCCAATATCTGAAGACATCTTGGCCTCTACTGTGGCTGTGTGTATTTTTCTTTGCGGTAATTAACACTCTAAAAAAAATTTCTCTAATCTATATTTTGAAATAACTCAAGCAGAAGTTTTCAAACACGCACATTCTGCAGCACTGTCCCATCCACTGCAAAGGAGAAGAGCCGAGGAGCGAGTTCCTTGTTCTGCTCCCTTCTTGCGGTGTCCCCCACTGCCTGGACTACAGTATTTCCTGAAACTAAGGAAGACAGTTGCGTAGAGACCCTGAGCTTGCATTCAGCAGACACACACATTCTTAACCTATCTTGAAATGAGTAAACAAATCTTCATGCCCAGTTTGTCATCTCCTCCTTACCCTTGCCCTCATCAAGCCACTCAGTCATGTCAGTCCCTCCTGAGTCATGCACATGCATGCAGGCACACACAAGCAGGCACACACATGCAGGCACACACACGTGCAGGCAAACACATAGGGCCTGGCACAGACATGCAGGCACACACACGCAGGTAAACACACAGGGCCTGGCACACACTCGCAGGCACACACATGCAGACACACATGCCGGCACACACACAGGGCCTGGCACATGGGTTCTATATTTGGTAGATACCACCATTACCTCCAAACAGAGCTGCTAACCACTGGTATCTATCAGCAGTTTCAATTCCTCTTGATGTGTGAGGGTCATTTTGTCTTCTATGACAATGCCAAACACACCCCAGCAAAGCTCTGGGGTAGTGTGAACATGCCCAGTGCACCCCAACAAAGCTCCGGGATGTTGTGAACATGCCCAGTGCATCCCAGCAAAGCTCTAGAGCGGTGAGGTTCCGAGTCCTCACTGCTATTCAGCACTTGCACATCAGAAACCCAGGCATCTGGATGGCCAGTGCTGACTTAATTGACTGGTCAGTCTCAGCAAACCTACAGTCAGTTCCTTCCAAGAAGCAAATCAATCAGAAGAACACAGGTTCCCTGAGCTGTCCACTCAGCTGAAATAATCGCTCTGCAGCCCTCCGTAACTTCAAGATCTCTAGTGAAACACACACATTTAGATTTTTAAGAGGAAAAAAATGCCAAAATGATTGCCAAGACATGCACTGGGCATTCCCTGGGCACACAGGGCACCCGTGCAGCTGTGATTCTAGGGACACTCGCTGCCCACGTCCTCCACAAGGTCATAGGCATTGTAAGCCAGGAGTGCATCCTAGGCCCTCCAAGAAGACGACCACCAGGATGTGGCTCCTGACCCCATGGGGCTGATCTGTGGGGCAGAAACTAAGACACCTTGTGACAAACAAGCAATGGAAGAGAAAACTGCTTTAGGAGCAGGAAGGGGGCCAAGGCCAGCTTGGCAGGAGCTGATGAAGGCTTTCCAGGGAGGATAAGGCATGAGCAACTTCAGTTGTGCTCTCAACATTGACCTCAATTCCTTTCCACTGCCTCTTTCTGCTACTGCACTTAGAAAAATGTCATACACACAGGAAGTTTTCAATAAGCAACAAAATTTACCTAAAAAAGAAAAAGGAAAACAGAAACGAAAAGATTGAGTGGGGTTTGGGGCCTGCAGAGTCCTTGTCTGCTTGATTGTGGGCAGTGGGTGGTTTGTGAATGTCAGAATAAGCTTTTCTTCTCAGATGGGTAAGCGGGCAGCTGGGCTTTGCAGTGACAGGTGCCCCGAGGAAAGCAGGCAAACATGCACTGGACAAAGACACATGCAGCCCTATTCTAAGAAGGACTTGACCTTTGAGTCTGAAAAACACCCTGCACTTTAGGAGCTCAGAAGAGAAAGGCATCATTTCAGAGTGGGAGAGCCGCGCCTCCTTGTCAGTGTGATGGTTGGTAACTAGATTGGCAGGTAAAGCCACAATGCAGTTGATGTACCCTCATCTGCTCTATTATTAAACATCCAAAATACATTGTTAATATTTTAAAAAGCAGACAAAGGCCCCCATGGTATGATACAACTGGATGGGTGTTTGTTCTCGGCCATGCTGAGAGATACTGACATCCCCAAGTCTCTCCTGGCACCCCCAGCACGGCCGCCTTCCCCAGAAAACAATGTCAGATTTTAGAGGCTGAATTGTGTGGCCAACTTGGTTTACTTCTTTAATAGCCCTGTGGGAACACAACTGCTTATATGTGACAAGGCCTAACTCCACACAGAACAAACACGAGTATCAAATAACCTCACTTAAGCTAAAGAAACACACACATATGTGACCACCTTGGGGGATGATGGCTGGTGTATTTGTATTTCCCTGCTCAGCTTATCAGTTGGATATCGGCAAGTAAGATTTAGAAGCAGAAACATAAAATATTGAACAAAAACTAAAACACTTATAAAAAGGATTCGCTGTGTGGTGTGAAGCTTTGTGCAGTAATTGACACAAGATCAGAAAGCAAACCCTAAGAAAAGCGGCACCCACACTCCCAGCGCCAGGCCAGGGATTAACGAGCCCGGCAGACAATTCCAATCCGGAGTGGGATTTGCTCTTCCGTTTACGTTCTATTGTCCGGGTCTTATTTTTGCTTTCAATTCCTTTTGTAATGGAGGTAGCAGTTGTTATTGACAATTAATAGGGGCTTCAAAGGCAGTCATGTTTGGAAGGGGCAGCGGCTTCCCTAAGACCCCTCAGCTGCTGCTCAGGTGCAGCTGCTCTGTATGCCAAGCACGGCCCATGCCGGGCCCCGTCGAGGCAGCACAGATATCGATTTAGATGGAAACCGGGGTCGGCGCGGAGGGAAGGAGCTCGGTGAGCTTCGCATGCTAATGTATTATTTAGGCTTTGTGGTTTCATCCGGAGTAAGTGCCTATTTAGGAAAAATTACAGAATCAGTATCTCTGCTACTGATATATTTTCCCTAACAGTAATTCACAGGTAAAATACCAGGGATGATGGAAGGTATTTGTGCAAAGATTCAGGAGGAGATGGTCTGATCTGGTGGGCTGGGCTCGCTGGGGGGGACCATAATAACGCAAAGCAAACAACATCCATGTGGGAAGGTCCACTGGCCGAGGACGGGCACCAAGGCTGCCCTCAGATGCCAGCCGGACAGCATGGCGTGGATTTTGGCGAAGCTGAGTGATGCATGCTATATGCATCCTTATTGATCGAAATTATTCTTTTTACTCAAATATTTACAATGTAAGATAATTCCTTGTGTTCATAGTTCTTACATAATCATACACTAAAACAACTTTTACCAATTAAAGACAAAACCGAGACCCTCTTCCACGTGAGATGGTACAGGAGGGAGCTGCAGTGGGCCTGGCTGTGGGGAGCACCCTGGCCACTGTTTCAAAGCTGCCCCCTGAGCCCCACAGAGGTGCCCTCACCCCACAAAGCACTTCCACTCAGACGTACAGGACACCGGGAGGAAGGCAGAGTGCCCTCCACGTATACCGTGACAGGTCAGGTGCAAGGAGGCCCCATCAAGAGGCCTGACCACACGGCCCTGTCCTCTGCAGGGCTGCGTGAACACAGGACACACAGCAGTGATGGTCCAGCAGCCACTCGGCTCTGGGCACTGTGTCAGTTGGCACTGCCCTAGGTATGCTGGTGACAAACGGTTCAAATGACCCCACCATCGTGACACTCGACCCTTTTGGCCCAGGAACTGCCATTCACGGGCACAGCACACCTGCTCCTCCCATACCGAACCTCCATCATCTCCGCTGACCAGGCAGGTCCGGGGTCCTAGAACCAACAGGGCTCACCCACCCCAGCCCCAGGCAGAGCCGGCCCCTGTGGAAAGTGCCCAGCCACAGCCAGGACTTTACCCACATGCCTAGGCCAGGCCCTGGTCATCCTTCCACAGGTACGTGAAAGGTAAATGTAAGTGGCAGGAAGTCAAATGGAACTGAAAGCCACCTCGTCTCCTGGCTTCCACTCAGAAGTGGTGGAGGAAATACTCTCAAATGAAATCATGTGATCCTGTTTAAATAAATGGAAAATTAAAAGGCAGGGCACTGGCTGACCCTTGATGCCAGGAGGGGCAGATGTGGATTGACGTGGCTCTCGGCCCCCATGGGCTGGTATTGGGCCTCCTTGGGAGCAGCCTGAGAGTGCTCATTCTTGGCCAAATCGTGAGTTCCAGAGGGAAAGAGATGGGACCAAAAACCTTAGGGAGAACCTTGGGGCCAGCTGCAGTGGGAACACATGGGCACCCTCCACAATCCTCTATCCTGACACGATGCTCCTTTTGTGTCTCCACTGTGTTTTTCACTCCCATATTTTCACAGTTGTGATTCAACCTCAATGCTTCTGGAACCCACAAGCCACCCAGCCTCACTTTCTAAAAATATGATTGAGAAAGCAAGACAGAGTTTGGGACGGAGGTTTCTCCAGCGGAGCAGAGCCCTGGCATCCTGTGGAACATATTGTGAGTGTTCACAGCCGAGAAAGTAAGATGACTGGGATGTCATTTTCAAAGAGGAAATGGGCCCCACCCCAACAGGGCCACCGAGGGAGAATCGCAGGAGGCAGCTCCCCCAAAACTGGGAGAAGGTCAGGCCTGGGTTCCCCCATACCGTCATGGTCTTGAGTCAGAAACCAGAGATTTGTAAACAGCATCAAAAGCCTTCACTTCCTTCTGCAGCCTTAAAGTTTGAACTTTACATACATTTTAGACATGAAAAGTACACCAAGAAAGCCACCATGGTGAGTTTTAGGCAGAGACCCTCTTGTGAATAATTCGTCTATGATCCAAGATGGCCAGACAAGAATCAGGGCCCAAGCTTTTTCTCCCCAGTGTCACATCCACGCTGTTGTCTCCTCTCCAGCTCAGACCAAAATTCTCTGGACATTTTCATGGCTGAAAACCCCACCAGAACGCTGGCCCTGACAGGACCCTCTCCTCAAGTCCTGAGGACCCGGCTGCGGCCAGCCAGAATGTAAACTACAGCTCGCAGAAGCAGCAGGCATGGAGGAAGAGGCAGGAGAGCAAGAGCAGAAGCTCGAAACCTTCAAAGGGAGCCTGAAGAACAAGGCCAGGAGAAGCAGCGGCCAGGCCCCACCGGTTTCCTCCTTTCCCTCCTGAATCTAGGACAGAGGCCATTTCAGACGAGAGAGGAAAGAACAACAAAATGAACTGCAGGAGAAGCAGCCAGAGCCTGCAAGGCCCAGCCAGAGACGGCAGAGGAGAGAACCGCAAGCCAGGAGCAAGGAGGAGACAGGTGGACTCCACTAACCAACCGACGCAGCCCAGCGGAGACAGGCGGACTCCACTGACCAACCGACGCCACCTGGAGAAAGTAAATATTTAACTGTCAGAAGGAAAACACTGTTTGAACAGTAGTGGCCTTAGGAAGAAGGCCCTAATTTTTTTGAACACTGACCGGGGGCCATTCTTTACCCAGAGCTACTATGTCCCGCGCAAGGCAACACTGGCTGAAGCCCAGGAGGGCGGGGCAGCTGCAGACCCTCAGGAGCCTCTGCTGGCTCAGGGAGCGTGGGGAGAGTCCAGCGTGCACCAGAAGGAGGGAGGCCACCTCTCCTTGCGGCATTAGGAGACCAGGGTCTCTGAAAGGGCGGGGACCACGGCCAGGCCAGAACCACCACATCACCAGGCTGAAGGCTGGTTAACCTGGTGGAATCAGCTGTCTTCATGTTCAAACCAGCACATGGGGCTATTTTGCTCCAGTCACCTGGTGTGACATGAGCCACTGAGACTCGAACACCCCTGCTCTGGAGCAAAGAAGAACCCACACCTCTGTCCTGCCTGGCAGCCTCCCCACCACTCGCCGTGGGCACGGGGTCCGTATCCACTCGCCGGGGGCACGGGGTCCGTATCCACTCGCCGGGGGCACGGGGTCCGTATCCTCTCGCCGGGGGCACGGGGTCCGTATCCTCTCGCCGGGGGCACGGGGTCCGTATCCACTTGCTAGGGCATGGGGTTCATATCCTGTCCTCTGTCTCCTCTAAGTGTCCCTTAAACTTAAGGCCAATCCTATGATTTCCCTCTAAAAGCATTCTTCCGAATTCTACCCCAAAGAAACCAGTGACATTTCTCAACATCAGGCTTCCTAATCTCTGCAGGCCGCCTGAAGAAAAAGAAGAGATATGTGTATGGCCATGCCATTTGGAAATAGAAGAAAAGCCTTTAACCGCCTTCTACCTTCAGCTGTTTTTGCCAAGCAGAGAAGGTCCAGAAAGCACCTTCAAAGGGGCTGGGAGCTCTGGCCCTGCCCATCCACACAGCAAATACAGCAAGCAGAAATAACACGTTCACAGGGGCTGGAGGCTCCTGTCCTGCCCATCCACACAGCAAACACAGTAACCAGAAATAACACGTTCACAGGGGCTGGGAGCTCCGGCCCTGCCCATCCACATGGCAAACACAGCAACCAGAAATAACACGTTCACAGGGGCTGGAGGCTCCTGTCCTGCCCATCCACACAGCAAACACAGCAACCAGAAATAACATGTTCACAGGGGCTGGAGGCTCCTGTCCTGCCCATCCACACAGCAAACATAGCAACCAGAAATAACACGTTCACAGGCTTCTCCTCCCCACTCCCAACTCAGCTGCAAAACAGCTGATAAAATGAGGATGGGCTCTATGTAAGTAAACAGTACTCGATCTACCAGTTTACGACATCATCAAAGACATGTAGAGAGAAAATACATACACAGGTAATAATAACAATGATAATTCTAATACTATTTTGTTAGATTAGAAGCATTTTTCCTGGACAGAAGCAACATCACCTGGGGTCCCAGTGGAAAGCACGGGCCAGGCGTGCTCCCTGTGACCAGGTCAGAGTGCAGAGCCCGCCTGGTGACCTCATTTCCTTAGGGCAATTGTACCTTCTGTCTGGAGCCAGGTCCCTCTTAAAGGTAGAAGACTGCAGAAAATAATTCACCAGAAGCAGGCATGGTGCATCCCCAGGACGGATCCTTCACCGCACCCGAGAACCCGCAGGATGAGGCAGCTCTGCGCAAGCACCTGACCCCCTGCAGAGCTGAGATGGCTGCTCGGGGACTATGTCCCCCAGCAAAGCACAGAGCTGAGCCAGCTGCTTGGGGACTATGTCCCCCAGGAAAGCACGTCTGAGTCTTGGCTCCAGCTCCTGTGTATGGGATGTGATTTGGAAATGGTCTCCGAAGAGGGAAGCCAGTTAAAGATGAGGCCATCAGAGTGGCTCCTAATCCAGGGACTGGTGTCCCTAAGAAGGAGACACTGGACAGAGACAGAAGTGCCCAGTGGGAAGGCGAGGCCAGAATTCCCGAGAACACCTGGTGACCCAGCAGAGGTGGGAGGGAGGCCCCTGTAAGCCGAGGAATGGCAGGGGTGTCAGGGCCACCAGAGGCTGGAGGAGGCAGGAAGGACCCTCTCTGGAGCCTTCAGAGATGCACGGCCCCGCTAAGACCTTGATCTCAGACCCTGGGGGGTGCAGGGCCTGGAGAGCTTTGCACTGTTCTAAGCCTGCCAGTGTGCGGGGCTCCGTTGCCAAAGCCTTGGGCACTGCACGCGCCATCTCAGACCCTCTGGCCCCACACAGCCAGAGCTCAGCGATGAGCCAGGCCCACAGCTCTTCCTCAGGGCCCTCGTTTTCTCTCTCTGCAAGCCTTCTCCTTTCTAAACTGTTGTTGCTAAGTCAGAAAGAGAAGAGAAGGCATCACGTTGAATAATATCCTCGAGTGATAAATCTGCAGTATCTGCTGAAGGTCCACAGATAATGTGTTTAATTTGACAAACCAGGGACAAGAATGATGAATAAAACACTACTTGCTGATAAACTGGACCACTGTGGCCTTTAATATTTTCCCAGTCTTCCTGGGTTTTCTAAAATGTAAAAACAGAGCTGAATGTCTGTTCTGGAAGACTGTGTGATCTGACAGACGACCTCGATCTCACCGTGATGGAGACATCAATGGTGAGGTCATGACTTTTGCACCTTCCTGAATTTTTTCCTGCATCCCTGTACTCACTCATTTCCAGTATCTGACATTTGGGGTCTATTTGGTTTTGAAGGAAAGACAGGTCTCACCAGAGGGTGGAGCAACAAATAATAAAGCCACAGAAATGCTCTTAATTGTCATAAAATATTCATTTATAACCAATATGTTTGTGCCAAATTCCGTCACTCTGTGAGAATACAGTGTACCCAAGTGAGAGATTTAGAAAGCCCTTTAAGCTGCTTTTTACTTGTTAAATGAAAAAATATAATCATTAGGCATATTCAGGAATTGGGAAATTAATGCTTATTAGACTTCAGGAAAAAAAGAAAAAGATAAATGGAGGGCAAGCAGAGGATATTCTCCAGGAAGACAGCCTCAGCCACACTTTCCAGAAGGCATCGTAATCTTCAGTGGATGTTATACTCATTTATATTTTAAAAAAAGAAGAAAGGTTAAGAGCTGGTAAATAAAGTGACAGATAAAGTCAGAAAAACAATTTAAATCATCGAGTAAAAAAGGTGGGCGGAAGTCAGACGCGGGGGCTGTTTACAGCAGCCTCAGGAAGATGCATTAATTACAGTCGCTGCAAAACTACAAAGACGGTGCTGCTCTGCAGCCGGCGCTCCGGGGGCCCGCGAGCCTCTGAAGTCTCTGGGTCTCCTTTGTTTCTTCTTCATGGTGCAGAAGGACATGGTGAGCAGCCCAGCTCTCACTTTCAAGGGACCTTTGGCTGTTTTCTCCAGCACTGCTGAGAAAGAAGAGCAGCCATTCTGGGGGCTGCTCAGGCCCCGGCATTCCAGCTGCTGTGTGGAGTCTTCGGCTTCCCTTTCGGAAACCTGCCCCCACGCCTGGCCCTGGCTAAGCAAAAAGCCAAATGGCATTGCACTCACATCCAATTAACTTCCCATTTTCAGCAATTATTGCTTCGCCGGGAGCAGCAAGATGCCCTCTGTGGGGAAGCAAGGGCCCAGGAAGGGGTGGCTGATGCTCTGATGAAGGCCCCTCCTCTGACCTCTAGGCCACATTAGAGACAGCACAGCCCCTGGCCCTCTCCTGCCCCTCCTTCCCCGGCTTTGAAAGCAGAGGTGCTGCATTTGGGGCAAGTTCTGGTCAGTTCTCATGGTGGAGGAGAATTAAAGTTCAGAGGAGGGCAAAGGCAAACAAAATGACAGGAGGAAGGCCGGATGCAGTGAGTGGCTCCTCCGCCTGAGAGACAGATGCCAAGAGACCCAAGGCAGGTGAAAAAGCGCCTCTGATGCACAGAGACGTTCCGTATGCAATAGACTCGGGCTGGACACCGAGAATCTCAACTGGGTCAATTCAGAGCAAAGGACGCATTGTGCAGTGAGCAGTGAATTCATACAACGCTAAATGCAGAGATTCTAAAATGGCTTAGACCTAAAATCACAGAGCACCAGGCATTTGGCTCCACTGACCACTCAGAGGGACACATGCAGGGCAGATGGGGCTTAATGACATGAGCAGAGTAAACCCAGGACCACAACGGCCCCACGTCCAGCACCGTGTGGAGGACGGTACATCTTCCATGCCTCCAGGTTTTCAGGAGAGGAGCTCTGCTGCACCACGCTGGGAGAGATGAATAGGCTAAGCTTATTGTCAAAAGGCATTACTGCAGAGGAAGGGAAAGTCTCATTATCAGAAACCTCAATGAGTTGTTTCTTCAGATGTGCTTACCCAGTAATTTTTTTTTTCTGTAAGTCGCTCACTGATGCAATCAGCCAACTTCTGTCTCCCAGGTGCTGTGCTCAGAGAAATAAGAATTTGCTCTGGAGTCAGAATGGTTTAGGGCTAGAGGCATGAATCTGAAGGATGTCAGCCTAAGCGGCAGTGGCCACCAAGCCTGACAGAGCCATTGGGGGCCACGAATAAAGCCTTGGTGCCTGGTGGTGGCCACCAAGCCTGATGGAGCCATCAGGGCCACACATGGAGCTGTGGTGATCTTCTTGACTACCTGGGCAGTGGAGGAGGATGTGGGACGAGAGAATGAGGAAGAAACGAGTCGGTGATTAGCTGGAATGATAAGTCGTTTTAGCCATGTTGTGTGATAAGGAGTTTGGCTAGCCTTGGTCCTGTTCCTGGAAGCAGCCTGAGTCCTTGCAGCCTCCTGAGTCACGGGAGTGAGGTCATTTGTGGTGGGCCCCTCGGACCACACCTGATTGTTTATGCAAATGAGGTGACAGGACGGGGGCTGTCCACACCAAAAAGACCAACAATGTGATGGGTGAGTGGGGGCTCTGAGCCGTGGGATATAGTCTGATCTCAGGAGAGGGGAGGGCTGGTGGGTGGGTTAAAGCTTGTGGCCAATGGTTCAATCCCTCACACCAATGTAATGAAACCTTGATAGAAGCTCTGCATGCTGAGGCCCAGGTGAGCATCCCTGGTCAGCAATGCTGTGTGTGGCTGGCTGCACACTGAGACCTCGATAGAAACTCTGCACTCTGAGACCCGGGTGCACATCCCTGGTCAGCAATGCTGTGTGTGTGGCTGACTGCACGCTGAGACCTCGATAGAAACTGCACACTGAGGCCCGGGTGAGCATCCCTAGTCAGCAATGCTCTGTGTGGCTGCACACTGAGACCCCATTAAAAACTCTGCATGCTGAGGCCCAGGTGAGCATCCCTGCCCAGCAATGCTGTGTGTGTGGCTGGCTGCACACTGAGACCTCAATAGAAACTCTGCACTCTGAGACCTGGGCGAGCGTCCCTGGTCAGCAATGCTCTGTGTGGCTGCACACTGAGACCCCATTAAAAACTCTGCATGCTGAGGCCCAGGTGAGCATCCCTGCCCAGCAATGCTCTGCGTGTGGCTGGCTGCACACTGAGACCTCAATAGAAACTCTGCACTCTGAGGCCTGGGTGAGCGTCCCTGGTCAGCAATGCTCTGCGTGTGGCTGGCTGCACACTGAGACCTCAATAGAAACTCTGCATGCTGAGGCCCGGGCAAGCATCCCTGGTCAGCAATGCTCTGTGTGTGGCTGGCTGCACAGTGATGTGGTTTGGCTGTGTCCCCACTCAAATCTCTTCTTGAATTGTAACTGCCACAATTCCCATGTGTCATGGGAAGACCCCAGTGGGAGGTACCTGAATCATGGGGGCAGGTCTTTCCCATGCTGTTCGTGTGATAGTGAATAGGTCTCACAAGATCTGGTGGTTTTATAAGGGGGAGTTTCCCTGCACTTTGCCTGCTGCCATCCATGTAAGACGGGACTTGCTCCTCCTTGCCTTCCACCATGATTGTGAGGCCTCCCCAGCCACATGGAACTGTAAGTCCATTAAACCTCTTTATTTTGTAAACTGCCCAGTCTCAGATATGTCTTTATCAGCAGTGTGAAAAAAAACTAACACAGGCTGGGAGGGGCCCATGCTAGGCCAAGATCTGGAAATCAGGGCAGGTGTGTGAGTGTCTCACCCTGAGTCCAGCACCTCAGTCCCCCAAACACAACAGGGCTGAGTCGAGTTGCATCGTAGCTGAGGCCTGGGCCACTTGGGGTGTAAGAGCTGGGAGCTGCTGACAGGGAGCAGTAGCAGAGGCTTCAGCTGCAAGAGAGTGGCCTGAATTCGGAGAAGCAGACTCTACTTTTGTGGGGTAGGCTTTGTGTGTGCACACAGGAGCCTGCCTGTCAGCCAAAACCCTATTTGCAATGCTTCCCTGCTATCTGCCCTGAGCAAAACATTAGAAAGCTGGGATCAATTTAGTAAATTCTTCCAGGCTCACTCTCCATTTCTTTAAAACTCCAAATCAGAACATGTGGCCTGAGCTTAGGAGGAACAAAATTTGAAATTGTACTGCCCAGAAAACCCAGTGTGGATAGTCAGTGTGTTTACACGCATCGTCACGATAGTGTGTTTACACGCATCAGCATGACAATATATGCACTTTTAAATACTCTCACTTCATAGTCAACAAGTGTCTCAAGTATAAAACTATAAGAAGAGAAGAAAGTCTAGAGATGTCCATTTCGAGCACACATTGTAAAAACAGCACAGACCCTGCTCCCAGTCTAATGCATAAATACTGTAAATAAAAAGGGACAGGCACAAATTTTGAAGCATTAGTAAACGTGAAAGGAAGGAAGGAGAAATCCCAGATGCCAGAACAGAGAAAGCACAGAGCTGGGGCAAAGAGCAGGCAAGGGAGGCAGCTGAGTGTGGCAGTGGCAGGCAGGGGGGTCTGTTAGGGCCCAGCAGGCTGGGGTTGGGGTCTGCCCACAGGAGGGCAGGGGGCAGGTGCTGGCAGCGCACCCCCAAGGACTGTGCATACCTGCCCTGCACAAAAGGAATGCCAACAACCCGTCCACAGGCAGGCGGGCAGAAGAGCCTCTCTTTCTCAGGCTCTGGATGAAAACACAAATGCCTCTCATTAGAAATAGAAGCCTGAACCTGTATCCCACATGAGTGTCAAATCCTAATATAATAAAATACTCATATATCTAACATAACACATTGATTTGAATTGCTAATTATAAAATGTTGGAGGAACCTTTCCAACAATGAGAGTTCTTGGGACTTCCACAGGATTCTCATAAGAAAAGAAAGACATCAAAGACAAGCATGTAATAAAAAATTATAAACCACGTAGAAAACAATCTGTAATGAGAAAGTGTGAGCAAAATTTAAAAGAAAACGCAAACTAGAGAATTAACCCCATCTGACCTGGAGATAAAATGATAGCCTGAGACTTACTGGCAGAAATTAACAAACCAGAAAGCAGCAGAGAGCACAGACATGAGCAGAGTTGACTGTTTAAAAATATGAAGGAAATACAAAGATGTCTGTCAAAATTATCCAGAAAGGAAAGATGCAAAATAAATAACACTAGAAATGAATTAGGGGCATAACAATAACATATACGGAGATATGCAAAACCACAAGAAACTGCAACGCACAACAGAAACGTAATTGGAAGACATAAGTGAAATGAATCATTTTTAGGAAAAAAAACAAAAACACAAAATGCCAGAATTGAATTGAAAGGAATGGTATCTGACTATACTTGTAACCATTAGTTAAATCAGTATTCAAAAACCAACTCTCATAAACAGCACTAAAGCCAGGTGACTTAAACACTGTTACTAAAGCTTCAAGCAACATCTGTTTCCTCCTATGCGGATTTTAGATTTTTCAGTCTAGGACACAATTTACTTTATGAGATGAGTATTACTTCGATACTAGCACTGAAAAACAGTAACACAATGAAAATAAGGGAATTCCATTTCTCAAAAAATAATAGCAACCAAATATAACAGAGGGAAATCAGTAAAACAAAAAGTGACCAAAAAGGTATATCCCAAAAATGCAAAACTGGTTCTACTCCATGTAATTCACTTTACTAAGAGATTAAAGGGAGAAAAAGTCCAGTAATATCTTAGAGATTCAAGAATAAGATTTGGTCCATTCAAAATTTTTTAAATTTTAAGAAACTAGGAATAAAGCATCCTTAACCCAATAAAAGTTATCTAATAAAATCCTTCAGAAATAATCATCCTTTAACAAGGTAAAATGTCAAAGACATTTTCTTAATGCTTGGGATAGATAATGAAGCCTTCCTTGACCCCTTTGATTCAACACTATTTGGAACACCCTAGATACTCAATGCAATGACAAATGTTAAGATATACAGCATTAGAAAGGAAGAAAGCTGCAGATGACATATTTGTTTACATGGACAATCTAAGAGAACTGCCAATCAAGCAATTATAACAAATATAAGATTCCTTCAAAGATACAGGTCACAAGGTCAAAATACAAACCAATGTGCCTATATGCCAGCAACAACCAATTATATAATATCTTGAAATAGTTAGAAGTTAATTTAAAAATAATCCTGATCATGTTAAGCTACTTCAAAAAATTTTAATAAAATATTTTAAGAACTTTACATTTAAAAATACTAAAAGTTCATTGAATGGCAAAGGAATATCTCACTCAGCGAAGACACATGCCATGTAAGTAC
The DNA here is from genome assembly GCF_000001405.40 of Homo sapiens. Taxonomy (NCBI): domain Eukaryota; kingdom Metazoa; phylum Chordata; class Mammalia; order Primates; family Hominidae; genus Homo; species Homo sapiens. The sequence goes on from NC_000007.14 coordinate 158,037,267, forward strand.
AGAAGTGGATGGGAAGACCAAATGTCGTAAATACACTCTCAGGTCTCCTAACCATGGGGACATGTTCTGAGACATACATCGTTAGCTGATGTTGTGCCAACATCACAGAGTGCACTTACACACACCCAGCTGGCACAGCCCACTGCACACCCACAACCTGCACGGCATATCACTGTACTGAGTGCTGTAGGCAATTGTAACCAATGGTATGTATTTGCGTATCTAACCTGCACAGCTTACTGTTACTGTTCCGAGTACTGTAGGCAACGCTAACACAATGGTATGTATTTGTGTCTGAACACATCTAATAAAAAAGGTATAGTTAAAGTATGTGATTATAATCTTAGGAGACCACCCTCATGTATGCAGTCAGTAGTTGACTGAAACGCTGTTATGTGGCAATGACTGTACTTTTGTACAGTTTTGTCCAAACTAAACTATACATTAAATCGAAATTCAACAAAAAACCCAATCAGTCTTTTTTCATAAATTTGACAAGCTCATCTGAAAAATGATTTTAGAATAAGGGACATGTAGATAATTTGGGGAAAGAATGGGGGAGGGTTGCAATTCACCTTGTCAGAAAGATTTCACATTGTCAGAACGATTGAGACACCAAGTGTCTACTCTGTACCACAGCAGGTGAGTATCACAGATGTATGGTGAGTTAGAGAAGCCAGACACATGGAGTGCATGATGTCTGAATCCGCTAACCTCCCGCTTTGGGTCTCACTTGGGAGGAGATGCTGAGGGGAGGGTCTGGGCTGCCAAGGGCTCTGTCTGGAGCTGGATGGTGACTACACAGCACAGTCAACAGGCTCTGCACTAAGATGTGCACACTTTGTATATGTTATACTCCAGTAGAAATTCATGTATAAAGTAAGATGAGAAAGTTGAATTGAGAAAAGAAAATCATCAAGGTTTTGGAAAGACTGACAAACAGAACCAGTGGAATAAAACTGAGGAGGGAGAAATATAAGTACACACATGGGGACTGGATAGACAACCAATGTGAAGACATACACTGCAGGAGAAAGGGTATTTCAACAATTAAATACAAGGGCCAGGACAACTCCCTATCTAAGTAGAAAAAGATAAAATTCAACCCCTGTCTCACAACAACAAAAATTCCTGACAGATTAAAGATTCTAAAACTTCAGAAGAAAATAAGGGCAAATATTTTTATGAAATCACTAGAGAAAGATGCCATGATGAAACCCAAAGACTTCAAATGGAAAACACTGATTAAAAAGACACCATAAAAAAGATAAAAGATAAGCTATATCTCTATTTTTATAACATATATAATGCACTGACCAAGAACTAGTATTCAAATATAATTACATACATTTTATAATAAAATACTATGCTATATATAACACATATAGCATTTCTATATAAATATGGTCTACATATATATTTATATGTAACATGTATATTTATATTATATAATATGTAGTATTTATATTAGATAATAAAGTATAAAATATAGAAATATAAGATTATACATAATATGTAAAATATGTATTTCTAGAATAATGACACAGATATTAAGAATCCTTACATTCTAATAATAAAATAACAAAAAAAAACACAGCATGAAAATTGAAGTGTTCAAACAAGCAATTCACTAATGAGGAAATTTGAATGGCTAACAGAGCTATAGAAAGCTGCTCCACCTTATTTGTCTGCCAGATACAGACAAATGAAAATTGTAATAAGATACAAGTTTATGGCCCTCCCCCTTTGGCATAAACTAAAGAGAGGTCTGATAACACCTAATTAAATTATATTGTGGGGAAATAGAAAAAATGTAAAAACTGCCTAAATATCCTGCAGTAGAGGAAGAATGCATAAATTATACTGTAATACCATGCCATAGTTACATATAAACTAGATCTAAAGGTATCTGCGTGGATAAATCCTCAAAATATAATTCTGTGTGAAAAACACATCTTGAAAGGATAGCTACAGCATGAAACCAGTCATGAAATAAGTCCAGAATGTTGTGGGATGGAAAATACCCAATTCCAACCCATCTGGCCTTCCTTTCACTTATGGGAGGAAAAGAAAAAGCTGAGAAGTCCTCTTGAGGTCACAGCCCAGGTGTGCAGGTTCAGGCTGAGACAGAGACCTGATCACAGGGCCAGAGGATGCTGCCCTCCTTCCACACCAGACCACCACATCAATACCAACAGGGCTCCCACATAATGACAGGGGATTACAGATAAAAGAACTGCACACATCAGACTTTATTTAAGGAGAAGTCTCTAGGGAAACCCAAAGAAAAGTAGGGAGATAAAACAAGGACACCAGAAGAAATTTTAGCCTCTGACAATTACAGCTCCAGCAAACAGTAAACAGCCTAACTCACAGCCAGGTAAAGATAAAACCTAATGCTAAAGGCCAATCTGCCTCAGTTTCTTTTATCCAATACAGCATATCTAGGTTTCAACAAAAAAATTACAAGCCATGCTAAAAGGGAAAAAAATCACAAAGAGAAAAAGAATCAGACTCAGATATAGCAGAGATATTGGAATTATCAGACAATGAATCTCAAATACCCATGATGAATATGAGAAGTGCTCTAGTGAGAAAACGGACAATGTGTAGGAACAGATGGGTGATTTGAGAGCTGGAAACTCTAAGAAAAAATCAAAAGGAAATGTTAGAGATCAAAATCACTGTAACAGAGATGAGGAATGCCTTTGATGGGCTCATTGGTAGAGCAGACATAGCTGAGGAATAATCAGTGAGAATGAGGATCTATCAATAAAAACTCCCCAAGACAAAAAGCAAAGAGAGAGAGAGAAAAAAAAAGAAAAAGACAAAACAGAATATCCAAGGACTGTGGGACAATTACAAAAGGTATAACATATGCATAATAGGAATACCAGGAAGAGATAAAGAGAAAAGGGAACAGAAGAAATATTTGAAGTAATAATGGCTGAATATTTTCAAAATTAATGCCAGACACCAAATCACAGATCTAGGAAACTCAGAGAACACCAAGAAGGGTAAATACAACACACACAAATTCACACTCACACACACAGATGCACACACACGGACACGCACACACATGCATATACACATGCACACACACACGTGCATACACATGTGCACACACTTCACACACACACACACACAAACACACTGCACATGCACACACGTGCACACACACTGCAGAAAAATCAAAGACAGGAATTTTTGGACAAAGCCAGAGAGGGGGGAAAAACCTTACCTTACCCATAGAAAAGCACGGAGAGAATTATGCTGGACTTCTTTTTAGGAAGAAGCGAGTAGAGAATGAAGTAAAATATTGAAAATGTTAAAAGAAAACACCCAACTTAAAATTCTATGTCCAGTGAAATAATACTTCAAAACTGAAGAAGAAATAAAGACTTTTTTAGGCAAACAAAAATTAAAGGAATTTGTCAGCAGTTGATCTGCCTTTCTTTTTTTCTTTCTTTTTTTTTTTTTTGAGATGGAATCTCACTCTATTGCTCGGGCTGAAGTGCAATGGCACAATCTCAGCTCACTGCAACCTCTGCCTCCCAGGTTCAAGTGATTCTCCTGCCTCAGCCTCCCGAGTAGCTGGGATTACAGGCATGCACCACCACACCTGGCTAATTTTTGTATTTTTAGTAAAGACAGGGTTTCACCATGTTGGCAAGGCTGGTCTTGAACTCCTGACCTCGTGATCTGCCCGCCTCGGCCTCCCAAAGTGCTGGGATCACAGGCGTGAGCCGCCACGCCCGGTCCACCTGCTTTTCAAGTAGTGTTAAAAGAAGCTCTTCTGACAGAAGGAAAGTGACACAGGTCCGACACTCGGATCTAAACAAGACACAGCAGATACCAGGGAAAGCATTCCAGGCACCACCAGGAAGAGCCACTGCAGAGGCCCTGGAGAATCCTGCTTGGCATGTTTGAGGAACAGCAAGGAAGCCAGGGTACTTGGAAGAGATCTACTAGTTATAAAGGGAAGTTCACAGCAAGAATACAAATGCATCATCTGTATTATCAATAATAGCTTATTGCTTTTTTTCTAAGTAGTTCTTAACAACATTGCAATAAAGAAACAATTGAGGCTGGGCACGGTGGCTCATGCCCATAATCCCAGCACCTTGGGAGGCTGAGGTGGGTAGATCACTTGAGGTCATGAGTTTGAGACCATCCTGGCCAACATGGTGAAACCCTGTTTCCACTAAAAATACAAAAATTAGCCTGGGGTGGTGGTACACACCTGTAGTCCCAGCTACTCAGGAGGCTGAGGCAGGAGAATCGCTTGAACCTGGGAGGCAGAGGTTGCAGTGAGCCAAGATCTTGCCACTGCACTCCAGCCTCGGTGACAGTCTAAGCAAGAGAGAGGGACTATGTCTCCAGAAAAAAGAGAGAGAAAACAAAAAGAAAAGAAAAGAAACAATTGAAGGCTACAAATAGTCAATATTTAGTCTCTTGAAAAATCTATGGCCAAAGAGAAACCTGCGTGCTTGGGTCCAAAAAAGCGAAACGAGTATTGCATGATCTTGGTGATTCTGAGGCCAGCTCTAAGTCTTTGCTGTCATTGACATGTGACCCTTCCCAATCACACTTCTTCCTACCCACGGCTGAGTCTGTGGTGAAAGGACAGACTTCCTTCAGCCATGTCAGGCTCCTTTACTATCCTTGTATCTTGCAACACTCTTAGTAATCACATCATTTTGAATTCTTTATGTAAAAATGTACCTGCTTTAAGCCTCAGCAAAGACCAATGTCAAAAGAAAGATATCTGTATCACAAGAACGATCACAGGCCCAGTAGATCGTGCGGCTGGACACGCACTTTCTGCCCACGAAAGAGCCTGTGAGGGGCCTCCATCTCGTGATGCAATGCACCAAGATGCCACGGGCACTGAAACACCAGCTTTTGGGTGCATACTTCATACCCACAGAAACCAGAGAATGGATTTCCAAACGTCCAGAAAAAAGAAGTCAGGGGAGTGAAACGCAGAGACCAGGAGCTCATCCGACTGCCCCATCGTGCTTGACTCTTCCCCAGCAGAGGGGTCGGGAGTTCCGGTGGATTCAGTGTTCCCATCAATGGTGAGCCGCTTCGGAGCAAAGCCAAACACAGCTCAGAACTGCACAAGTTCAGGCACCAGACACAGGGTAGGATCCACGTCACTCTCTGCAGCACAGGGTAATGCACTCTCTACCACACGCATGAATCATTTATTCAGAAAGAGATGAGAGATCCATGGAACTGTGAACTAATCCTAAATATAACATTTCCATTTACTTTCCCCGCACTTAACATCTTCGCAGTATCCCGTCACGGCTGAGTTCACGTTTTTGCTGTGTGCTGCTGGTATCCTGCCTGCAAGCTTCGGGAGGGCAGGGGCAGGCCAGGCCCAGGGCTTCCTAAGGGACCTGGCTGTCCTGAGCCACAGCCGGCTGATAGACACCATAGTGAAGAATCCGATGGGTGTCTGTGACAGTGTCTCAGGGCCAGGGTGACGAGCATCTGCTGCCCACTGTGCCAGGGAAGAAAGGGAGTACTGGCTTGCAGAGACTTACGGCTGAAACTACTAGAAAACAGGTTTTATGAACTGCCTCTGAATTTATTTGTATTATGCTGTTTTCATAATTAAAAGAAAAGCTTGTAACAGTTTCCTCATTTATAAATTCCATATTTCAATACAAAGCAAAACACTCTTGGAGGTTCTGGAATCCTTCAGTGTGCAACGCATCTGCCATTCCAAGACAGAGACCAAAAAAATGGAGGAAAGTTTGGGGGAAGTTACAGTGAAAAGCTCCTGATGGGCGTGGTGGCCATGCCCATAGTTCCAGCTACTCGGGAGGCTAAGGCAGGAGGATTACTTGAGCTCAGGAGTTCAACACCAGCCTCAGAAACATAGCAAGACCCCATCTCATGAAGAAAAAAATACCAAAAAAAAGTTCCTAGTGATAAAAGTAATGTGCCATGTGGAGGGGAACACTTTCCTCTAATCTAAGGGAGCAAATCCCAGGTTTTAATCCCATGGACAGAAAAAAGTGTCACCTTTACTAACAACATTCTTACCTATTAGTTAAATCAGAGATGTGTCCTGGGTGTAGACATGACCAGGGACAGGAGGATCAGGGATCAGGGATGAACATCAGAGGGACTCTCATGACCAGGGACAGGAGGATCAGGGATCAGGGATGAACATCAGAGGGACTCCCATTCTCGTCACCTGACTTTAAAGGGTTGGTAAGTTTTTCAACAAAAATACTCACCAACAATAATATCTCCCCAGCACCAAGCTCCTGCAGGAGAGAATGGCATTTGGGTGGCAGACATGGCCGTGAATGGGAAGGAGAAGGGCCTGACCTCACTGCAAGGCCGTCTGCATTAAAGAGGCCAATTTCTGAGCACAAGGCAGGTTGCCAGGAAATGCAGCTTGACATTTATAAACCTACTCACCAGCCTTTGTTCTCAATGCCAGGGCACCCAAGTAAGCAAGCCTTCCTTCCCGGCACTGCAGACACTTCTGGAAAGACCCACCATTTCTTCAGAAATGACACTTCACAGTGTGGCGAGAGGGGAGAAGCGCACAGACCATCCTGCACAGTTGGCTCAGCATTTAGCAATTACATAAAATGTGTGAGACTGATTGTCATTTGCTCAAAAAATGTGTTGAGCACCTAACGTACGCTGACCACGTCACTCGACGTGGCAGAGGGAGCAAAGCATAAAGAGAAAGGCCACACGCCGAGGCTGTGATGGGCAGTGAGGATATGTAAATCTTATGCTTATGGACTACATCCTGCCACACATGATTTTCATAAAAGTCATTAACTCCCAAAGCAACCCTGCAGGGTGTTTCAGATAAAAAAATTTAGAATAGCTTTATCTGAGTTACACAATTTTAAAAGTCAGCAACTGAAGAAATGTCCAGAAAGTCTTGGTTAAATAAAAAACACTTAAGTGGCACAGAGGCAGGAGGGGGAATCCTGAAGCTGGTGCGTCTGGGGAGCTCACCTCTGGAGGAGAAAATTGAACCAGCAGACTGTGGGCGGCCACAGCCCTGAGGCAGGGGTGGGGGGCGTCCTCACTGCTGCTGAATCTGTACAGGACTCTGGGGCCCCTTCTCCCCGCACATCCTGCACCTGCATAGGAATTCATAAAAACAAAGCAAGCACTCCAATGTGTGTGTCTTTCTTTTTCCTACTAAATGGGAACGTGTTGGAGCTTGGTCTAAATTATCTGCATCACCAAAGAGAGCACAGTCTCCAGGGCTCAGGCAGGGTCAGCCTCTGGCTCTCAGGCAGGCACAGAGAGCTCGGGGCCTCGATCATTTGTAAAGACTCTGCTGCAACCAAACTCACCAGCAGAGGACAGGCTGCAGGAGGCCACAGGGGACAAGGAGAACCCGTGCTGAAGAGACCACAGCTGGTCCCAGGGGACCAAGATGGGAGCTCTGCCTCAGAAACAGTGTCCAGGGCTCAAGTGGCCCAGGTTAACATCTTCTCTGCTACTTGGAAAAGAGATCTTTTCCTGCACCATAGGCCGACAGGTGCCAGTTCGGCGATGACTAAGTACAAAAGAGTCTGCTGCAGGAGCAACATTTAATTCTCAACGAGAGCACCTGGAGGACACCAGGAGGAGCATCACAGACAGGAAAAATTATAAACAGTGAAGGGCAGCCCCAAACAATAACAACAACTTCTCTTCCTTAGACACCCTTGAGAGTTATGTCAATAACCACTGCTCGGTTATATTTTACAGAAAGCCTTTCTAAATTAAAATATGGTGCTATCCACTTAAACCCTACTGGGCTGAACTTACACATATGCATGATATTGACCCCTGAATTGATCAGAGATTGATGCTGAAACCACCCAAAAGCCTCCATGACTGGAAGCTTGATATCTGACCCGGCTTTAAAGAAAGTTGGTGGCTTTGGGACAGCAGTCATGTGGCGCACAGCAGCCCATTCTTTGTTTCCAGCAGGCAGCAACAAATCCGTGAGGCTGAGCTAGCCCCTCTGTCGGGAAGCTCCAAATGGCTGGAGAAATAAATTTTTTATTAAAAAAGTAATTGGAAAGATGTTTACATTAATCAGATTTCTAATTTTTCACTTCTCCATGGTAAAGATCCCAGCTATCCAGATAAATGCCACTCAGAGCACCCACATCTCCTGGTGGTCTTGGCCTTGTGTCAGCATTCTAAATACTCACATCCATAGCAAGACATGAGAAACAGGAAGGAGAGGAAAGAAGAATCAGAGAGGTGTGCCCCAGGACGTGGGCGCAGCTGGCACATTCAGAGACGGTCTCTGAATTGCAGATTTCAGAGATTGTTTAGCACAGACATCCTGTTTTATCATTTGAAACCTAAGGAACAGAGAGTGCAAAGGGCTTGCCAATAGTTGGCTAGCTAGTCAGTGAGAGACCCAGGAGCAGAACCTGTGATCCTGGCGTCCTGACACTGCCTTGTTCTGTCCAGGAGCAGAACCTGCGATCCTGGCATCCTGACACTGCCTCGTTCTGTCCAGGAGCAGAACCTGCGATCCTGGCGTCCTGACACTGCCTCGTTCTGTCCAGGAGCAGAACCTGCGATCCTGACGTCCTGATACTGCCTTGTTCTGTCCAGGAGCAGAACCTGCGATCCTGACGTCCTGACACTGCCGTGTTCTGTCCAGGAGCAGAACCTGCGATCCTGGCATCCTGACACTGCCTTGTTCTGTCCAGGAGCAGAACCTGCGATCCTGGAGTCCTGACACTGCCTTGTTCTGTCCAGGAGCAGAACCTGTGATCCTGGCGTCCTGACACTGCAATCCTGGTGTCCTGACACTGCCTTGTTCTGTCCAGGAGCAGAACCTGTGATCCTGGCGTCCTGACACTGCAATCCTTGCATCCTGGCACTGCCTTGTTCTGTCCAGGAGCAGAACCTATGATCCTGGCATCCTGACACTGCCTTGTTCTGTCCAGGAGCAGAACCTGCGTTCCTGGCGTCCTGACACTGCCTTGTTCTGTCCAGGAGCAGAAACTGCGATCCTGGCATCCTGACGCTGCGATCCTGGCATCCTGACACTGCGATCCTGGTGTCCTGACACTGCCTTGTTCTGTCCAGGAGCAGAACCTGCGATCCTGGCGTCCTGACACTGCCTTGTTCTGTCCAGGAGCAGAAACTGCGATCCTGGCATCCTGACGCTGCGATCCTGGCATCCTGACACTGCAATCCTGGCATCCTGACACTGTCTTGTTCTGTGCACTGCCCTTCAGGGACTGAGGCAATCCCGCGATTTCTCATGTGGCAGGTTCTCAGCACCACACCTTCCACCATGACCTGAGGCCCAGCTGGTTTCTAAGAATGCACTGTTATGCAGCAGCTCTGGGACTAAAGGATGTCGAGACTTTAAAATACTGTGGCTGCAGGAACCAGGAGAGGATGCCGGGCTGGGTGTCAGAACACAGGGAAAAGCCATCCCTGTTAGCCACCTTGGCATGCTCTTGAGTTTCCTGAAGCAGATTTCCTAACCTGACATTTTGGAGACGGCAGGACGGGTTTCTCAGCAATAATCCCTCATCTGCCATTGAGGCGCCGAGCTCTTGTCTTCCTTCCTGGTGTGTGTACCGCTAGCTTTGCACCAGTTCCGCCCACTCACCAAAAAGTCCATCTAAATCCATCCATGCTTATTTTTAATTTAACCTTAATCCTGCAGGATCAGTACAGGGGCAGGCAATCAGGTTTACACAAGGGAGGCGAGCGGCTGCGAGGGAGGCCTGGCCTAAAAACGCCCCCGCCCCTCGCCCCGGAATGGAGCCTCCAGATACACTCAACTCAAACCACATCCCATTCCTCTCTCATGCAAACTCATCTGGTCACAGAGCATTTGCTGAGTGCAGACTCTGTGTGACACACACTGCTACTTTCTGAGGAACACACAGATGAATACAACAGTCCCCATGGGCAGGTTTAGCAGGGAAGAAGCACAGTCACCGAAGTCCAAAAAAGCCAGGCTGGAGCCCATGGGCCATGCAGAACAGGCCAGGAGCCGAGGGCAGGTCACTCAGTTCCCTTTCTCTCAAGGAGCTTTCAGCTCAGGAGAATAAACAAGGAGTATACACACATCATGTCCAAGGGCAATCTTAGTAACCACAACCAAAGAGGCTGGAGCCACTGCACACCTCAGGGAAGGAGAGGCCACTTGTGCTGTGCGAGGCCTGCCTGCAGTCACTGAGCGTGTGAGGCCTGCCTGCAGTCACTGAGCATGTGAGGGCTGCCTGCAGTCACTGAGGGTGCGAGGGCTACCTGCAGTCACTGAGTGTGTGAGGCCTGCCTGCAGTCACTGAGAGTGCAAGGGCTACCTGCAGTCACTGAGCATGTGAGGGCTGCCTGCAGTCACTGCGCTTGGGAGAGGAGGCACGGCACATCTGGCGTTTCAGAGCCGATGGCATGTTAGAGGCCACCGGGGAGGGACAGCTGCTGGGCACAGCTGGTGCACTAGAAGCAGCTGAGGTCCATTCTGCAAAGGAGAGCTGAGGCTGGGTTGCACAGCAAAGCACAGAGCAACATGCAGCCAGTCTTTTCTCAGTGCAAAATGGGCAAGCCGGGAGCTCTCAAGTGAGTCAGCAACCCACCAATGTGGCATTACAGGAGGATGAACAGGGCAGTGCAAGGTGACCTGGGGGTAGGAGTACCGAGCACATGGAACACACGTAAGGCAGCTCCTTGTTCAGGCATGAGGCAGGAAGAGCTAGAATGGGGCCGAATTCAGAGCAACAGGGACAGGGGACCCGATGGATATCGAAGGTGGCCAAGAATGGTGCATACACACTTTCTTCTAAGGACACTTTCTGTCTAGATAGAAACTCATACATGAATACACATATGTATACACACACACACACACACACACAGGTCAGTACCATTCTTTCAACTTTTCTGTTTGTATATTTTCATCATAAAATATTGGGGAAATGGTGCCTTTTCATCTCTGCAATGTGAGAGCTCTATAGCATCAGAAACTCTCCTTATCTTACAGACCATGTAGAAACATGTGGGGAAAAGTCCTACATGCATCTATAAATCACCAGGTCCTGCTAGCCACGGGCATCTCCTCTTGGTCCTCATGTTACATTTTCTTAGACTTAAGTTTTCTTCATAGCAAGGGAACATGACTTGACTCTGAAAACTTGAATGATGTATTTTAAGGTGAGTAAGTTACATAGGAATAATGTATATCCCTATCATCATTGTTACTATTGCCATCATCACCATCAATAAGCATCATAATCATATCATCCCACCAGCACCATCATCACCATCACTATCATCATCATCACTATCATCATCATCACTATCATCATCAATCACATCACCACTACCACCATCACCATCACCACCATCATCATATCACCATCACCATCATTACCATCACCACTGTCACCATCACATCACAACCACCATCACCATCACCATCATATCACCACCATCACCATCATCACTATCACCAACACCATCATCACCCTCACCATCATCACTATCATCCCACCACTACCATCACCACCATCACTATCATCATCACCATTATCACCATCGCATCACCACCATTACCAATATCACTATCACCATCACATTACCACCACCATCACCATCATCACCATATCACCACCATCACCATCATCACTATCACCAACACCATCATCACTATGGTCCCATCACTACCATCATCATCATCACTATCATCATCGTTATTACCATCACATCACCACCATCACCATCATCACTATCACCAACACCATCATCACCCTCACCATCATCACTATCATCCCACCACTACCATCATCAGCATCACTATCATTACCACCATCGCCATCATCAGCATCACTATCATCATCATCATCACATCATCACCATCACCATCAATCATCATTGCCACCATCGCCATCAACAGCATCACTATCATCATCATCATCATCATTGTCATCAGCATCTCCATCTGACTGGTGGCCCTGGAACTCCTCCTTTGTCCTTTCAGTTGGGCATCTCCCATCATTCCCCCAGCCATCTCCACTCCCGATTCTCTGTGCCGTCTTCCTCTACATGTTCAGCCCTCTCTGCTACACTGGTGGGTGACTCCAACTCCGACACTACATGCTCTGCCCTGTCTTCCTTCCTTTCACAGCTCTTCATGCTCATCTCACCTCCTGAACTGCTGCCTGAGCATCCACAGGCCTGAAGCCAGGACTCACTCTTTCGGACTGACCCTCAGCTGATCCTTGAGCTGAAGTTCCTTGAGGAACTCGGCCCAACATTATATTTTTCCATGGCACCAGCCTCACAGCTGATCCCACATGGTCCTCAAAGAATGCAACCTGAGGCCGGGCGCAGGGGCTCATGCCTGTAATCCCCAGCACTTTGGGAGGCCGAGGTGGGTGGATCACCTGAGGTCAGGGGTTCAAGACCAGCCTGGCCAACATGGTGAAATCCTGTCTCTACTAAAAATTACAAAAAATGAGCCAGGCGTGGTGGCGGGCACCTATAATCCCAGCTACTGGGGAGGCTGAGGCAGGAGAATTGCTTGAACCCAGGAGGCAGAGGTTGTAGTGAACCAAGATCGCACCATTTTACTCCAACCTGGGCAACACAGCAAGATTCCATCTCAAAAAAAAAAATGCAACCTGATAGAAATGTGGTGCTCAGTTCTTATTTGTTGCAATGTAGCTATTACCTTTGGTTCCTGAAGGAGTTGAAAGGGGCAGGGAATGATGCAGGCACACATTAATTCACTGCTAGTGACCCCCATTTTATTAGGAAAGAAATAAAATACATGTAGGGTAATGGGCACATTGTGATTTATATAACAAGCGTGTTCCTGAAAAGGTACATCAAAGTCAGAATGCTTTTGAAGTGGCCTCAGAAAGGTTACTGTTTAAAACACTGTTATTAGAATTACTTTAAAAAGAGTGAAAATATTCAGGGAATGCAGCCTTTTGTAGATTATTCATGTTCTAAAGTGATCATGCTTATATTTTTACCTTCTGTTAGAATCAATGAAAAACTTAATTCATAATTCTACTAAGCTACAATTTGAAAATATCTTGGGTGCAATTTTCCTTCACATTTCTTTGGCTCAGTGTCCTCCAGATTTACCAGTGACAACAAAGTCACAGCAACCTCAATGCCTTTTACTGACTCCCATCTGCAGAGCCTCAAGCCAACTCCCTCTGGAAACTCCTCCTGCTGTTCTTAGAAGTCTTTCGGGCATCCAGACAGTCCTCTGGTTCTCTCTGAGCTTCCCCAAGATGCAGGAGCCACCCAGCTTGCATCCCACAGCCTCCCGGCTTCCCTCAGCTGCACACCCTCCCAGGTGCCAGGAGCACAGCTCGGGCCCCGCTCTCCCCCGTCACGCTGAGCTCTGTGCTAGGGTGGGTAGGGAAGGCCTCCTTCTCTGCAGAAGACTCAGGCCAGGCCAGGTTCCCACACCATTCTGTCCCCCACACGACTCTTCCATGCCAGTCTCCATCTCCTCAAGTACCTGCCTACCAAGAAAATAAGTCCTGTTCCTTCCTCTGTGCACACCTCTTTATGCAAAGAGGCACTGAAAGCTCAGAGGCCTCAGCAGCCCCGTCTGGGTTCTGGCTGCACTCAGGGATGCTTGCCCCTCCCGCTGGAAGTGCTCTCCCCACGGCAGGAGTGAGGAGCACTGAGACAACAGCCACCTGGAGTGGAAGGTCACCCAGGGGCACGCCATGGCGGTGGAGCCACCCCGGGGATTTCTTCTTCCTTTGCCAGTCTCTGCCCAAAAGATGAAATGCAGAGATGTGGTGTGTACATCTGAGAAGCCACAGATGCTAGCAGTGCCCATGGGGGGCATCTGCAGGGGGCATCTGTTGGGGGTCTGGAGGGCACTATGTTGTCCCCAAGGGCCCCATCCAGCACAGAGCAGTGTCAGCCAGCTCTCAGCAGTGTCACTTTGTGGACCAGCCCAGCTCTGGACCAGCTTGCTGAGGGGAGACGGCACAGTGCAGAGAGAGGAAACTGCCTGATCTCCGTTCCAGATGTAACCCAGTTCTTAGGCTATTATGGGACTGTGGGGACATTAAAGGACAGGAAGCACAGCCCTCCCCTCAAACATCAGAACTTCCCAAGACTCCCAAGGAGCTGCTGGCCCCAGCCTGGGTCCCTCCCAAGTCTGTCTGCCAGCAGCTGCAAAGGCCTCACATACCCTCCCTGTGTCAGGTGCACCAAGGTTCCTGGCTGATTAGCACCAAGGAGGACAAAAGCAGGCCTTTTGCAGTAGCTGTGTCTGTCTGTCTGTCTGTCTCAGGAAGCTGGAAAAGTGGCTAACTGAATTACATCCATGTCGTGCTCCCCCGGCGAGCGCCCGCCACCTTCATCTTTTCCCCTTTTGGTGACGTTCAGCACTGATTACAAAGTGTCTCAGCTGGTAATATGTTCACTTCATTTTTTTTAGATGTGTTTTTTATTCAGTTCACAGATGAATCCAATTAGCATATCACTGTGACTGATTAAATATGCCTCATGTAAATTTACATGTCAAAATACACACTGTACTTAAACAAGTAGGCCCGGCTGCCAGGCATCTGTAAACAGCTTTGCAGGCTTGGCCAGCTCGAAACACAAAAGCTAAGATTTAAATGTGCGGTGACTACCTGGTAGAGAGCGAGGAAGAGGGAAAAGGTAGTGTTACTCATGCATGAGGGGAGGGAATGAATATAGACATTTGTCTCTCTTTGTCTCTGAAGGGAGGCCATTGACAAGAGAGTCCCCATCTGCATAGGAGGCTGCCACATCCAATTAGCTCACCAGGCGATGGAAATTGCGCCTCTGATCCAGAAAAGTCCCTGTGCACTAAAGTCAAGACTGTTTCAAAGAGATTATATTATCTTAGACAGCAGGATTAAATTAATATGGCAATGACTTCTACGGGAGGAAATGTTTTTGTGAAACGTGCTAATGTTTATTATGCATTCTCCATCATAAGTGATCGCCTTTGATGTTCTATTCATTTGTTGATTGGTTTCCGACTTCCTCTTAGAAGGGAGTGAAGAAACCCAGGTATGAAAATTGGATTGCGAAAGTTAAAGACAGAGAGAAAGCCTTAATTAGATTCCTCTAGAAGCAGTGACTACTGGTTCTGTGGGTTATTGGGGGAAGTTCTTAAAATAATGAAATAAAATTAAGTGTGGTTTGGCCACCAAGAGCATCAGCACCAAAGGCACCCAGCCTCCTGGGGAAGCCCTGAGTCTCCGCCGCATGGATGGTAGAGGGGTGCGGCCGCTGCTTTGCCTCGTGGGGGCCGTGGAGGGGCGCCCTTCGGACCTCCTGGAGAGGGTAGAGGGGTGCGGCCACTAATTTGCCTCGTGGGGGCCATGGAGGGGTGCCCTTCGGACCTCCTGGAGAGGGTAGAGGGGGGCGGCCACTGCTTTGTCTCGTGGGGGCCGTGGAGGGGTGCCCTTTGGACCTCCTGGAGAGGGTAGAGGGGTGCAGCCACTGCTTTGCCTCGAGGGGGCTGTGGAGGGGTGCCCTTTGGATCTTTTGGAGACACCTGGCCACAGTTCCCAGCCACTCGGGGTCCACCACGTTCCCTCGAGGCCAGGCTCCACCCAGGCTGTCCCCAGCCTAGGACAAAGCTCCCTGGGCTACAGGGACAGCCCTCCCTGGCCAGTGCCGCCCTTCTGCGAACTGCACCTCGGGGGCTCCTGCTGGGGTCTGAGGCTCTGCCGCCTTCTCCCTGCCCAGGCTGGCCCCCATCGATCCCACCCTGGCGTCTGCTTCCCAAGCACCCAGTGGGCACAACCCCCAGAAGCACAGTCTCTCTCAGTCCTGGGAGGGGATTTTTTTTCAATTTCAAGTCATGTCAATAAAAGTGATTTTCATAAACTAACCTAGAGGAATTTTTATGGCTGGGGAGACACAGGCTTACCTGGGAATTTCTGAGTGTGCCTTCATGGTTGGGCCATCTGCAGCTGGGAACTAAAAGGCGCTTTAAAAATGACTGACACTGTAGGAAAATCTCACAACTGGAGCAGATGAGCCATAGTGACTGAGGGAGAAACATGAGCTGGATGAGAAAGGAGGGCCTGCAGGCACCACTGGAAGGGCCCAGCATCCTCTCACAGCACAGCGAACTCCGATGTGGCTCTGACTGTTTAATTAACGTGTAGCTAAAGATCACAGAAAAGGGGAAAACAGCGAAGACAGAAAAGAAAAGAATTCAGAACCAGCTTTAGCTTCTGATATTATGGGAAATTCTGAAGAGGAACGAATGGTATGACAAAATGGAAAGAAACATTTTCCTGGTGTGTTTTATAAACACACGTAAAGAGGTTCAATAGGTTTAATGTGGTAAAAGGAGATGTATTTAAACATGGCAGGCATTTGCCCGAAGCTGCTTGTAAATAAGCTGTGGGACAGCCGCTGCGGAAGATGCAGAGACCCCAGAGATGCAGAGACCCCAGAGATGCAGAGACCCTAGAGATGCAGAGACTCCAGAGACGCAGAGACCCCAGAAATGCAGAGACTCCAGAGACGCAGAGACTCCAGAGAGGCAGAGACCCCAGAGATGCAGAGACCCCAGAGACGCAGAGACTCCAGAGACGCAGAGACCCCAGAGATGCAGAGACCCCAGAGATGCAGAGACCCCAGAGATGCAGAGACTCCAGAGACGCAGAGACTCCAGAGATGCAGAGACCCCAGAGATGCAGAGACCCTAGAGACGCAGAGACCCCAGAGATGCAGAGACCCTAGAGACGCAGAGACTCCAGAGATGCAGAGACCCCAGAGATGCAGAGATCCTAGAGATGGAGAGACCCCAGTGATGCAGAGACTCCAGAGACGGAGAGACCCCAGAGATGCAGAGACCCTAGAGAGCATGGGGGCCCTAGAGAGAAGTCACTGACACACAGGTTTCGGCTAAAAGTTACTATTCTGATTAGGGCCTGTGTGAAGTAGGAATGTGCCTGTGGAGTGTGATGTGAACACAGCTCTCCGAAATTTTCCCATGCGTGGGCCGATTCGACTGTGTGCTTGTCCTGAGACCAAGAAGAAAACTGCTGAAGTCCCAAAGTGGGACAGGGTTGGGGACAGGACACTCCTCAGGAAAGAAAGGCCACACCCTTTCTGCAGACACTCAAAAAGACTGCTGTGTGGGATGGGGGACAGAGCAAGAGAGGAAGACACGAAGGAAAAACACACATTTACCGGCTGTTTTTGTCTGTGAGTCGAGTCTATGAAACATGCCGTGAGATTATTTTCTGCGGTTGATTATTCATGCAACGAACACGTCAGAACACCTTCAGGTGGCCCATGGGTGAGGTCTCGCAGGTGCAGCCTCCTCTCCAGAATCTGGCAACCAGGAGAGGCCCTTTGGCGGGCCCAGTAATGGGGGTGCATGCACCTCTCTGCCCATCCCACACCTCTACACGGCTGCTCCCAGGCACCAGAGCCTCCACCTACCCCAAACCAAGTCCTGCCCATAGTGTGCCCCGTAGCACCGTCAGCCCTGCCTTCCATGATTGCAGCTGATGTGCCTGGGGGCGCGGGCACCATTAATTCCTGTATCTTCCCCTCTGTCCAATCCATCACCAAATCCCACTGCTGGCACCTCCAAGACACCTGCAGACTGCAGCCCGCACGCCAGTGCCCAAGGTCAGGCCAGGTGGCCCCTGCCTGCTCCCCATCCTTCGTGCTCTGCCCAGCCGTCCCCTTCACTGTGGTCAGAGCTGTGGGCGGTAAGCCACCCAGGTGCCGAGGCAAGAGACTGAGGGCACGAACTGTTCCAGTGTAATAAAATATGTAAAATAAGAATAGTTATACTAGATCTAGATCATAGATATGATTATATATGAATATCATTCATCATTAGTTTGTAGCAATTACTCTTTATTCCAATATTATCATAGTCTTTGCTCTATAATCATAACCTAGGAAAAACCAGGCCATACAGAGATAGTAGCTGAGGGGACACAGTGAGAAGTGACCAGAAGACAAGGGTGTGAGCCTTCTGTTATGCCCAGACAGGGCCACCAGAGGGCTCCTTGGTCTAGCGGTAACGCCAGTGTCTGGGAAGATGCCCGTTGCCAAGCGGACCGTGGTCAAGCGGTAGCGTCAGTGCCAAGGAAAAACACCCGCTACTTAGCAGACCAGGAAAGGGAGTCTCCCTTTCCCTGGGGGAGTTTAGAGAAGACTCCACTCCTCCACCTCTTGTGGAGTCAGGCCCACCCGCAGTTATCCGGAGGCCTAACCGTCTCCCTGTGATGCTGTGCTTCAGTGGTCACGCTCCTAGTCCGCCTTCATGTTCCATCCTGTACACCTGGCTCTGTGTTTTAGATAGCAGTAGCAAATTTGTGAAAGTACTAAAAGTCTGATATGCAGAAATAATGGCGTAAGCTGTCTCCTCTCTCCTCTGCCTCGGCTGCCAAACAGGGAAGGGCCCCCTGTCCAGTGGACACGTAACCCATGTGACCTTACCTATCACTGGAGATGGCTCACACTCCTTACCCTGCCCCTTTGTTTTGTATCCAATAAATATCAGCGCAGCCTGGCATTCCGGGCTACTACTGGTCTCCGTGACTTGGTGGTAGTTGTCCCCAGGGCCCAGCTCTTTTATCTTTTTGTCTTGTGTCTTTATTTCTATGATCTCTCGTCTCCACACACGGGGAGAAAAACCCACTGACCCTGTGGGGCTGGACCCTACACAGAGCGACACTTCTAACGGGGCCCTGTTCCAGACCCCACTGCCTGTGGGTGGAGTCCGGGCCGAGGCCCCTTCCTCTCTGTCTGGTTCTTGCTGCTTTTTTCAGTCTGGAATCTTCGGAGGCTCTTGCTCTGCTCTAATGCAGACCTTCTCCCACACACTCCCTCCACCTGGAAGCTCCTCCTGCCTTCGTATTGGCCTTGGTAACTCCCGCAGGTCCTGCTAATCTCGCCTGAAAGGTCACCTCTGCCAAGGAGTGTTACCCTGCCCCAGACAAGGTCAGATCTCCTTAATGGATGCCCTGAGCCATCACAGCATGGCCACCAGGCACTCCCCGGGGCCTCATCCACACAGAGGCCGGGAGCAGGGGGGCACACCTGGCTTGTTCTCTGTCCCCATGGGGGCGGCAGGCACTGGATTTGGTGCTCAAACAGTGGGTGCTCTCTCCGTCCTCCCATGAGCCCAGGGGAAAGTGTTGGGAAAAACACATTTGTAAAAATCACTTTTGTGTGCATTTTTCAACAGAACAAAATACTTCCACATGTGCCTGGGTTTAGGATGGGCAGGAGAAGCCCCTGAAAGGGTGCTCGGTTTGACGATGGGATGTTTTCGTGTGCATCCCGTCACCAGCCACAGCAGACCCGTTCTCCACAAAGCTCGGTCAGCTGCTGGAGCAGGAGTGTGCTGGACTCCTGCTGCTGCTTCTCCAGCGTCCAGTGAGGCCTATTTCTTATAGCTACATTTTGCCAATGCTTTTGAGTGATTCTTGTTCAGTGCCTACAATCAACACAGCAGGACAGTGGCTCTCCCTGGCAGTGCCTCTCATTGACCCCCTTGGAGTCCTTACAGAAGCTGCACATTAAGTCCCACGCATCATCCCAGGTCAGGGGACGGTGAGTGGCCATCCAGCATGGTGGAAGCAGGTGCAGCTGTGCCACCCACATCGGGACGCGTGCTCCACTCGTGGCATTCCAGGCTCACAATGTCGCCCTTATCCGATGATCAGCCACCTCGGATGTGTCCATCAAGCTTTTAAAATTCACAAACAAAAACAAAAGATGCACTAGACCCACCCAGCGACCCCAAGGTCACGCCCTCTGTGGTTATTGGCAACTCGGGGACGCTGCCCAGCTCCCGATTCCGCTCAGCACCTGTGGACGCGGGAGCATCTATCATCAATCCTCTGCAATTCTATTTTATGATAAATACAGAAATGACCCTTAACCCACCTTTCCCTCCTTTTTGCTTTTTCCTATTGACACCTGCCCAGCACATCTGCCTCTCGGCAACCACAGAATGAACCAGAAACTTTGCTCTTCTGCTGTGCCCACAGGAAACTGAATCTCCTGACAGCCTCCCATGACTGTTCTGCTAGAATCGTCAAACTTGGGGAAAAACAGGATTTGAGATGAACTTCCACGTTACAGGCAGCAAAGCCCAATGATGATGGTCTCTTTTTCAGGACAAGCATTTGGATTCCATAACACAGTCAGTCACAGACCGAGCAGGTACACCCGAGGAATAGCCTCTGCAGTCTCACCTGCTGGCCCCACAACAGAGTTCTGGATTCTTTCCTAGTCTGTGTTTGGGAAACACACGTAACGCTGTGGCACTGTGGCCTGGAGTGGGTGAGGCAGACGGCCAGCTGCCCTCCCCTCCTGAGCAAAGGGAAGTGGGTGCATGGAGGACCCCAGAGAGCCCAGGCCCCACTTCCTCATGAGGAAAAGGACCACAGCAAAGTCTCCAAGAACCCAGCCTCAGCATCCCCGCCACTCCCCAAAGCTCCTCAGCGTGGCTGCTTGGGACCCCTCATCTGCCCCCATCTGCCATGTTCATGTGCACAAGGTCCACAACGGCAGCCAGACCACACCTGGAAAGACACACAGCAAAAGCTTCCCAAGGAACACGGGCCGTGAAGGAGTTAAAGTCCTCAGGTCTACGAATACGACATTATCTTTTTTTCCTTGTTTCCTGCTAATCTGTTTAATGGGAAAGTTTCCCTCCTCACAACCCATATACAGAATGCTTCCTTAGTTGCAGGCTTTACAAATAATTATCTAGAAATAAATAAGTACAATGATCTATTGTAAGTAAATCTGCATAAAGAAGAGTTTTCTTTTCTTCCATGAAAATCTAGCCACTTACTGCAGTAGAATCACTACACTCCATCTGCGCACGGTGACGCATCACTGCAGCCACACTCCATCTGCCCACGGTGAGACATCACTGTAGCCACACTCCATCTGCCCACGGTGAGACATCACTGCAGCCACACTCCATCTGCCCACGGTGACACATCACTGCAGCCACGCCCCATCTGCCCACGGTGAGACATCACTGCAGCCACACTCCATCTGCCCACGGTGAGACATCACTACAGCCACGCTCCATCTGCCCACGGTGACACATCACTGCAGCCACACTCCATCTGCCCACGGTGAGACATCACTGCAGCCACACTCCATCTGCCCACGGTGAGACATCACTGCAGCCACACTCCATCTGCACACAGTGACGCATCACTGCAGCCACACTCCATCTGCACACGGTGAGACATCACTGCAGCCACACTCCATCTGCACACGGTGAGACATCACTGCAGCCACACTCCATCTGCCCACGGTGAGACATCACTGCAGCCACACTCCATCTGCCCACGGTGACACATCACTGCAGCCACGCTCCATCTGCCCACGGTGAGACATCACTGCAGCCACACTCCATCTGCCCACGGTGACACATCACTGCAGCCACGCTCCATCTGCCCACGGTGAGACATCACTACAGCCACACTCCATCTGCCCACGGTGAGACATCACTGCAGCCACACTCCATCTGCACACAGTGACGCATCACTGCAGCCACACTCCATCTGCACACGGTGAGACATCACTGCAGCCACACTCCATCTGCCCACAGTGAGACACCACTGCAGCCACACTCCATCTGCCCACAGTGAGACATCACTGCAGCCACACTCCATCTGCACACGGTGACACATCACTGCAGCCACACTCCATCTGCCCACAGTGAGACATCACTGCAGCCACACTCCATCTGCCCACAGTGAGACACCACTGCAGCCACACTCCATCTGCCCACGGTGACACATCACTGCAGCCACACTCCATCTGCCCACAGTGAGACACCACTGCAGCCACACTCCATCTGCCCACGGTGAGACATCACTGCAGCCACACTCCATCTGCACACGGTGACACATCACTGCAGCCACACTCCATCTGCCCACAGTGAGACATCACTGCAGCCACACTCCATCTGCCCACAGTGAGACACCACTGCAGCCACACTCCATCTGCACACAGTGACACATCACTGCAGCCACACTCCATCTGCACACAGTGACGCATCACTGCAGCCACACTCCATCTGCACACGGTGACGCATCACTGCAGCCACACTCCATCTGCCCACGGTGACACATCACTGCAGCCACACTCCATCTGCCCACGGTGAGACATCACTGCAGCCACACTCCATCTGCACACAGTGACACATCACTGCAGCCACACTCCATCTGCACACAGTGACACATCACTGCAGCCACACTCCATCTGCAGTGACACATCACTGCAGCCACACTCCATCTGCCCACGGTGACACATCACTGCAGCCACACTCCATCTGCACACGGTGACACATCACTGCAGCCACACTCCATCTGCCCACGGTGACGCATCACTGCAGCCACACTCCATCTGCACACGGTGACGCATCACTGCAGCCACACTCCATCTGCCCACGGTGACGCATCACTGCAGCCACACTCCATCTGCCCACGGTGACGCATCACTGCAGCCACACTCCATCTGCCCACGGTGAGACATCACTGCAGCCACACTCCATCTGCACACGGTGAGACATCACTGCAGCCACACTCCATCTGCCCACGGTGAGACATCACTGCAGCCACACTCCATCTGCACACGGTGAGACATCACTGCAGCCACACTCCATCTGCACACGGTGACACATCACTGCAGCCACACTCCATCTGCACACGGTGAGACATCACTGCAGCCACACTCCATCTGCACACGGTGACACATCACTGCAGCCACACTCCATCTGCACACGGTGACACATCACTGCAGCCACACTCCATCTGCCCACGGTGACACATCACTGCAGCCACACTCCATCTGCACACGGTGACACATCACTGCAGCCACACTCCATCTGCACATGGTGACACATCACTGCAGCCACACTCCATCTGCACACGGTGACACATCACTGCAGCCACACTCCATCTGCACACGGTGACACATCACTGCAGCCACACTCCATCTGCACACAGTGACACATCACTGCAGCCACGCTCCATCTGCACACGGTGACACATCAGTGCAGGGTAGAAACTCCCCCATCTCCCATGCAGCCCCCAGCGGCCGCCATCACAGGTCTCACTGTCTCGCCGTGTGTGTGTAACCTGCTTTCTCCCCAGCTCCCACGGCTGTGGCGGCACCTCTCCGTCTCTGTCTGCGCATGGCCGCTCTCTGTGTCTGTACCTTCACGAGGTGATCCCCTCTTCTGCTAAGGACACAGTCATGTTGGATTGGGACCCACCCTCATGGAGTCTGACCTCCTCTTATTGACATCTGCAAAGATCCTATTTCCAAATAAGGCCAAATCCACAGGTAGCAGGGGTTAGGTTTTGACCATAACTTTCTGGAGGTCTCATTATCCCCACAGCAGGTGTCACCCAGAAATGGTTGACAGAGTGTCCACTGCACACCAGGCAGCCTGCTAGAGACATTGCATTCATTACCTTTGCCTATTTATGAATATGGGAAGGTTTTGCAAAGCGATGAATGGCATGGAAAGAGACCATGTAGGCCTTGCTAAGAAGGATGGCCTGGAGGGATGAAGAAGGACCTTTCAAGGCTTTTTGTTTGAATCGAAAGTTTCCTTTATTAAGTTATTTTACCAAGTGAGCTTGTATCAAGGCTGAGCTTTCAGCGCAGTATTTATGAGCTGCATTTCTTTCAAAACATTCTATCAAACTGACATTTCCTTAAATCAGACTGACCTTCCACAATATGGAATAAATCAGGTGGTTTAACTCTACTGACTAAAGAGTGTTTTCCCCAACCCTGAGCCAGGCGGCTTTGTCCGTGTCGCTCAGCTGCCGGCTCACTGAAGGGTGGTCATGGAAGAGCAGGCCGCCGTCGGGCGGTGACTGATTACAATCATTTGTTGTGATGCATCGCAAATTAAAGGGACAAGCCCAGCCAAGCTGCTCCGCTCAGAGAGTGCGCGTCCCGCCTCTGCAATTACTGATGTGCACAAAGGACCCAGGGACCACTTAAAACAAGGGGAGGACTGAGTCCACGCAGGGATGAAGCCACAGGCACAGTCCCCACGTGCTTGACAGTGGCCCCGCAACCCACCTGCTCCAGACACCTGTTCCGAGGGAATCTCTCCCATCCACCTGCCGCTGTGGCTCAGACCCCAGGCACAACACAAGCGCTCGGCAGAGAAATGGACCGTGCCGCCAATGCACTCGGCGCTGAACCATCATTGAGGAGAGACCAGCTGCTGCTGTGGCCCCTGGGGCTGCAGCATAAACAGTCGTGGTGGCAAAGTGGTGTCCACAATTACTTGTGTCGTCCGTGAGCACACTGGCTGTGGACGGAGGAAGGCTGTGGCTCCAGGATTGTCATTTCAGCACCGCTGCCCATGGTCCAAGAGCCGTAGCTGAGATGCAATGGGGGTGTCCTTCATCACCGGTCCCCAGGACCACACCTGAAGGACCTAACAATGATCCTGATGAGAAGGTTGTTAACCTGTCAAAGCATCAAGATGAAACATCACACAAGACGCTCTGAGCAGGAACCCACTAGTGACAGGGCCCTTCGATCCATGTGGAAGTGCCTAATGCCACTTTTTTGATGAGCAAAAATGGCAGCTAATAATTTAAGGCAAAAAAGGAACACAATCCAGTATGACAGTTTTTCCCCAACCAGAGGGAGTGCCCATGCGTGGTGTCCCACGAAGGCGGAGCTGGGCATGAGCACGGCCATGGTCCTGCTGTCAGAGCAACCTCATTCCACGGGGTGAGCATCTCGCACCTTGGTGCGGAAGCCCAGAGCCCACGCTGACTTCTGCAATAGCCTCAGTAAAGCGACGGGCGACGGCCATGGCACAGAGCACTGAGCACAGAGGTTATCTGAGGTGGCTTCGCATCAGCTCACAGCAGAGGAGCGTTGGCCCAGTTCACAGATGGAGAAAACAAGGCTGGAGGAGACCAACGTGTCCAACATCACAGGTAAGTCAAGGCTATGGGACTGAAACTCAGTCCTGTGGACACCAGCCAGGGCTGCAGGTGCTGGCTGTATTCCTGCTGTTACAGTCAGTGCACATGTGTGTGGGGCTCTGCAGTTTCCCAGGTACTGTCAGTGGCAGTGAAAGGTGATGGCGTGCTGGCAGCCCTTGCAGCCCTCGCTCACTCTCAGCACCTCCTTGGCCTTGGCGCCCACTCTGGCCCTGCTTGAGGAGCCCTTCAGCTCACTGCTGCACCATGGGAGCCCCTCTCTGGGCTGGCCAAGGCCTGAGCCGGCTCCCTCTGCTTGTGGGGAGGTGTGGAGGGAGAGGCACAGGCAGGAACTGGGGCTGTGCGTGGTGCTCACGGGCCAGCACGAGTTCTGGGTGGGCGTGGGCTCGGCAGGCCCCACACTCGGAGCTGCCAGCCAGCGCTGCTGGCCCCAGGCAGTGAGGGGCTTAGCACCCAGGCCAGCAGCTGCGGAGGGTGTGCCGGTTCCCCCAGCAGTGCCAGCCCACCAGCACTGCGCTCAAATTCTTGCTGGGCCTCAGCTGCCTCCCCATGGGGCAGGGCGCGGGATCTGCAGCCCACCATGCCTGAGCCTCCCCTTCGCCATGGGCTCCTGTGCGGCCTGAGCCTCCCCGACAAGCGCCGCCCCCTGCTCCGCGGCGCCCAGTCCCATTGACCGCCCAAAGGCTGAGGAGTGTGGGCTCACGGTGCACGACTGGCAGGCAGCTCCGCCTGCGGCCCTGGTGCAGGATCCACTAGGTGAAGCCAGTTGGGCTCCTGAGTCTAGTGAGGACTTGGAGAACATTTATCTCTAGCTAAGGGGTTGTAAATACTCCAATCAGCACTCTGTGTCTAGCTAAGGTTTGTAAATACACCAATCAGCACTCTGTGTCTAGCTCAAGGTTTGTAAATACAACATTTAGTGCTCTGTATTTAGCTAATCTGATGGGGACTTGGAGAACATTTATGTCTAGCTAAGGGACTGTAAATACACCAATCAGCACTCTTGTGTCTAGCTAATGGTTTGTAAACACACCAATCAGCACTCTGTGTCTAGCTCAAGGTTTATAAATACACCAATCAGCACTCAGTGTCTAGCTCAGGGATTGTAAATGCACCAATCAGCACCCTGTCAAAAAAGACCAATCAGCTCTCTGTAAAACAGACCAATCAGCTCTCTGTAAAATAGACCAATCAGCAGGATGTGGGTGGGGCCAGATAAGGGGAAAAAAGCAGGCTGCCCGAGCCAGCAGTGGCAACCCACTTGGGTCCCCTTTCACATTGTGGAAGCTTTGTTCTTCTGCTCTTTGCAGTAAATCTTGCTGCTGCTCACTCTTTGGGTCTGCACTGCCTTTATGAGCTGTAACACTCACCATGAAGGTCTGCAGCTTCACTCCTGAGGCCAGCGAGACCACGAACCCACCAGAAAGAAGAAAATCTGAATACATCCAAACATTAGAAGGAACAAACTCGGGACACACCGCCTTTAAGAACTGTAACACTCACTGCAAGGGTCCGTGGCTTTATTCTTGAAGTCAGTGAGACCAAGAACCCACCCATTCTGGACACAGCAGGTCAGGGAATGGGGTGCCCTACAGAGTTTCCAGAAGGCAACCACGACAAAACCTAATACCAATTAGCTAATGACCATTCTACACACTTACACACATATGTATGTGCTCAGAAAGTGAGACACACTCAGTGAGAGACACACACTACATACAATCACTCACACACACAGTGAGACACGGGCTCATACAGCAAGACAACACACATGCTCAGTGAGATACCACAATTCCACCAGCAGGGACCATCTCAGCAGAATGTGGCCATGCAGGGGCCTGTGCCTGCTGCTAGAGGCGACGAGGTCTCAGCCTCTAAGTACAAACCTTCCCACATACGAGGACAGAGAAACCTGGGGTGAATTCCACATAGTTCATCTAACAAACAGGCATCCCGAGCAAGTTGGGGTTTAACCGCATTGACTCTGGCAACCTGAACATGTGCTGGGTGTCCAAGTCCAGGGCTCAGAAGCAGCTGGAGAGCCCGGGACATGCACAGCATTCTCCTGGGGACGTCTCTCAGGACCTGTTACCCAGACGACCAAGACGAGATGCCCAGGACAGCCACAGCCCCCGGGAGAGCATGGGAGGTGCATGAGGGAGCTGTGGGGCCAGAGACTGGGGTCACAGCCATGGGGGAGCCGGGGGAGCCTGGGGAGCCCAGCGCTGTGAGGTTGCTTGGACACACTGGTCACGCCGGACACTGCCCCATGGTTTCCTGTCCAGCTGTTTCCTGGAATCTGGCTGCTAAAAAGAGAGCCATCTACACACTGTGTCTGAGGGACGCCAAGGACTCCTTCCTCCCCAGATGCTCCTTTTTCTTCTCCTCAGGGCCTCTGTCATCTCCCACTCACCAAAGCCCCCCCTGTGCCAGTGATTTCCAGAAGCTGACTGGTGGGGGGGACATTTTCTACTTGCAGGGGAGGGAAGAGAAAGGGTCACCCTCCCCGCAACAGAACTGACTCCTGGCTCAACCCCATTCTCCTCCAAGTCACAGCGTGGCTCTGTGATGACTGCTGGGCTGTCGGGTGTCCCTGGGGAAAGGAGTGCCAGGGCCTCCTGGGGATGGGGCACAGAGTGGCCAATTTTATGGATGATGGATGCTTCACCTGCTTCCAAAGGGGCTGCAGGCAGCGCAGGCATAAACACTCAGCTTAATAAAGACCAAGGCTGAGAAACAAGTAATCCAGGGGAAGAAAGGCAGAAAGATGGTGCTGCGCATCTGGTAATTGACTGTAATCTGGCATACTTCTGGGTGAGAGAAGCTAAGCAGGTGAGCACAAAATCTGGGAGTGAGATTGCCGACTCGGGACGAGAGAAACGCCTGACATGGCAGTGGCTCTGACTGTCTGGTGGCAGGAACCATGCAGTTCACCAGGAACACCAACGTCTCTCCTGGTCATGGGCCCCAAGATGCACTCAGGCGTGTCCTGGCTGAGAGACTTGGCGGAGCCTCCTCAGCAGCTTCAGGTGAGTTTTCTCAATGAGTTTCTTACCTCGCACCCTTCATGAAAACCAAGGACATAAGATCATGGGGGAGTCCTGTAAGGTCTACCGAAGACTTACTCCAAAATGCAACGTGCAGAATCCTGCAGTGAGCAGGGGCATGGTTTGCGGAATATGGGCCTCCAGAAGCAGCTGTGTTCACATGGTCATCTGACCAAGTCAGAGCCAAGTCTCAGGTCAGTGCTGAAAGGGCCCTGGGCTAACGGGCTGCGGCCAGAAAGACAGTGGCTGGCGGGGCAGATGGAGCCATCAGACCCGGGGGGAGGGCAGGGGCTGCCACCACCACACGGCCCCCACGGGTCAGACCAAGGTTTTGTATTTCACAACCAGCGGATAATGAGTTGAGTTGTTCACTAAACTGACGCTCAGAACTCTTATTCATTTTCAGAACAGTAAAGTCAAAACTCCACGAGGACCTTAAAAAAAACCATATTCTGGATTTAATTACAGATAAAAGAAATCTGACTTCTATTAAAAGAGGAGAAATTGCGTATTTAAAATGGAAATTACCCCAGAGCATGGGAATGGCACTGTCTTTCTGTCTTATTTTAGAATAAGAAATTATGTGGCCATTCAATTCTTGAAGAAAATGTTTTTAAAAGGGAAGAGGTGGATGGGCAGGAATGCATGCAAAGAGTTTCGTTCAGGGAAAGATCCTGCCCTGGCTCTCTAACCTCACACAGGGACGGGCTTTCTTTCCATGCCTCAGTTTACCTATGTGTCCCACGTCCCTCTGACATGACGTTGTATGTTTCCATTTATTTCCTCTGAAAATCACATAATATGCTGCTTTGTTTCTCTAGCAAGGAATGGCTGTGAGCTTGGGGGTCTTGAGGCTCGGAGGCATCACAAAAAATAAGACTCCGTCAGCAAGATGGTGTGCCCCCTCTGCCTCCCTCTCCGTTCCCAACCACCAGCCTGGGATGGCACCTTCCATGAGGTGGATGAGTCCCCTCCATTCAAGGCCTTCTCTGCAAACAGCCACCCTTCTGGCTCCAGGATGAAATGAGGCTCTAAATATGGGCTGCCAGGCTCAGGGCCAGGGCCGACAGGCACACTGACCTGCAGCATGGCTACCCCAGGCTCTCTCTGGCAGTTTTGCCACAGAATGTGCTCTAAGCTGTGCTGCTTCCTTTCCTTCAACCACCTCCCAACTCCTCAGTATGGAAGGGCTCTGAGTGCTCAAAGGAACACAGCCTTTTCAGCTGGTGTCACAAGACATTTACAAAACACCGTGGAGAAATTCCAAAACCAGGCACTGTAGAGAGACAGAAAGTAGTTTTCCCTACAGGAGAACGTTAACGCTAAGATCGGCTTTAGAAAACACACACCTGACACCTGAGTTGTGGTGACTCTCACCTGGTGAAGTCCCTTACGAATACATCCTTACCCAGATTGTATACTTTATGGGAAAATTAATAATGCCAAGCAGACGGCAAGGCTGGCAGGTGACTCTGGACCTCAGGATGTGACACAAAGGACTGGTCCTCGTGACTTGAGCACATCCCTGGGACATATGGGGTGGCTGAGGGCTCTGCAGAGAGAAACACTTCCTCAGTGGGGCCCTAGGCCTGTCAAGCGGGAAATAAAGACGAAATCTTAAGCAGATTTTCAATCATCTTCCTTCAATATCAGCAAATCCCACAAAAATTACAGTAGGGAGTAGTTATAGGTTGAAAGGTTAGAGCTGGGGAGAAAAGCAGGCTATATTTTCCTGTTTTCATGAAATTTCTCTTCTTACACCTGGCACCTAAGCAGCCTGCTGCTGTAGTTACTGTTCAGGTTACTATGGCCACAGGAGGGCTGAGGCATGTTAGATGGGTGGAGGGCAAGGGAAGGGTTGAGATGCAATTCTTATTTCCACGTATGTGATAATGCTGTTGCAATGCTTTTCAGCGAAGCCTCCTCCTGCACCCAGGGTGTCTCCTGATGCAGAGGGGCCGTTTCCAATGCCTTGCAGTCGTCTACCTTCCCTGCCGCTGCTCCGGCCAGCAGGCATTTGCTGAGTGTCTACTGTGGAGGAGCTCCCAGCTGGCAGGGGGCAGGGGTTTGTCTTCAGGAGCTCTTGGACTGCAGCTGTGAGTGGTACTCGGCTCCAGTGCCATTGAGGTCCCTGGGGGCTGCTCCCAATGGCTTGCTGGCCTTGCCTCCAGGACATGTTCTGAACCTCTGGGGTGGGGCCCAAGAGTCTGCGTTTTTAACGACCTCCAGCTGGTGCTCAGGGGCCCCGTTTGCAGAACTGCTGTTCTACAATCTTGAGAAAAGGTTTCTGTAACGGGCTGGAGAGTGAGTGTCGGAGGCTTTGTGGGTCGGGCAGTCCACCGTGACCACGCAGCTCTGCCTGTGGCGAAAGCTGCCAGAGACAAGGCGTGAAGGAGTGAGCGAGTGACAGAGTGAGTGAGTGAGCACTGTTCCCACCAGGCTTCCTTCCCAGAGCAGCACACCGGGTCAGGCCGGGCCGCGGGCAGCACACCGGGTCGGGTCAGGCTGGGCCGTGGGCAGCACACTGGGTCACGCTGGGCCATGGGCAGCACACTGGGTCACGCCGGGCCATGGGCAGCACACCAGGGCAGGCCGGGTCATGGTGTGCTTAGAATTTGGTGAGGCGGCAGGGTCGGGGCAGACAGGGTGGGGTCTGAGGACAGCCGCTGAGGCTCTTCCTGTGGGGTGGCATGGACCTTGCAGCTGGGAGATGGCAGGACCGGGTATGGGGAAAGGAGGGAGGAAGGCAGGCATGCTGGGCTGGAGGAGAGCTGAGCCAGGGTGGGCAACAGGACTTGGTGGGGGTCCAGGCTGTGCAGTCCCAGGGGAAGAACGGCCCATGCCAGCGGCCCTGACTGAGCAGAGCAGGCCAGAGCGTGGGGACTTCATCCCTCAGTGTCCCTGTCACTCCTTCAACATGAAGGAGAAAGCCATGAAACGACGCAGGTGGCTGTCTGATCAGGCCCACTGGGTGCTGAGCTTGCTGTCCCCGTGGGGTGCCCGTGCTCATGGCAGCCGAGGGTACGGTGCAGTGCACAGGAGGCCCAGGCCACAGCTCCCACGCCAGGACCATTAGGGACCCAGTGCAGTGGCTGGACTGCAGCTGGGGCAGGAGCTGCTGAGGAGGTGGGTGCCCAGCACCACCTTTGCACTCGGCACCACCTTTGCACTCAGCAGAACGGAGGCCGCGTCCTCAGGGAAGCATGGGCCTGCATTGGTACGGCTTCACTTTAAAAATGCATCATCAAACCCCGCAAACCACTGGAACCGGGTGCCTATTGAATGTGAGCACTCAGCCCAAATCATCACTGTGAACTAAGGTATCTACACCTGCTTCATTCTAAACAGAAATGCAGATCTCTCTAAGCAGGAAGCACCTTAAGCTCCTGCCACCAGCATTCATTGGGGGATGTCATTTTGGTCGGTCAAGGGCTGTGAAGCTGATGGGATTTTCAATTTGTACCATTTTATACCACATGAGGAAATTGTGTAATTACTTTTGCCCATGACTTCTCATTCTTAACTTGCTTTCTCATGGATTACAACTGTAATAAGACAAGGTGTTGATAGAGTGCAAACTGTCTTTAAATTTAAAAGGTCTAATTGTACATCCACCTTTAATCAGTGCTAAAATATCAACACAGATTGAAACTTCCCTTCCCAAGCTGCCTGCCAGAGGATGTGATAACCCTGCTGCCGACACCATCTTCACGTGCTCTCTGTAAGCCGTGGGCTTTGCATCATACGAATCATCGCATCTCGTTAGTGAAGCGGCCTCATCTTGACACTGAAGACAGTCCAGGGAGGAGTGAGCAGCACTGCAAGAAGATGTCTTAGTGCCTGACACGGTGGGTCTTATCAGCTCAAGATCCTCTCCCATTCTTTTTAAACAAAATTTTTAGAGATAGGGTCACGCTCTATCACCCAAGCTCAGGGGCAGTGGCATGGTTGTGACCATGGTTGTGACAGATCACTGCAGCCTGGAACTCCTGGGC
This sequence comes from Homo sapiens, assembly GCF_000001405.40. Taxonomy (NCBI): domain Eukaryota; kingdom Metazoa; phylum Chordata; class Mammalia; order Primates; family Hominidae; genus Homo; species Homo sapiens. Next base: position 158,069,301 of record NC_000007.14, read on the forward strand.
TCAAGAGATCCTCCCACCTCAACCTCCTGTGTGGGACTTACAGGTACATCACCACGCTTGGCTAAATTTTTAAATATTTTTGTGGAGATGGGGTCTCACTATGTTGCCCAGCCTGGTCTCAAACTCCTGGTAAGTGATGCTCCTGCCTTGGCCTCCCAAAGTGCTGGGATGACAGGCATGGCCACCACACCCCCACCTTCTCCATTCTTTACCCCCCAAAGTGCTGAGATGACAGGCTCGGCCGCCACGCCCCACCTCCTCCATTCTTAACCCCCAAAGTGCTGGGATGACAGGCATGGCCACCACGCCCCACCTCCTCCATTCTTTACCCACAATTGTTGCTATTCTTCTAACCCCATGACATCTTACTGTCTGCTTGTAGCCAAGTAAAGAACACTACTGAAAAGAGAGTACTTCATGAGGATTTGCCATGGCATCTTTCCCACTCCAGGCATTCGTGGGATGCCCAGGCACGCAAGGCCAATGGACATCTTGAGTGAGCAATGGCAACCAACAACTTATAAACTGCTCAGACTTTACATTTTGCTCTCACATCAAATTATTCCCACTTCATTTGATCTGAATGCAGCCTCGCGGAGTGTAACTATTGGCCCTAGCTGACAGAGAAGGCACCCTGAGGTTTGAAAACAGTCAATGAGTCGTCCAAAGTCACAAAACAAGCAAATAGCTGGGAGGGTGCTGTGAACTCAAGTTCTAAACTCCAAGCTCTTGTTTTTCCTTCTTCCATTTTGCCAACCTCAGGTGCCATGAAGTGGCACAGAACATCCAGGCAGGGCTGGAGAGGCTGATACCTGACCTAGATTGGTGCCTAATCCATGGGGCACTGCACTATGGCCAACACAGCAGACATCCAAAAGCAGGGACTGACCTAGAGTAAGGAGGCTCCATTGCCCTCAGCTTCAGTAGGTAAGCAGCCAACTGCTGTAGAGGTGCTCATGGTGATGGAGGTGCTCATGGTGGAGGTGCTCGTGGTGGTGGAGGTGCTCCTGGTGGTGGAGGTGCTCGTGGTGTGGAGGTGCCCGTGGTGGTGGAGGTGCCCCTGGTGGTGGAGGTGCCCGTGGTGGTGGAGGTGCTCGTGGTGGTGGACGTGCTCGTGGTGGTGGTGCTCGTGGTGGTGGAGGTGCCCGTGGTGGTGGAGGTGCCCGTGGTGGTGGAGGTGCTCCTGGTGGTGGAGGTGCCCGTGGTGGTGGAGGTGCTCCTGGTGGTGGAGGTGCTCCTGGTGGTGGAGGTGCCCATGGTGGTGGTGGAGGTGCCCGTGGTGGTGGAGGTGCCTGTGGTGGAGGTGCTCCTGGTGGTGGAGGTGCCCCTGGTGGTGGAGGTGCCCATGGTGGTGGAGGTGCTCCTGGTGGTGGAGGTGCCCGTGGTGGCGGAGGTGCCCCTGGTGGCGGAGGTGCCTGTGGTGTGGAGGTGCCCGTGGTGGTGGAGGTGCCCGTGGTGGTGGAGGTGCTCATGGTGGAGGTGCCCGTGGTGGTGGAGGTGCCCGTGGTGGTGAAGGTGCCCGTGGTGGTGGAGGTGCCCATGGTGGTATGGAGGTGCCCGTGGTGGTGGTGGTGCCCATGGTGGTGGAGGTGCCCATGGTAGTGGAGGTGCCCATGGTGCTGGAGGTGCTCCTGGTGGTGGAGGTGCCCGTGGTGGTGGAGGTGCTCACGGTGGAGGTGCCCGTGGTGGTGGAGGTGCTCATGGTGGTGGAGGTGCTCGTGGTGGAGGTGCTCTTAGTATGGAGGTGCTCATGGTGGTGGAGGTGCTCGTGGTGGTGGAGGTGCCCGTGGTGGTGGAGGTGCTCGTGGTGGTGGAGGTGCCCGTGGTGGTGGAGGTGCTCGTGGTGGTGGAGGTGCTCGTGGTGGAGGTGCTCTTAGTATGGAGGTGCTCATGGTGGTGGAGGTGCTCGTGGTGGTGGAGGTGCCCGTGGTGGTGGAGGTGCTCGTAGTATGGAGGTGCCCGTGGTGGTGGAGGTGCCCGTGGTGGTGGAGGTGCTCGTGGTGGAGGTGCCCATGGTAGTGGAGGTGCCCATGGTGGTGGAGGTGCTCGTGGTGGTGGAGGTGCTCATGGTGGTGGAGGTGCTCGTGGTGGAGGTGCTCGTGGTGGAGTTGCTCCTGGTGGTGGAGGTGCTCGTGGTGGTGGAGGTGCTCGTGGTTGAGGTGCTCGTGGTGGTGGAGGTTCTCATGGTGCAGGTGCTCCTGGTGGAGATGCTCGTGGTGGTGGAGATGCTCGTGATGATGGAGGTGCTCCTGGTGGTGGAGGTGCTCCTGGTGGAGGTGCTCCTGGTGGAGGTGCTCCTGGTGGAGGTGCTCGTGGTGGAGGTGCTCGTGGTGGTGGAGATGCTCGTGGTGATGGAGGTGCTCGTGGTGGTGGAGGTGCTCCTGGTGGAGGTGCTTGTGGTGGAGGTGCTCCTGGTGGTGGAGGTGCTCGTGGTGGTGGAGGTGCTCATGGTGGAGGTGCTCGTGGTGATGGAGGTGCTTGTGGTGGTGGAGGTGCTCCTGGTGGAGGTGCTCGTCGTATGGAGGTGCCCGTGGTGGAGGTGCTCGTGGTGGTGGAGGTGCTCGTCATATGGAGGTGCTCATGGTGGAGGTGCTCCTGGTGGAGGTGCTTGTGGTGGAGGTGCTCCTGGTGGTGGAGGTGCTCCTGGTGGAGGTGCTCGTCGTATGGAGGTGCCCGTGGTGGAGGTGCTCGTGGTGGTGGAGGTGCTCGTCGTATGGAGGTGCTCATGGTGGAGGTGCTCGTGGTGGTGGAGGTTCCCGTGGTGGTGGAGGTGCTCGTGGTGGTGGAGGTGCTCGTAGTATGGAGGTGCTCATGGTGGTGGAGGTGCTCATGTAGGATCTAAATGCCATTCAGTTGAACCTTTTGGTTCTGCTGACCAGCGTGCATTTAACCCACTCATCCTCACCCAAGGACTCTTGTCCAATAATGCAAATACGTAGAATGCTGTCCTGGCCGATAAGTCCGAGGCCTGATGGTGTGCAGTGCCCTCCTTATTAAGAACGATTACAGGGCCAGGGGACTCAGATGCCAGCCTTGCCGTGTGAATCATCATGTAAATTTTCAAGAATGGGCCTTCAGAGCTTTGGCATTCCCGTGCTGGGAGGAAAAGTGCAAAGAATCAGATGCAAGGCCTGAGAGCCCAGGGGCCTTGGGCAGGTGTTGACCAGGTAAGACCTGCCTGTGACAAGCGTCCCCAGCAGACAAGCTTCTGAGCAATTGTTTCCCAAGTGCTGAATAGCCTCATGCTGGTCCCAAGTGCTCAGGGACCCCTCCCTACCCATCCCAGGCAGCTCTCGGACTTCACTGAACCTCCCCTGCCTTCCAACCAAGAGCTGCTTCTCCGGAGTCCTGGTGTCAGGAGGAACTTTCCTGGGCTCACCAAGGTGACTCTGTGTTAGTCTGATCAACTGTGCACTCACAGGGGACACCAACTGCCAAGGGGTTTGTGCCACACACTCCAGCTGCTGTGTAGCCCTGTAGGGTCCCCAAAGCACAAGGAGACAACAAGGGAGAGTTTCAGATGCCAACGGGCTGGCGGAACATAATTTTTTAAATAATTGAGCCCTTCAGAGTCTCTCAAAAGTCATAATATTTGGACAATTCATGTCTCAAGACCTGAGCTTGTCCCAAGGGGCCCATAGGTATGGCAGAGCAGGAGAAACCCTCTGCCCTGCCCAAGATGGCCCAGGCTTGTGACCTGGTGCAGCTACAGGGCAGGACTCCTGGGCCGACCACCAGGGACAGAGGGCAGTGGCTCGGCTGTAGCTGAGGCAGGATCTGCTGGGGAGGTAGGTGCCCAGCACCATCTTTGCACTCTCCATCACCTTTGCACTCAGCACCACCTTTGCACTCAGCACCATCTTTGCACTCAGAACCATCTCGGCTCCTCTGCCCCTACTGCTTCTGTCGAGTTGCCATGGGAACTGATATTGGTAGAAGAACTCCCAAGAAGTGGCTTCTGGCAGACATCGGCCTCCCCTCAGCTCAGAGACAGCCTGTGAGCCGCGGCTGCAGGAGGAAGGAGCATGGTGGGCACCTGTGTGCTGGCTGGAAGTTGTGTCTCCAGGTGCCCGGGGGAGGGTGTGGGCCCATGCGTTGGCTTCAGGGCCGCACTGGCCTCTCCCTGCAGGCTCCAAGTGCACCTTCCTCGGGCACCCCTTGCTTTCCTCCTTCAGGTCTCAAAGCTATGCCCTGCCCAGCTGCCCTGCAGAACACAGCCCTGATTTAAAATGAGCCACTTTCTGCTCCGGTATAAAGACACTACCCTTTCTATGCGGAGATGAAGCCGCTTCCTACTAAGGTATGAAGACACTGCCCTTTCTATGCGGAGATGAGGCCGCTTCCTACTAAGGTATAAAGACACTACCCTTTCTATGCGGAGATGAGGCCGCTTCCTACTAAGGTATGAAGACACTGCCCTTTCTATTCAGAGGTGAGGGAAAGAGTGGAAACAGCATTCGCTTATGGACAAAGAGGAAAAGAAAAGGCTGTGAAAACAGGCATGGCAGCCTCGCATCATGGAAGGACCAGGGCTTCAACACAGCAAAACAGAGAGCCAAGTGGACAGCAGGCTCCTCCAGCAAAACCTGAGGCCTCGTCCCCCAGGCCCACAGCCCAGCGGCATCTTCACCAGCAGACGCGGCTCCCCTGGGACTCCCCTCCAGCACAGCTCATCTCCAGTGGGCTAGGACGGCTACCACAGGAGGACATACGTGTCCTGGCCACAGCCGCCAGCCATCCTGCCGTCCTCCCGTCAGTCTCTAACCCCACGGGGCCTGGGGCAGTGAAGACAGAAACCCATGTGCAGGGAAGAGTAATACTTGGGAAACTCAGCGACGCCCACAGTGTGCTCCATGACCGTCACACCGTCAGCAAAACCCCCTCCTGCACATCCAGGGTACAGGGCCTTCTGCTGGATTTCACCTGCCCCGGCAGCCGACTGCACCAGCATCACAGCCTCCTGCCGACGATCCCTCTGCTGGGAGGCTGGGCGTTCCGTGGAGAGAACAGCTGAGACCCCCTCGGCAGCTTCCCAGGCAACAGAAGGCGCAGGGAGGTGGTGGTGATTCACTGTGTTTCTAACAGGTCCTCTGGCCACGGAAGCCTCCTGCACATGTGAAAGCCTGCAGAGAATCCCACGCACTTCAAAACTCTCACTCATGTTTTTCAGAAGCGGGTTTTACAACTTTTGGCATGAAAAGGTCTTAGTGGCATTTCTATGGGTGTTTATCTAGGCTGCTCCCAAACCCCAGCCAACTAGGGGTGAGCTCCCGTGGCCACCTGTGACAGTCAGCCCCTCGCAGTAGACGTGCCGACGTGGCTCCCGAGGTGGAGGGGAAGCTGGAGGCCCTGGGGGCTCTTCTCCCTGATCAGGGTATGAATTCTAAATGAACGTGAAAGTGAGGATGAAATGGAACCTGCTCTCCCCAGCAGTGAGTTGGAGGGGGGCCAGGTGCTCCCCAGCAGTGAGTCGGAGGGGACAAGGCAGCACCCTCTGCCAGCAGGATCAGCATTGCTCGTTCATTTGCAGGTGAGAACGAGCTGCTCCCATGAGTGGTATGTCCAGTGCATAAACCCCCTCTGTGTAAAAATAAACACAGAAAAGTGGCTGCTGAGCAACGCAGTTTCCTAGCCCTTGGTTTAGCAGTATCCCCGAGTGTCCCCCACATGCGGCTCCTGGCGTTCCACGCTGGTAGCCCTGTCGATGGCGATGCAATTATTTTCTACCACAGCGTTGTGTTGTCTGCGCTCAGGGTAAAGCCATGATGAAGGCGGCTTTCGGGACTTGTAATTACAGAGCCATGGGTGGCCTCTGTCCTCGCAGCCGGGAAGGTCAGCACAGGTCCTGGGTGCTGCCAGCCCTGAGCTCCACTCCTGCAAACACTTGTCAAAATGCCAGAAGTAATTACCTGGCTGTTCAGAATGGAGTCATGGGGTGCAGCTCCTACCATCTCCGATTCCCTAAAGCCTCCATCCAAACCGAAACTTGTTTACAACCTCCTGGGGCTGCAGCCACAGGGCACCTGCTCTTTGGCAGCAGAACCTCGCCATAGTCCTTACCAATGTTCCTGTCTGCTGGTCTCTCCGGCAGCCCAGGGGAGGCGCTCCCGTGCAGGTGGGAGTTCTTGTTCCATGTCCAGCCCACGTGGCCCTGGACACAAGCTGGGGCTGGTTCACACACTGCAGGCCCCCTCCCCGCCCCCAACGCAGCAGGTCCAGCAGGAGACGGGCACTGAGCCTGCGGGGCCCACTGTGCAGACCCCACCAGCACCACCGGCCCACGCTTCCCACGCCGCGCCCTCCACTTCTTCATCTTTTTCTCTTAGAGGCTCCTCTTTTTAGTTACTCCTCATCGTCTGTGTCTGTGCCGTGAGTCAGGGATGTTCTAAGAGCAGGAGGAGAGCGTGGTGCTTCCCTCTGAGCATCTCCCTCGCCCACTCTGGGTGACACCTCAGCCAGGCGAGCTGTGGGATCGTCAACCTCATGGCTGCGGAGCAGCAGGATGAGCACGAGCCCCACGCCAGCCACAGCTGGAGCCCAGGAGCCCCCAGCCTGCGTTGATCCTGGCAGCAGCTCAGCTCCATGGAGGACGTGACACAGCGGCCCACGTGCAGCGGAACCTGGAGCCGGGCTGCCCAGGCCACACCTCCAGTCTCACTGCTCTGGCGCTGTTTCTCAGCTGCACCCTGGAGGTCTGGCGAAGGGGAGCGCTGGGATCCCTGTGCCTGGAAGACCCTTGAGGAGAGTGCAGGTCCTTGGAGAGTCACTTTCATCAGTCTGACAGGTGTCTCATTCACCTGCACATGGAGGCAATTTTCTCAGCAAGTGGCTGTTTTGAACATTTCCAAAGCATCCTCCTTCATTTCTAATAAGAGTGCAACTTCCCTTCCACACTCATGGCTCAGGAGTTCCTCTTGTCTTGCTCCAATCTCTTAATCATGAGGGTGGTACCGGAGCACGGATGGGCTTCGGGCCCCACCAGTGCACAGCTCCACCCGGCCTGGCCTCCCTGGGGAGTGGGTGTGTGGGAGCGTGGATGGCTTTAGGCCCCACTGCTGGTGACCAGCATGCAGCTCCACCTGGCGTGGCCTCCCTGGGGAGCTGGTGCATGGGAGTCAGATGAGGAACGTCTGCCGCTTGTGGACCAATGCTGCAGCAGCAAGGCACCCCTCCCCCTCCCCCGGGGCCAACCTGCCTGTGTCCACCTCAGCGGAGCTGATTCCATCAGCTGCAGTGAAACTCAGGCCCAAGTCCTTCTTAGTGGCTGCTGAAGATGAAGTTCCCACACTATGAAGTCCGATTCTGAATTCCACCTTGCCAGCCTCTTACTGGCATGTCCTTGGCACACTGGACCCCACATCCAGGCTGCACCATTCTCATTCCTCTCACCTTCAGCCCCTGAGACCCACGCTAGTCCCTGTGCTCTGCCCAAAGGCCAGCTTCTCTGTGGAGCCTCATCTAAGCCCTGCCCTGCCCTCCCCGATGTGCCATCCACTGCCCCTAAGAACTCCCGTCTGAACAGCCCTGGCACCGGGGTTGGGGGGAGCTTCTGGAGGGCAGGGCCACTGACATCCAGAGTGATATCACCTTAGGAAGGTGTGATGCATTGCCGAAGACAGAATCCGCACGGAGCGGACCAGACTGTGAAGCACCGATGCCTGCCTGGGGTCGATAGTTAAGGCTGGCTGGATTGTAAGTATGTGTTATAAAGGAATTCACTTCACTTTGCCATTACGCTTTTCAAAATAAGCACGTTTGTCTGCTTTATGAGAGGCCAGAAGCCTGGGCAGCCCTTGCTCCAGCAGAGAGGCCTGTGACTAACGCAGAACGCTGCGGGCTATGGGGTCCAGGCATCGGCACAGAGTCCAGTTCTGAGCCGGGATTCAAGAGAGGCTCACAAGAGAGGAGGGGAGCCTCTTCCTCCATGTGGACCCGCTACATATGAGACGTGAAACACAGACAGCAGCACAGCAGACACGACCCTGTTCTGACACTCACCAGCTTCACAAAGATGCCGAACAGGCAGAAGCAGGAGGACGTCACGGAAAGTCACCGTACCTCTGAATACAGAGGCGCCGCTACTGAAATGACACGGGGCGCCTCTCCAACAGGCTGAAAGAAACAATGGCAGCTGAATGCCGTGTCTTAGAGGCTGTCAGGTGGAGGATGCTGAGGTCAAAGGGGGAAACTGCTCAGGACAGGAGCCCCCCATGAGCCTCACCCCACCATTCAGGGTCAGCACAGGAGCCCCCTATGAGCCACACCCCCACCACACAGGGCTGAGTGCCAGAGACACACCCTCCGTGGCGCCCGAGAGGGAATGTTTGAAGAAACAGCCTGAACTCGGCCTGAAGGAAACGGCCGAGCATGGGAGGGGATTCCTGGCAATAAGCTCATAAACCACAGGCAGCCCCACAGGCCACCGGGTGAGGGTCTCTGCAGACTGGGAGCCAGCAAAAGCAAACAGTTTCTAAAGGATGATGAATTTCCTTTTCTTTGAAAGGAGCAATACAAAAATTGATCAGAAATATACTATTTAAGAAGAAACTACCAAGGAAATGAAGAATAAAAAGGATTTTTCTCTTCTGCCAGTTCAACTATGTGACTGAGCCACGGAGATTAAACGTAGCTACCAGTCATTTCTATGTACTTTGTGGTAGAGTAAGTGCCTCCTTGAGCAAAACCCACTTATTTTTAATATTCACTAATACCCTGTGCTCATACCCAAGGTCATAAATTAGCAGAATTCCCGGGAAAGCATTGCCTACGATAAAGAGGAGACGCTGAGTAATGGAAAGCAGCTGCCCTTCTCATTCGGCATCAATACCACGTGACGTTTGATGGGGACTAATGTGGGATTAACTACACGCCTATTCATTAGGTTTTGTATCATTTTGTATAAAATTAGCAAAATGAATGCCCTTTGAATTCTACCGCCAGGGTGATCTCCCCGCATTAATAACAGCAGCCTCAGGTCCTCAGGCCCTTGAGGGAACCAGACGCCAGCAGCCATTGGGCTTCCAGGCAGCTGGCAGGTGGCAGGTGCAGGCAGCACCCAGCACTCCCAGTAATTTCAACAGCAGGCTCTTGAGTTCTGTATGTTGGTAACACAGGCACCACCACACGTCCTTCCATAGGTGTCCGCCCATCACCACAGGGCGTTTGTGATGACACTATTAGGATTCCACATCATCTTTTAAAACACAAACCATAAGAAACTCCTTTTGAATTTGAAATTCTTCCCTGCTATCATGTCAGCCTGTCTACGTCTCACCTGAAACTCAGTAAGAGGCTCCTCTTCACCGTGCTAAGCACTCTCCCAAGGCCAATGGGCCAGTCACCGTGCTAAGCGCTCTCCCGAGGCTGATGGGCCAGTCACTGTGCTAAGCACTCTCCCAAGGCCAATGGGCGAGTCACCAGTCACCAACCGTGCTAAGCGCTCTCCTGAGGCCGATGGGCCAGTCACCACACATGGGCATGTCCACTGCCTACCTGCAAGATCTTCACAGTCACAAAATTCTTTTTTATAATCTCTTGGGTTTTTTTTGTTTCTTTGTTTGTTTGTGAGACAGGGTCTCCCTCTGTGGCCCAGGCTGGAGTCCAGTGATGCAATCTTGGCTCACTGCAACCTCTGCCTCTTGGGTTTAAGTGATTCTCCCACCTCAGCCTCCCGAGTAGCTGAGGTTTGAGCCACCACACCCAGCTAATTTTTTTGTATTTTTAGTAGAGATGGGGTTTCACCATATTGGTCAGTCTGGTCTTGAACTCCCAACCTCAAGTGACCCGCCCACCTTGGCCTCCTAAAATGCTGGGTTTACAGGTGTGAGCCACTGCACCCGGCCAATCTGTTTCTTATATAGCATCAGGCACGTTCATGACACCATAGAATTATTCAAAATAATTCTTTAAAAATCATGCATGAATGTAAACAATTTTGCACACGTTCAAGAAGCAAGAAACATTCTGACTCACACAGCCACAGGAGTTAACATGGAGGCACTGGTGCAAGTTAGCAAATTCAGGTGTTTAGAAAGTTGTCAATATGAGACTCAAATGTACATTTCCTATGTGGCTCCCCCTTGGTGCAGCACTTCGATAAATAACATGAACACATTTGAAATGACTGAGAAACTAGCTTTCAAATAATCAACCTCATTTTCTCTAGAGAGCCATAAAATAAATCAAAGGTCCTTGTCTGTGAGTATATTGTTATGATTTTTAAAAATATAACAAGATTGCCATTCCTAGCATCCTTGAGGTCCTGCAAACCTAATTCCAGTGGCATTGCTCCCCAGTACTGGAGAAACTGCCAATCATGGGATAATTATCAATGCATTTCTGCATAATACCTGATCACGGATTTGGTCTTAAATATCTCCAATAATCACTTCTGACAGGGAACTAGAGCAAGCGAAACAGATGCCATGGAGGGAGGGAGCTCTGGCAGCCACGAGGCACTGAAGCCGTTGTTGGGACCCCCCATTCCTCTTGCGTGGGAGTGTTTGGTATGGATCCCACTGACTTTTCATGCTGGGACCGCACTGGACCGCCCAGCTGGAGTGAGGATGCTGGGCTGCTTTTCCGAGTTGTACCCCAGCTCCACAAGCCTCACAGCAAAGTATGGCAACAAAGTGAGACTGGGGACTCAAGTCTCCACAAACCTTAAATCAGACTGCAGAAGTTTAGTACAACTTTGCAAAGCACTGTATTTCAACCACAAATTCTCAGCCCCCTAAATCACCACCTTGAGCAAAGGAGTTACTGAGGGCACGAGGATATCCCATAAGCAAAACCCGCAGCAGCCAAAACAGATAGGACCAGCAATTCGCTCCATCCCTTAGAACATGGTGGCTACTTCACACCTTGATTACTCTCACTGGAAAAAGAAACTTCAAGTTTACAGGGTGCCAGTACAGTGACGCCTCAATCAACGAGAACTAAGTATTGAAATCCCGAAATAAACCAGAGTATTTTGCTGCATTTTACACTGGGAAAAAAAGACACAAATTTAAGCAAAAAAAAAAAAAAAAAAAAAAAAAAACAAGTTCATAGATTTAGCAATATAAAGGACTGGCTAAAACCAAGTGTCATTTCCCGCTGTGGCTGGGTCAGTGTGTTCCGTCCTGTCTTATCAATGATACGGAACGGGAGCACCCTGCCTGCGGAATGGCCCTAATGCACTGAAAACCATCAGGCTAAGGTTCTGTTATGCTTCCTGTATTTTTCTTACTAGGCAGGAAGATTAAACAATACACTCTACAAGAGTTTTCAACAAGTTTAAAAAAAAAAAAAAAGGCAGGTTGAGGAAAATGCAACATTGTGTCCACCATCCCATTCTGTTCTTCAAGACTCTGGAGAGTAAAGCTTTGTGTTTTTCACTCAATGACAATTATTAATCATATAACAAAGATTACTCAAGCTCTATCTGTAAGTACATCTCAAAAATGTGTGATTCGCAATGCCCAGAACCCTGGGCTCTAAACAGTGAAACCGTCTGGAAGTCGGCCGGTTTTTACTGAAACCTCCCAGATACTTTGTGGTGTCTCTGCCCACCGCAGTCGGGAGCAGGGCCGGTGTGTGCTCCTGGTCTGGTACAAAATGAAAAACCTCAAAGCAAAATTGCACGTGCTCTGCACACACTGGGATTACTACAAACACCAAATCTTGCTTTTCCAAAAGCCGGATTTGTTCTCGGTCACTTGCAGCCCTGTGTCTCCTGCCTTCTATCTGAGCCAGTTCCACACATCAGGGCAGCCCAGTCCCTCTCCACACAGTGAAATCCCAGATGGTGCCCACGGACAGCCACATTGCCCTGTGACTGCCCCTCGTCCCCTCACTGCACACCAGATTTCCACGGAAACCGAGACCTTCCTCTGGGTTGCCCCATGTGGGTAGTGTGAGTCTCTCTCTGCCCTGGCTGTGCATGTGCGTGTTTGCGTGCGTGTGTGTGTGCACACACGTGTGTGTGCGTGTACGTGTGTGTGGAAACAGCCTCACCTGTGGCCTTCTCCACATCCTCAGTGGTCACGTTTTGGACATTGGCGCTCACTTTGAAGGTCACTGCTGGTCCGAGAACCCTGGAAGGGATAATTTAAAATAAGTTCATAACGAAGTCTACGCGCCACACCGCTTTTCTGAAAACGACATGGAAAACACTGGTGTGTTTTTAAAAACGCAAACATCCAAGGCCGCTGTGGCTCCAGGCGTCGACTCCACTGGACGTCGGTTTTCCTTCACACCATGACCTTTGTTTCCATTTGCCAGGAATTCCGTTTTTGGGCTTTGCTTTTCCAAAACACACATCACAGTGTAATATGCTATCCTAAAAAATTCACATCAACCTCTGAACCCAGCAACAGCAAGCAGATATTCTTGCTAGAGAAAAAGAAAAGTTGTTATTGAAATAGATTTTAGTCTTTGGTCCCCAAGGGAGATGTATGAATCTAGAGCAGAGAGGAAAGAGACTAGTATTTTTTAAACTCTTTTGACAGGAACCATTTAAAAAACTACCAAAGTCATTAAGAACTACTCTGTATAAAAACAACTGGCAGGGAATTGCTAGACAGGAATTATCAAAATTGTTCAAAGCTTTTTAAATGCTATGTCAACCACAATTTTGAAAAAATACCTTACTTTTTAAACCATTTAATTCATCTGAAGACCCCATATGCAGTAGAAACTGATTATTGTGCCTACAGCCATCTCAAAATGAATTAGGAATCCAGGGTCCATTCCCAAAGACAGACAGACTGACCCCATGTCCACAGATGACAGCCATAGATAGCTCTTCCTGGAACAGACCCCTTAAATGTCTTCTAAGAAGTAAATCCCTGGAACAGACAGGAAATGCGAAGAGGACCCAATTTAGGTGGGAGAGGGCAGCTAAGACTGTTGCTTCCTGGTCCCTGGGAGGTGCCTGCACTGACATCTAAGCTGTGAAACTGGGTACCATGTAGCCCAGGGTCCCTTGCTGTCCCCACTGCAGCCACACACCCTCCACCACAGGCTCATCCCAAGGCAGCATATGACACCCAGGCTGTGGATTTTGCACCCAAAATCCTTTCAACCTCACATGTATTTTTGATTCAGACATCTCTGCTCATGATACCTCAGTCCCAACCTCTGGTCTTCCTCCTTGGGATTTTTGCTCATTCTCCCAGCCAGGGCCAGCTCCTCCATGTGCAAGCCCTTGGTGAAGGGGACTGTCGTGCCATTACGAGGCAGCACAATTACCATCCTAACACCATGGCTGAATATTCCATGTGGACGTCTTAGCATCACTTTGAACTCAACAAGGTCTCCCTTGAATCAGCGCCTGCTCTGAGGAGCAAACAGCATTCTAACCTTACGGATATTCCCTTTGGCTTCCTTATGCCAGGAATATCCAGCTAGTCACCAAATTCTGCGGAAACCCTTGGAAAATGCACCATGTCCACCACTGCCTCTTGGTTCCCACTGTGATCTTCTAGTCCAAGCCTGTGCCCTGTCACAGCAGAGCTGAGTGACTTCCTGCGTCCAGCTCTACTGCATGCAAAATGTCCTTGGAAGCCGCCTCCAGGGATGACCATGGAGCAGGAGCTGGTGTCTTCTCGAGCCCAGGCCCCAGGCCTGTCTACGGTGCCTCGGCTGGGCCCTCTGCTGGTCCCCACTATGGGCCCTCAGAAAGGAGGAGGCCACTCCCTCCCTGGACTGCAGCTCTCCTGCCAACGATGTTCCACTCGCTCATGAGTGCTGAGTTCTACCCCCTCTCAAAGCCCTACTCCCGAGTGAGCACTGTGAGAGTGGCTGATTCTCCCTGTCTCCACAGTCTTCCAGAAGGGCCCTGAGTGCCTGATATTTAGTGCTCAAATGGCACACCAGACGTTTTATAGATGTTTTCCTTCTTCCCGAGCACAGGATGGGCTCTTTGAAGCATGCATGATGATTTCTGCCACGGCCTCACCCACGCAGGAGGTGATCAATTCATATTTGTGACCGGTTCAACATTTTGGTTGAATGGTTTTCTAAAATTAAGAGAAAGTCCTCATTAACACAAGCAGCACTCATGTACCCCCGAAACAACGCTGAGGACAGAGAGCTCAGCCACAGGGCTTCAAGCTTACACACGGCATCTGTGAAACTGTAATCTCGACCACATCTGAAGATTCCCTGACAGATGGGACTGGAATATCCTAAACCTAATTTTTCCCTCACGTGCTGAAAGTTTTCTCTAAAGGCTGTGAGGAGGTTCTTGGTTCCTCAGAGTCCAAAGACCCAGACCCCTATGCTATGAAGAAGCATGTGACCCATACATGGCCCCGTATTTCACGTGGGGGCCGCAGGAGAGGCCCACACAGCCCGTGTCCTTTCTTGCACGCATGCCGAGCGTCACCATTGCGTGGGGCTGTGGTCATCACCAGGGAGTGCTCCTGAC